>NC_000022.11:17276569-17597422 GCF_000001405.40 Homo sapiens | reverse complement strand
GAACATTTCTGGGATCAGTGTTCCTAACAAGCTTTGTGTAGCTGGGGTAGGCAGTAGAAACTCCTGACAAGGGGAGAGCCAGTGTCATTTTCTCGATTTCACTGGCCTGTCTGAGGCCACCTAGCCACACTACTGACTAACATTGAAGAAAGTACCTTGGACACTTTTTTTTTTTTTTTAAGACAGGCAGTCTCACTCTGTCACCCAGGCTGGAGTACAGTGGCATGATCTTGGCTCACTGCAACCTCTGCCTCCCAGGTTCAAGCGATTTTCCTGCCTTAGCCTCCTGAGTAGCTGGGACTACAGGCGCCTGCCACCACGCCCAGCTAATTTTTTTGTATTTTTAGTAGAGATGGGGTTTCACTGTGTTAGCCAGGATGGTCTCGATCTCCTGACCTCGTGATCTGCCCGCTCGGCCTCCCAAAGTGCTGGGATTACAGGCGTGAGCCACCATGCCTGGTGCCTTGGACACATTTTGAAGTTAGCTGATTATCACACTTAGGAATGTAAGACCTAGATTTGAGTCCTATCTTGGCCTTTTGCTACTATGGGACCTGGAGACTGAATTCATCATATGTAAAATAGGATCATTGCTTTTTGCTTTTTTGTTTCATGCAGTGAAGAAAAAAAGATGAGATAGTACATGTGAAAATGCTCTGTAAATGGAAAAAGTATATAAACTCATAAGATATGCTGTCAGAGTTGGGTTAGATTCCTGATTCTGCCACTTACTACCTGGGTAATCTTGGACTCGTTTATTCAGTTTCATTGAGTGGTGTCGTCCATTTAGTGTTGCTATAACAGAATACCCGAGGCTGGGTAATTCATGGAGAAAAGAGGTTTATTTGGTTCATGATTCTCATGGCTGGAAAGTTCAAGATTGGACAGCTGCATCTGGTGAGGGCCTCAGGCTGCTTCCACTCATGGCAGAAGGTGGAAGGGGAGTGGGTGTGTGCATAGAGACCACATGGCGAGAGAGGAGGCCAGAGAGCCTAGGGAACCAGACTCCCTATCATACCAGCCCACCCTCTGCTCACAGTCGAGTCCTGCCGGAGCTAGAATCCAGGCCCTCGCCACAGTTCATTGCCTCGGGATCTGCCCTTGAGCCCTGAACACCTCCTACTATGCTCCACCTCCCAACACTGCCACATTGAGAATCAAATTTCACCATTAGTTTCTGAGGGAACAGACTCAAACCATAGTAGTGAGCCCTGATTCCCTTATCTGTAAATTGACGTATTAGCACTAACCTCATAGCATTTTTTATCTTATTTATTTATTTATTTATTTTTTGAGACAGAGTCTCACTCTCACCCAGGCTGGAGTGCAGTGGCACGACCTCGGCTCACTGCAAGCTCCACCTCCCAGGTTCACACCATTCTCCTGCCTTAGCCTCCCGATTAGCTGGGACTACAGGCACCCGCCACCATGCCTCGCTAATTTTTTTTGTATTTTTAGTAGAGACGGGGTTTCACCTTGTTAGCCAGGATTGTCTCAATCTCCTGATGTCGTGATCTGCCCACCTCGGCCTCTCAAAGAGCTGGGATTACAGGCGTGAGCCACCGCACCCAGCCTCTTTTTTTGTTGTTGTTGTTGTATTTTGAGTAAGGGTCTCTTTCTGTCACCCAAGCTGGAGTGCAGTGGTGTGATCTCGGCTTGCTGCAACCTCTGCCTCCTGGGTTCAAGCAATTCTCCTGCCTCAGTCTCTCAAGTAGCTGGGACTACAGGCACGCCCCACCATGCCCAGCTAATTTTTGTATTTTTAGTGGAGACAGGCTTTCGCCATGTTGGCCAGGCTGGCCTCAAACTTGAGTTTGGGAGCACCTCGGCCTCCCAAAGTGCTGGGATTACAGGGGTGAGCTACCACGCCCGGCCAGCAGTGGCATCTTTTATCAGACACACATGCAGTCGTGATAGGGCCTCATCAGTAATGAGCAGGATTGGGCTTAAGAAAACATTCAGATGAGGATTGAGTGATTTGCAAACTGAGATGAAATCCTCTCTTTTTCATTTTGTTGGGGAGGGCTGGCTGTGATAATTAAAACAGGTTTTGTAACATAAAATCAAATTGACACAGGCTGGGCGCGGTGACTCACTCCTGTAATCCCAACACTTGTGGAGGCAGAGGTGGGCGGATCACCTGAGGTCAGGAGTTCAAGACCAGCCTGGCCAACATGGTGAAACCCCGTCTCTACAACAATACAAAAATTAGCCAGGCGTGATGGCAGGTGCCTGTAATCCCAGCTACTGGGGAGGCTGACGCAGGAGAATTGCTTGAACTCGGGAGGCAGAGGTTGCAGTGAGCCAAGATCGCACCATTGCACTCCTGCCTGGGCAACAGAGCGAGTCTCAAAAAAAACAAAACAAATTGACACATAGTGTCACTTGGTAAATGACAGTTATTGAGATGAATACAGTCAGTTCTCTGTATCTTTGGGGTCCACACCTGTGAATTCAACCAACTTTTTCTTTTCACTCCCTAAACACTACGGTATAACAACCATTTACATCGTATTAGCTATTTTAAGTGCTGTAGACATGATTTGCAATATAGGGGAGGATGTGTGATGGTTGTATGCAAATACTACGCTGTTTCATATAATGGACATCTAGGCGGGGACTGGGGTTTCCTGAAACCAACTGTGCGTTACATCTTCAGAAGCTTTTTCAGTTCCTTTCAAGCCTGTTGCTTAGGTTGCGCAGTCTACACACCAAGACAAGGGCATTCCTCTGCGGGAGTAAAGGGTACCATGTATCTTTCTCAAGTCTTTGAAAATGATTATTTCCTGTGCTTTTTTTTTTGCAGAGCTGGTGGAGTTGAGATCTATAATGGAGATCGTAAAATAAAGGTTTCCAACACCCTGGAAAGCCGGCTGGATCTCATAGCCCAGCAGGTGAGTGTGGGGGTACTTCTTGGTAGTTGGTCTGCTGTTACTTTGAAGTGGGACAGAGAACACGTGTCCATTCACTGGTATTTGGGATTTGTTGCTGTCTTTCCAGTTTTGGACATTTTCTCAAAAAGAATGAGAATTGGGCATGTAGTAGCATTTGCTGAGGTGGTAACATTTACATGAGGGTGAATTTGGGGTCAGAACAAGTGTTTTGTTGACCTAGGATTCGAATATGTACATTTTACTACATGTAAGGTGCTGACAAGTTCTTTCTCTAACAGGAGTGATGGGAACTAAAGCAAATACTTGTGTTTTTTTGTTTTGTTTTGCTTTTTTGAGATGGAGTTTCACTCTTTTTTGCGCAGGCTGGAGTGCAGTCTTGGCTCACTGCAACTTCCACCTCCCAGGTTCAAGCGATTCTCCTGCTTCAGCCTCCCGAGTAGCTGGGATTACAGGCACCTGCCACCACACCCGGCTAATTTTGTATTTTTAGTAGAGACGGGGTTTCACCATGTTGGCCAGGCTGTTATCAAATTCCTGACCTCAGGTGATCCACCCGCCTTGGCCTCCCAAAGTGCTGGGATTACAGGTGTGAGCCACCGTGCTCAGACACAAATACTTATTTAAAGGAATTATCATAAAGCTGCTGGCTTTTCAGATGTTTCCAGATTTGTACACAGGAACTCTAGGAAACAAGCCAGGAAAATTCCATTTGTTCTAAAATGCTGGGCATCTTCTAGACTTCTAGTGGGAGTCTATTGCTGTGGCTGCCAACCTAGTTATTCCCTGACCTAGATATGCAGTTTACTGTTTATGCAGATACTTGTCTTATAACTAAAGCACTTTCACCTTGATTTTTTCATATTCTGGTAACTTAAACCTCAGAACATTGTTTCCTAGTAGCCACTGTCCCATCCAGTATCATAGCCACTACTCACTTACGGATATTTAATTAAACCGAAAAATTCAGTTTCTCAGCACACAATAACCATCTGTAGCTAGGACTGCCCTGTTGGACAGCCGAGCCTTGGAAGTCCAGGGTTAAGTTCTCCTAAGGATTCATCAGTGGCTGTAGCAAGTGCTTCCAGCCTAAGCTGGCATTGGAAGTGTTCTTTGCAGCTGCTGTGGCCATAGTAGGCACTCAGTAAATGTTTGTTGAAGAAAGAGTGTAGGTGACCCAGCATATTGTGGTGAGATGATTATGATGAGTTAAGTCTGAGATAGTAGTGACTTTAGGTTTTTTTTTGTTTTGTTTTTTTTTAATGTGTCCCTTTTGTAAGCAGTCTGAACCCCAGATTTGGGATGAGTTAAGTTTCTCACCAAGGAATGTGTTACTTGCTTCAGGGAAGGAGAGGGTGGCTTTGATGTGCGTGGCTTTGTGAGTCCTTCCCAGCCACATAGAGGTTCATGGCTTTCCACCTGTGGTTAAGATGTGCAGCACTCTGGCCAGGCTTGGTGGCTCACGCCTGTAATCCCAGCACTGTGGGAGGCCGAGGCGGGTGGATCACGAGGTCAGGAGATCGAGACCATCCCGGCTAACATGGTGAAACCCCGTCTCTACTAAAAATACAAAAAAATTAGCCAGGCATGGTGGCAAGCACCTGTAGTCCCATCTACTTGGGAGGCTGAGGCAGGAGAATGGCGTGAGCTTGCAATGAGCGGAGATGCGCCACTGCACTCCAGCCTGGGCGACAGAGCGAGACTCCGTCTCAAAAAAAAAAAAAAAAAAAAGATGTGCAGCGCTCTACAACTTCTTCAGCTGACATTGCGTATTTATTACACTTTCTCTCCACAGATGATGCCAGAAGTCCGGGGAGCCTTGTTTGGTGCAAATGCCAACAGGAAGTTTTTGGACTAAGCCTTCAGGAGGTGGAGCTCGTCGTCAGCTCTCCTGCTGTGATGTGGAAGCTTCTGATATTTGAAGAAACACGAATGTCTCTGTAGCTTCCTCTTCACTGCCCCAGTATTGCTCTGTATTTATCAGCGATGCCCCTCTGTCACTCATGCCTTGCCTAATTGTTCACAATGGTGGAAAGCTTCATGTAATATGATCAGGACCCACCTCCAGTTCTTCTGAAAGTGTGACAGTGTCCAGCCGGTTCTGCAGCACTAGGGGAGGGGGCAGATGGTGGTTGCATGGGCTTCCTGGGTCTCCACTCTCCGTCTGGCCTAAAGGTGATGTATTTGGTGTTTGGCCCTGCAGTCCCCACTCTTGAGGCTTAAGGCGCATGTGGCACACCACTCCTTCCAGCAGTAGTCGCTTTACTGTTACCTGTTTAGGCCTAGAAGTTTTCCCTCATCTGTAAATGTGATTTAAAATCTAAGCCATGAATATGCTTTATTTATTAAAAGAGTTATGCGGATTTAATGTGATTTCTAGTGTAAGGCACTACAAATTTAGGTTTTGACAGAGTCAAATTCTTACTGAGGCACCTAGAAAAGAAGTATTTTCCCAATCCCCGTGGCACTTGATGGTGACAGCTGTCAGCACCTGGACCCGTTAACCCTCTGGGGGTCCCCTGGGCTGTTGCCCGTTGTTCCCAGCCCATCACCAGGAGCATTCTTTCCACCCTTGCAATCTTCCACACACCCCACATGGCTCTTCAGCGTGACGTGCACAACTTTATTGAGGAAATAGTTTTATTAGTGTTGCCCGAATGAGAAAAACCAAGTTGTTTGTTTTTTCTTTTTCTTTTTTTTTTGAGACGGAGTCTCGCTCTGTTGCCCAGGCTGGGGTGCAGTGGTGCCATCTCGGCTCACTGCAAGCTCCGCCTCCCGGGTTCGTGCCATTCTCCTGCCTCAGCTTCCGGAGTAGCCGGGACTACAGGCGCCCGCCACCACGCCTGGCTAATTTTTTGTATTTTTTGGTAGAGACGGGGTTTCACCGTGTTAGCCAGGATGGTCTCGATCTCCTGACCTCGGATCCGCCTGCCTCGGCCTCCCAAAGTGCTGGGATTACAGGCGTAAGCCACGGCGCCAGACCCAAAAAACCGAGTTATTTTGGAGCAGGTCACTGTGTGCTGGAACCAGATCCTTTCACAGAGGCCCTGTTCTTCCTTCCCTGTCCCATGTTTTATTTTTCCGTAGGTGACGACTAAGAGCTGCCCAGGGCCTTGCAGCTAGTACATGGTGGAGCTGGGACTTGAACTGAGGTCTGTCTCCAGGGCCCATACTCAAATGCAGTTCTCATAACAGAGAGTGAGGCCCCCAGGGCTGACCATGTTAGCACCATCCTCTTCCTTGTTAGCCCAGGTTTCACAGTAGATGGGACTATTGTAAACACCAGCTCCTGCAGCAGGTGCTGATTTTCTTAGGACTTGGCCCTGCTGCTGTGACATTATCTCTCCTGTAGCAGCCTTTGGGGGAGGAATCGAGGTGCGTGAGGAGGGCTCTCACAGCAAACTCAGCTCCTCAAGACGATTCACTTATGAAGGGATAGAATCAAGGCTTAAAACCCAGTGTCACTAACAAGCAGATATTTCCCTATGGCTGTGTTCCTCCACCCCCACAAGTAACAGTTTGAAGAGTGACGGGGGTCTGCTTCTATGCCCTTTTTAATGTTTGGTTTTGAAATGGACGTAGAAAAGTAGATGGTGATAGCATTCACTGCAGCCTATCTGCTGTACCCACTGATGAACAGATGAGATTTTAGCCATTCACCTTTATTTCAGAGTGTTCCTTGGTTACAGGGAGGGGTGTGCAAGACCCTGGGCTCTGGGGGAGGGGCTGAGCTGCCCAGTCAGAGCCGGCCTCAGCCCCCTCAGCCATCCAGGGATTCGAAAGGGTGCTTGGTCTCAAACTAGGTGCTGACTCTGAGGGCTTTCACGGTCCCTTGAACTTCTGATCCTCCTTTTCCTCAAAATCAGTGCTAGGACTCATAAGTTATGGAGTCCAAGATTAACAATGCTAAATCCTCAAGCTGACTGAAGAATGCCGAGTTTGACTGTGAAATAGAAATGTTAAAATACAGAAACAACCCTTCTATTGTGACTACCTGTTAAGGTCCTGCAATTAATACAACGAAAGTACCATTTTTGTTGAAAAGTAGGTGGTTAGGGGCTTCCAAAAGCCCCTGGTAGCTGTGCCCACAAAGGAAAACGAGTGTAGACACGAAGGGGAAGAAGGCTGTGCTCAACTTGTTAGAATATAGGGCTGTTTCTCCCGAGATTGAGGTAGCACTACAACGCAGAGGACCAGGCAGGCCAGAGTGGCCCCACCTGCCCTTGCCCCCTCTAGGCTAAGTGAAACAGCTAGAGAGAGGGCGGCAAGCGCAGGGACTTGACCTCCAGCTCTGTCTAGTCAAAACACTTTAAGATGCGCTCTCCAATCCCAATAAAATAGACCCCTTGAGCAATCCCAAAGAGAGGTGCTATGACCAGTGCCCGGCAGCCAGCGCCTTTCATGAAGGCAGATGGTCCCTCCTGAATCCAGAGTTTCCTGGGGAGAAAGAAGAGCCAGTGAGCTGATGGGCAGGGGCATTCTGCAAGCAGCCCTCAGTGGCAGCCTCTCCATTTGTGCACCTCTCATTTTAGAATAGTGCCTTCCACAACAAGAGCAAGAGGCCAACGGTGTGGGAGCTGTGCCTCGCCCGCTAGGTGCATGCAGGTTGGTTACTTATGCAGTTGGGTCAAGGCCTTGGAAACAGGCTTGATGTGGCTAGAATCTTTGGTGAGAGATGCTGTAGGGATGCCAGGAAGAAGAAAAAGGCTCCCAGTACATTCTGTTTTCTTTGAGAGGTGAGGGAAAGACAGACTTCAAAGAAACCCAGAGCCCAGCAATTCAAGTTGGTCTCTAAATCTGGTCTAGGCAGACACCCACGCAGAGGAACCTGTCCCAGCCACCATTTGAGGGGACACTGGCTCTCACCTGGCACAGTCGGTGATCCCACTGTACATGTCCTCGCCCAGGCCTTTCTTGAGGGTTTGGATTCGAGTTTTCAGAACTAAATCAAGTAAAAGTTAAAGTAAGTAGTGAACAGCTTACTTTCGGTGTCCTCCCCTCAACACTAAGGGGCTGGGCCCTCCTGTAGAGCCACCACATATAAAACTGACTCATAGGCCGGGCGCAGTGGCTCACGCCTGTAATCCCAGCACTTTGGGAGGCTGAGGTGGGCAGATCACAAGGTCAGGAGTTTGAGACCAGCCTGGCCAACATAGTGAAACCCCATCTCTACTAAAAATACAAAAATGAGCCGGGCGTGGCGCGTTCCTGTAGTCCCAGCTACTCATGAGGCTGGGGCAGGAGAATCGCTTGAACCAGGGAGGTGGAGCTTGCAGTGAGCCGAGATTGTACCACTGCACTCCAGCCTGGGCAACAGAGCAAGACTCCATCTCAAAAACAAAAAAAGAAAAAAAAAAACGGTCATGAGGCCAGTTCTGCCATTGTGTGATCTGTAAGTGGAGGTCTTCTTCTTTGGGCCTCAGCTATAAAATAAATGAGTCATGTTACTGTGGCTTTGTTTGGTTTTGTTGAGACAGGGTCTCGCTCTGTTGCCCAGGCTGGAGTGCAGTGGCACAATCAGCTCACTGCAGCCTCAACCATCTGGGCTCAAGTGATCTTGCCACCTCAGCCTCCCGAGTAGCTGGGACTACAGGCACGCACCACCACACCCAGCTAATGTTTTCATTTTTTTTTTTTAGAGACAGGGTCTCACTTTGTTGCCCAGGCTGGTCTCAAATTCCTGGGCTCCTGTCTCGGTCTCCCAAAGTTTCGGGATTACAGGCGTGAGCCGCCGCACCTGGCCAGGTTACTGTTGGTATAGGAAGTCTACCCGCAAGTTTAGGGAGCTGGAGGCAGCCCTAACACGGAGGGAAGCATTGTCTTCTCATGCCAGGTTTAGCTCCCACCATTAGCCGCAAATTTTATGTATTTATTTACTTTTTGAGATGAAGTCTTGTGCTGTCGCCCAGGCTGGAGTGCAGTGGTGTGGTCTTGGCTCACTGCAACCTCCACCTCCTGGGTTCAAATGATTCTCCTACCTCAGCCTCCCAAGTAGCTGGGACTACAGGCATCCGCCACCACACTCTGCTAATTTTTTTTGCATTTTTAGTAGAGACGGGGTTTCACCATGTTGGCCAGGATGGTCTGAAACTCCTGACCTCAGGTGATCCAAAAGTGCTGGGCTCCCAAAGTGCTGGGATTGCAAGCGTGAGCCACCACACCCAGCCAGCCCCAAATTTTAACACATCAGCAATAATTTATAGCTGGGGCTCACAACTCTTCTGAGGGGATGAAAAGCTAAAGCAATCAGCATCTTGAAGGCGAGGGATGTGTCAGGGATGAGAAACAGAAGGAAGGTCTCTTGGGACCCACTTTCTCCATGAGGGCCTCTAGTGAGCCTCCGCCAGCAGCCAGATTGCAACCCAGTATGGCTTCCAGGGTCAGGCTGTTTTATCTATAAGTGCAAAATTACTGTTTATCCCATAGAAAGGACACGTCTCCCAACTCCTTACCATCTAGAGGCGTCACTGCGACCGCAGCTATGGAACCTGCCACACAGCCTGACACGAAGGAATGTGCAAAGGACGCCTTACCGGCGAGCTCGTTGAACCCCAGGTTGTTAAGGTTGGCAAACAGTGGGAAGTAGATGATGGAGAAAGGAATGTCTCTGCAGAAGAGGAAGGAGAAACACTGAGCTCCGAGCTGCCCTGGGGCTGCCACCCAAGGTGAGACAATGAGCTTTGCTGTGAGCTGTGGGGCTTACAGTGAGAGGAGCCACGGGGACTCATCCCTTCTTTTGTGCCCCGTGAGCGTGGGTGAGGGACAGCAGGGGACAAAAGAGCTGTTGCCATCTGTTCCGCCGTCCCAGCTCCTTCCTCTGCCCTGCAGCACCTGCAGCCTCTTGACTGCCAGAGGCAAGTCCGAGGCGGGAAATGCGTTCTGTACAGGGGCAGGCAGGCTAAGGGAAGATGAGGGGCCTGGCCACTCATTACTATGAACTCTGCGGTCCTCTGTAGACAGGGCTTTCTTAGGTGCCTTTGGGCCACAAAACACCCAGCCTTCCTGTGGGCCTGGTCATCACTATGCAAGCGGCCTAAAACTTTAGTCTTCTAGGTACCCATTCTGTGCCACCCTGGCCAGTTCCAGACAAAACAGGAAGCATGGAAATCGTTTGCTCACCTGGGTTTGGATATTCTGGGAAGGACACAGAGGCAGATAGGGACAACCAGCTCTCTGGCCCTCGTGCCCTCCCCCGTGCACTTGTCCTAGGGAACCGGAAGAAAGGCTCACCTGAGGAGAGTGGCACCCAGGCCCCTGTAGAGCCCAGCCAGGCCCTGAGTGCGGAGCAGCTCCCAGGCAATGAGGGTGGCAGAGGGGCGCCTGTGGGTGGAAGCCGAACCAGTTGTGTAGGACCTGGAGGTGGAGGGTGCTGAGGCCGAGCCCTGATGATGGACGGCTGGAAGGGAAAGGACAGACATCAGTACCTGGTCCCCAACAGATGCTACGAAACACTCCTGAGTGTGGCTCTCAATCCCTGCCCCTGGGACAGTTCAGAGGCCAGGCTGACACCTCAGCTGGCATCCAGAAGAATGTCCTAATTTTAGAATGTTAATTTTTGGCTCTGAGGACGTCTTCCTAAGGTCTACAGTATCTCAGGAGCTATCCCAATGCTGAGAACACTTCCCAAGAGCACAGCCACAGCCTGGCCCGCTTGCTTCTCCGCCACGTTCCTTAGGGCTCCATTCCTTACCCTCCCATTAAAACTGGTTTTGATCTGGCTTCCATTTCTAAACCATTTCTCAGCCTATGTAGGTCATTTTTATTTTTAGTTATTTTATTTATTTTTTTGCAGTGGTGCGATCTCGGCTCACTGCAACCTCTGCCTCCTGGGTTCAAGTGATTCTCCTGCCTCAGCCTCCCTAGTAGCTGGGGTTATAGGCACATGCACCACACCTGGCTGATTTTTGTATTTTTAGTAGAGATGGTGTTTCACCATGTTGGTCAGGCTGGTCTCAAAACTCCTGACCTCAGGTGATCCACCTGCCTTGGCCTCCCAAAGTGCTGGGATTACAGGCATGTGCCACCATACCTGGCTGATTTTTGTATTTTTAGTAGAGAAGGTGTCTTACCATGTTGGTCAGGCTGGTCTCAAACTCCTGACCTCAGGTGATCCACCTGCCTTGGCCTCCCAAAGTGCTGGGATTACAGGCATGTGCCACCATACCTGGCTGATTTTTGTATTTTTAGTAGAGAAGGTGTCTTACCATGTTGGTCAGGCTGGTCTCAAACTCCTGACCTCAGGTGATCCACCTGCCTCCCAAAGTGCTGGGATTACAGGCGTGAGCCACCGCACCCAGCCTAGGTGATTTCTAGACACAAAAAGAATTTGTGGCTTTCCACCATTAGGCAGAACATACATGAAATTCCCGTGTCCTAAAATGCTAATAGGATGGAATGGTCTCCCTCAGGCTTCCAGGTCACCTCCTCCTGCTCGTCCTCCAAGATAAGGTGAGCAGGTCCTTCCCACTCTTCCCTATTTGGTAGAATTTGATTCTTTAAATCATTCAGAGCCTATCATTTGATAAGTTCAATATTACTCATTAGAATGGAGTTATACCACATTTAAAATGTTGTGAGGTGGCCGGGCACGGTGGCTCACACCTGTAATCCCAGTACTTAGGGAGGCCAAGGCAGGCGTATCACCTGAGGTCGGGAGTTCAAGACCAGCCTGACCAACATGGAGAAACCTTGTCTCTACTAAAAATACAAAAAAAAATTAGCTGGACGTGGTAGTGCATGCTTGTAATCCCAGCTACTCAGGAGGCTGAGGCAGGAGAATCACTTGAACCTGGGAGGCAGAGGTTGTAGTGAGCCAAGACAGTGCCATTGGACTCCAGCCTGGGCAACAGAGTGAAACTCTGCCTCAAAAAAAAAAAAAAAATAATAATAATAATAATAAAATAAATAATAATAAAATAAAATGTTGTGAGCCCCATTAATAACCATGGGATTTGTGACACTGAAATTCTGTATTTCTTTTCCTAAATCTCAGTGTCTGAGAAGCTTTGCTTAGATTATAAGTCCTTGCCAAAAGGAAGCTATTCCCAATGTCATGTCCCAGATTTGATTGGTATCCAGCAGGAAAATATTTCATACTAGGAATCTAGTTATCCGCACATTTTCTTTCTGTTTTTTTTTTCTCGAGATGGAGTCTCGCTCTGTCACCTAGGCTGGAGTGCAATGGTGCGATCTCCGCTCGCTGCAACCTCTGCCTCCCGGGTTCAAGTGATTCTCCTGCCTCAGCCTCCCGAGTAGCTGAGATTACAGGCATGTACCACCACGCCCGGCTAATTTTGTATTTTTAGTAGAGATGGGGTTTCGCCATGTTTGCCAGGCTGGTTTCGAACTACTGACCTCAGGTAATCTGCCTGCCTCAGCCTCCCAAAGTGCTGGGATTACAGGCATGAGCCACTACGCCCAGCTGCTTTTTTTTTTACTGGAGACTAGTTCTTGCTATGTTGCCCAGGCTGGGCTCAAACTCTGGATCCTCCTGCCTCAGCCTCCTGAGTAGCTGAGATTACAGGAGTGTACCACGCTGAACCAACACCACTCCATCATTCTGAGAGGACCAGGATTTAGGAAAGGGCCAAATTTCTCTTCCAAGAAAAAAACAAAAGAATGGGAATGATTCTCTTCTCCCTTTTTATGCCTTTCTACCAAAAGCCAGCTTCTATAGCATAAAATACTGACTGGAGGTTTCAGTGAGCCAGTCATTGGCATTTCTTTTTTTTTTTTTTTTTTTTTTTTTTTGAGATGAATTCTCGCTTTTGTCCTCCAGGCTGGAGTGCAAATGGCGTGATCTCAGCTCACTGCAACCTCTGCCTCCTGTGTTCAAGCGATTCTCCTGCCTCAGCCTCCCGAGTAGCTGAGATTATAGGCACACACCACCACGCCTGGCTAATTTTTGTATTTTTAGTAGAGACGGGGTTTCACTGTGTTGGCCAGGCTGGTCTTGAACCCCTGACCTCAGGTGATCCGCCTGCCTCGGCCTCCCAAAGTGCTGGGATTACAGGCGTGAGCCACCACGCTGGGCGGCATTTCTTTCTTTCTTTCTTTCTTTCTCTCTCTCTCTCTCTCTCTCTCTCCTTCCTTCCTTCCTTCCTTCCTTCTTTCTTTCTTTCTTTCTTTCTTTTCTTTTTGAGATGGAGTCTTGCTCTGTCTCCCAGGCTGGAGTGCAGTGGCGCAAGCTCCACTCACTGCAAGCTCTGCCTTCCAGGTTCACGCCATTCTCCTGCCTCAGCCTCCCGGATAGCTGAGACTACAGGTGCCCGCCACCACGCCCAGCTAATTTTTTGTATTTTTAGTAAAGATGGGGTTTCACCGTGTTAGCCAGGATGGTCTCAATCTTCTGACCTCATAATCCGCCCGCCTCGGCCTCCCAAAGTGCTGGGATTACAGGCGTGAGCCACGGCACCCAGCTGGCATTTCTTAAAATCTTTAGGAGATCAAGTCTAATTGTGAAGAAAATGTGACAGAAGCCTTAAGTATTTTCTGACCCTCTGAATCAACATTCTCATTTCTGCTATTTGTTCTAGAGCTGGCAGCATTGATGAAATGGGTAACCATAAATGAAGACTTTTTTTTTTTTGAGACAGAGTCTCACTCTGTTGCCCAGGCTGGAGTGCAGTGGTGCAATCTCAGCTCACAGCAACCTCTGCCTCCCAGGCTCAAGTGATTCTCCTGCCTCAGCCTCCCGAGTAGCTGGGATTATAGGCATGCACCACCACGCCCGGCTAATTTTTGTATCTTTAGAAGAGATGGGGTTTTACCATGTTGGGCAGGCTGGTCTCGAACTCCTGACCTCAAATGATCCACCTGCCTCGGCCTCCCAAAGTGCTGGGATTACAGGCATGAGCCACCATGCCTGGCCAAAAACTTCTACCTGCTTGGAAAGTTGACTGGTCACACAGCCTAGCAAATGAGGTTGGGATGTGGGATGTGCCTGGTTCCAATCCCAGCCCTTTACTGTTCCCATAGGAGGTGGGGACAGGCCTCACCCAGGCGTCCAGCATCCTGCAGCTGAATCTTGAGCATTTCCATGGGACAGGTCACCACGACCTGGCACATCCCAGCCCCACACCCGGCAAGCATCTCCATCTTCAGGTTCCGCTGCATCCTATGGGAACAGGCGTCAGGCTCCTTCAGCCGCAGGCCACAGGCCTGCCCTGGTGCAGCTGCCCTCTTGTGAGAGGGGGACTTTCCCTGGATGGCACCCGTGGCTGCCACTCACCCAGCTGGTCAAGTCATCAGCTAGCCCTTAGGTGTGGTCTCTGTACGGACAGGGGACTAAGTTTAAAACAAAGCCTGCTAGGGAGGTAGCACCGCATGGAAGCTGAAAACAGTGACAGAGAAAACTACCCAGACCAGGCGTTGTCCTTGATCCCTTCAGGAACATCACTGGGCAATGTGAGGCACAGAGAGAGCTAGAAAGTGTTTGGGGGCTGATTTGTTTTTCCTGAGACGAGGTCTCGCTCTGTGACCCACGCCGAAGTGCAGTGGAGCCAACATGGCTCACTGCAACCTCGACCGCCTGGGCCCAAGCGATCCTCCTTCCTCAACCTCCTAAAGTGCTGGGATTACAGGCATGAGCCACTGCAGCCAGCTTGGTGGCTGATTTTTAAAAATTTATTGGCTAGTTGATGGATTTGTCTGTATATGCTATATGTTCTCTATATTATCTGTCACACTTCCAAAGTATACCAGCTCATTCTCTCCCTTCACTCTCCAGCAGCCCAAACACACACCAGCCCTCAGCCATGTGTGCACATATTTATATGCATGCAGGCAGGTATACTGAGGCACATTTGAAATCTTCTTCCTGCCATCTCTCCCAAAAAACACACAGTGAAGGATCCAACCCCACCCCACCTGGCCATACCCATCTTCCATGAGCAGCCGCCGGAAAAAGTCGTTGGCCGCCAGCTTGATGGCCTTCTCTGGAGTGACCAGAGTGAGGTTCACTGCAGCCCCTGGAAGTGAAGGACAAGATGGGGAGTCAAGGCCATCCCAGAAATAACAGTGCCCCAGGTCTGCCCTTCAGCCCTAGCCAGGCCAGTCCCTGAGTGAAGGGCATTTTTGGGGCCAGGTGGGGCTCCTGAGCCTAATTCACTGAAATAACTTTCCATTCCCACTCCCTACCACATTCTCCTTTTTTTTTAGATGGAGTCTCGCTCTGTCGCCCAGGCTGGAGTGCAGTGGCGCGATCTCGGCGCACTGAAAGCTCCGCCTCCCGGGTTCGCGCCATTCTCCTGCCTCGGCCTCCCTAGTAGCTGGGACTACAGGCGCCCGCCACCACGCCCGGCTAAATTTTTTTTGTATTTTTTAGTAGAGACGGGGTTTCACCGTGTTAGCCAGGATGGTCTCGATCTCCTGACCTCGTGATCCGCCCGCCTCGGCCTCCCAAAGTGCTGGGATTACAGGCGTGAGCCACCGCGCCCGGCCCCACATTCTCCCCTTTTTACGTATTTTTTTCTTACGGACTCCTCAGTTTGGTTATCAGGAAGCCATTTTATTTTTGTTGCTGCTGGTGGGGTCGCTGATGATAAAACAGCAGTTCCAGTGACAGGCGCCAGGCGCAGGGACTGGGGTTCCGCTCCTCTGTGCCGCACAAGCCAGTCCCATTGGCTGCTAGCTCGGGGCTGTCTAGGGTTTGTGTTTTGCTTCTCGGCGGCACAAGCATACGAGCTCCGGCTCAACTCCAGCTTGGGATCCATTGTCCAAGGTACCTCCTGGCTGGGGACCCCGCAGGGACCGCAGCAACGCTGGACCGAGCTGGGGAGGAGCCACCCAGAACTCCTTGCCAGGAGCTCAGGCCCCGTCCCTCAGTCCCTTTCAGCCTCTCTCTCTTCGCTTCTAGCCAGGCAGAGAGAGGCAGGCAGGTAGGGAGGGCTCGCCTGCTCTTACTGAGGCGGTGGCGGGGGGTGTGCTCTGTGGGTCTCCGGAAGCCTTACCAGGACCCAGAGCTGCCTCTGTCTCCACCCAAGAGCACAGAGGCTCATCAGGAAGGACCCCCTGGCAGCCCTGGCCCCATCCCCGCAGCAACGGAAGGAACACCAGTTCCCCATGTCCCATACGCTCACACCTGCTGCCCAGCCTCCCAGGGGACCTGAGAAGCCCACCTCGGTACATGCCGAAGAAGCCCTCCGCCCGAGCCGTCTTCATCAGGCAGTCGATCCTGGAAGCAGAGGCCAGAGTAGGAGTAAGTGTGCAGCGGGCCTCCCAGCCGCCTCCATGCCCTGCTCCCGCGGGCACATCCCAGCTGATCAGATCCCCAGCCCCCAGGCTCACGCGCGCTGCCTGGAGACTGGAGGGAAGGGGGCCCCATCCCTCCCCCGGGCGCCTCTGCCCTCCACGCTCGCCTGCCAGCACCTACATTCCTTTGTACATGGCTTTCCCATGCTGGTTCTGCAGGCGAGTCTTGGCCAAGTCGATGGGGAACACGCAGGTCACCCCCACGAGCCCTGCTACACCTCCATTGATGAGTTTGGCTGTGATGCTAGGACAGGGGGAGGACAGGGGGAGGAGAGAGGCAGAGGGAGGGGCAGGTTAGGGAGCGGATGCAGCCAGGAATGGGCAGGGGCACAGACAGTGGGGAACCCCAGCCCCACAGGTGTCCAGAGACCCTCTTCAGCCTCCCTGGCCCAGGTCTGGTCCAGACAGGACAGCCGCACTCACCCGGGTGAGGCATCTTGCTGCAACCCGGGAAGTCCCTGGAGCTGGGACCTGCAGGGGCTTCTGGGAGGAGCCCAGCTCTGCCCCCATGGGCCGCCACCAGGGCACCGCTCTGCCCCAAGCTTCCCCGGCCCGTCCTCTGGCTCCTCCGCAGGCCTGGAGCCACGTGTGCAGTTCTCACACAAACGGACTGAAGGTCAGGCAGAACTGAGTTTGCATCCTGACTGTGACCTCTCCTCTCTGGGCCTGCATTCCCGTCGAACTCACTCCAGGGTTGCTGAGGACTATGGAAACCGTGCCTGGGGGGGAATGCCAGCTATTGTTCATAATAAGAGAGCAGGCACTTCCCACAGTGAAGGCTTCAAGTCGGTCAGCCCTTGAGGTGACCTAGTTCCAGCCAAAAGTAAAGCCACAGTTTAGATAACATGGCCCCCCACCCTGCTGGGTATAGGAGCTTTGGAAGACGGGAAATAGAAAACAAAGCTTTCTCAGACTCCTTGGAACCCACTCAACTTTTCTTATCTTTCAGGCGGGAGGCAGACTGTGAACAAAATATTTGGAGATGGATTTACCTGGAAGTGGTAAGAGTAGATGATAGTGGGCCTTTCACAAAGGAAGAAACTTGGGACGATAAAGAGAACTGTAAACTTAATTTTGTAGTTAGAGAAGATGAACCCAAACAATTAAACTATGTTGAACAATAACATATATGTGCACAGATGCTTGTGTGTACGTATTTGCCACAGTAGATGTAGTGTATATGTTATATGGGGGACAGGGGTCTTGCTCTTCCCTAGGACTCAGCTTGTTCTTCAGAAACCTGGATGTGCTATCACCACAGCGACTCTCCGCCAGGCCCAGGGCCCAGGGCCTCAGGCTGCCCCAGCCGAGCTCACCTCAGATCCTGGTGGGTCATTCTGCAGGGGCTGGGGATCCCAGGACACAAGGCTGCTGGCTCCTTGGGGTAGCCGCTGTTGGGGCTGTCTGGGGGAAGAAGTGGAAGCTTCCTTGGCTCTGGCCCCGTAGCAGTGTGGACAGAGCACGGGTTTTGAGTGCAGCCTGGCCCGAGCCACCTTCCCGGCAAGTGACGACCTCCTTGGGCTGCGGCTTCCTCCCCTGCAAAGTAGTCAGAGAAACACTCACCTCACAGATGGGCGAGGACGCACGTCACTAGTGGATTCATGCGGCCCGCTTGCTCCACTTTTTTCCCTTCCTAAACCTTTTGGACTTTGGGATTCAAATCAGAATCCTCGAACTTTTGGACTCTGGGGATCAGATAAGAAGGAAGGGGAATGAGAGAGAAGGATACAGCAGCCTGCTGAGGCTGGAGGAAAGGATGTCTGGGGCATTTTGGACAGAGGCATGGGAGTGGCACTGGAGGAAGCAGAAGGGATGGAAAGGATTTTAAGAGGAGTTGCTATGAACTAGGAATCCCTCTCTTGGTGTCCAAGGACTACAATAAAATACTTAAGATGGCCGGGCGTGGTGGCTCATGCCTGTAATCCTAACACTTTGGGAGGCCGAGGCGGGCGGATTGCCTGAGCTCAGGAGTTCGAGACCAGCCTGGGCAACGTGGTGAAACTCCATCTCTACTAAAAATGCAAAAATTAGCTGGGTGTGGTGGTGGGCTAGTAATCCCAGCTACCTGGGGGGCTGAGGTAGGAGATTGCTTGAATCCAGGAGACAGAGGTTGTGGTGGAGCCGAGATCACACCACTGCACTCCAGCCTGGGCGACAGATCAAGACTGTCTCAAAAACAAACAAACAAACAAACAAACAAACAAACAAACAAACAAAAAACCCACTTAAGATGCTCCATAGTTACTTTTTGGCTATTAAACTGTGTTTTCTGAAATTCATGTGATCTTGTTGAGAAACCAAACTACATTATATTCCTAATTGACAAGTGGAAGCTACAACAATTATGACAGCTTCTGAGGAGGGGGCCTGCTATTTTTTTGAGATGGAGTTTCGCTCTTGTTGCCCAGGCTGGAGTGCAATGGCACGATCTCAGCTCACTGCAACCTCTGCCTCCCAGGTTCACACCAGTCTCCTGCCTTAGCCTCTGGAGTAGCTAGGATTACAGGCATGTGCCACCACACCGGGCGAATTTTTGTATTTTTATTTTTGTATTTTTTCCGACCTCAGGTGATCCACTCGCCTCAGGCTCCCAAAGTGCTGGGATTACAGGTGTGAGCCACCATGCCTGGCCAGAGTGAGGCTGCTTTAACCCCAGAGGAGTGGTGTCAGGAGCAGCTCTCCGGACGCTCTCTGCTTGGGCACAGGCTGGCCCAGGCTCTGAGGAGCCTCTTCTCTCCGGTGCCCTGAAGCTGCTTTAGGGTCCCCAGCTCTCCTGCACTCCTCACTGCTCTCCAGCAATTGAGAGACTGGTTGCCAGCAATTCTTTGCTGTCTCCAGCTATTTTGTTTTGGGTAAGAAAAGAGAGGAGGGGTGGGGGAGACATTAGTCTTTCTCTTGGTGCTACACTAATCCATTCAGGAAGACATTTGCTGAGTGCTGGGCACTGCTCCAGGTCTGGTGACATAGTAGTGAACAAAATACACATTCTAGTTCTCAAGGACTTAAGTTTGGCCGGGAACAGTGGCTCACGCCTGTAATTCCAACACTTTGGGAGGCTGAGGCGGGTGGATCGCCTGAGCCCAGGAGTTCAAGACCAGCCTGGGCAACATAGTGAAACCCCGTCTTTACAAAAATACAAAAAATTAGCTGGCCATGGTGGCCCAGCTACTCAGGAGGCTGAGATGGGAGGATTATTTGAGGCCAGGAGGTGGAGGTTGCAGTGAGTCAAGATCACACCACTACACTCCAGCCTGGGCAACAGAGCGAAACCCTATGCCCCCCAAAGAAGAAAAAAAAAAAAAGAAGCAGGGCGCAGTGGCTCATGCCTGTAATCCCAACACTTTGGAAGGCTGAGGACGGCAGATCACCTGAGGTCAGGAGTTCGAGACCAGTCTGGGCAACATGGTGAAACCCCGTCTCTACTAAAAATATAAAAATTGGCTGGGCATGGTGGCGGGAGGATCACAAGGTCAGGAGTTCGAGACCAGCCTGGCCAACATAGTGAAACTCCATCTCTACTAAAAACACAAAAATTAGCGGGGAATGGTGGTGTGCGCATGTAGTCCCAGCTACTCAGGAGGCTGAGGCAGGAGAATGGCATGAACCTGGGAGGCAGAACTTGCAGGGAGCCGAGATCGCACCACTGCACTCCAGCCTGGGTGACACAGCGAGCCTCCATCTCAAAAAAAAAAAAAAAAAAATAGACAGGACACAACTGTTTCTGTCTGAAGCCAGGGAGTCCAATAATTGAGAACATTGTGACTGCTCTTATAATCATATTCCCTGCTGTTTCTAGAACTAAATTACTACTTTAGAAACTGTGGGCCGGGTGCGGTGGCTCACACCTATAATCTCAGCACTTTGGGAGGCTGAGGCGGGCGGATCACCTGACGTCAGGAGTTTGAGAACAGCCTGACCAACATGGAGAAACCCCATCTCTACTAAAAATACAAAAAATTAGCTGGGCTTGGAGGCTCACGCCTATAATCCCAGCACTTTGGGAGGCTGAGGCGGGCGGATCACAGGGCCAGGAGATCGAGACCATCCTGGCTAACATGGTGAAACCCCGTCTCTACTAAAAATACAAAAAATTGGCCGGGTGTGGTGGTGGGCGCCTGTCGTCCCAGCTACTTGGGAGTCTGAGGTAGGAGAATGGCGTGAACCCGGGAGGCGGAGCTTGCAGTGAGCCGAGATGGTGCCACTGCACTCCAGCCTGGGTGACACAGTGAGACTCTGTCCCCCACCCCAAAAAAATTAGCCAGGTGCGGTGATGGGCACCTATAATCCCAGCTACCTGGGAGGCTGAGGCAGGAGAATCGCTTGAACCCAGGAGGCGGAGGTTGCAGTGAGCCAAGATCACGCCACTGCACTCCAGCCTGGGCTACTGGAATAGGGGTATTTAACAGATGCCAGAGAAATTAGGGACACCCTAATCCCAGGGCCACTCCATAGCATAGCTAACAGATGTGATAATGTTTCCACCCACGGAGAGCACTTGGCTGGAGGGTGAGCCTCCCTACCCTGAGGCTGTACCAAGCTGCTGCAGTTCCAGCCCCGGAAGTTCCCTTTCGCAGGCCTATGCTAATCAAAGCCTATGACTTGACAAGATTCCTGGCAGCAGTAAATGCATTAGTAACAGGCAACAAAGGCGAAACCATTAGCCAGGCAAGGTATGAAAGGAGTCATAGCACCATGAAAACCCCAAACCTGGCACCAGGGCCGATAACTGCCCCCCAAGGCAACCCACAAGCCTAAGTGTTAGTCACGCTACAGATATTTGTTGAGTGATTACTGTATGCCATTTGCAGTTCTAAGCAGCAGGGACACAGCTGGGGAACAAAGCAAGGCCTTGCCCTCCACAGAATTGAATTCCTACTGGTTCCGGCACTGATGGGAATAGACTTCTTTTTTTTTTCTTTTTTTTTTTGAGACGGAGTCTCACTCTGTCGTCCAGGCTGGAGTGCAGTGGTGCGATCTTGGCTCACTGTGTAACCTCCGCCTCCTGGGTTCAAGCTATTCTCCTGCCTCAGCCTCCTGAGTAGCTGGGACTACAGGCTCACACCACCACGAATGGCTAATTTTTGTATTTTTAGTAGAGATGGGGTTTCACCATGTTGGCCAAGATGGTCTCCATCTCCTCACCTCCTGATCTGCCCGCCTCAGCCTCCCAAAGTGCTGGGATTACAGGCATGAGCCACCATGCCCGGCCTCCTCTACCTTCTTTTCTGAAGGAATTTAGAGGGTGTAGGGGGTATTGGGGTAGAAAAGATCATCTAAGTGCTGGGATGCAGAACAATGAGAAAACACATCTGGAACTCTTTGGAAACAAAGTGGGAAAGGACTAGAAAAGCAGCCAGCTGGAAGACAGAGGCTCCCTGTCACCGCCTTGGGATGCAGCATCTGGCCATGACATTGTGTCACTGTGCACTGGGAAGACAAGTGCATTCACAATTTACATGTGATAACTGAATCATATTGAGAAGAAGAAATTTGATACACGGGAAATAGCATGTTTGCATGTTCTTAGTGTCAAAAGGTGGAATGCAGTGGGTGAGCATACCCCATTCTAGGACTTGCCCTTTCCCCCTTGCTATTCCGGGTTAGTTGCACTGGGAACTGCCACGTCCCTGGAACTCCATCCCCTGGCTACTGTTCACTGTGTAAGGATGGAGACCTGACTTAAGCTGAATGATTCAACCCCTTCCATAGGAATTTTTAAAGTGTATGCAGCCTCTTTTAGGGGCATTTTACCTGTAACAGATAAAACTTGGGGCCCATCAGCAAACTTGTCACATGATTGAGGAAACAGAGATAAATAAAGCAGACCCGCAGAGATGATGCAAGGCGGGAGAGACTTCTGCCTTATTACTGCACAGCGATCCACTTTATTCCTGACCTTGACCACAAAAAGGGTCTCCCACTATGCTTCTAATGAGGTGACTTATTGTCTTAAGATAGTAGAGTTCTGTAACTTGGTAACCAAAGAGTGCTTAATAAATACATTTTTAAAACCCTCACATTCCATTTAATGGCAACTGAGCGGCTTAGACAGTGCGTGCTGAAAGGCTCAGAGGTGTGCAGAGTCACTAAGGGCTGGCTTGGAGAAGTGGGACTTAAAGAATAAGAGAGCACGGGGCACAGTGGCTCACACCTGTAATCCCAGCACTGTGGGAGGCCGAGGCAGGTGGATCACCTGAGGTCACGAGTTTGAGACTAGCCTGGCCAATGTGGTGAAACCCGGTCTCTACTAAAAATGTAACAATTAGCTGGGCGTGGTGATGCATGTCTGTAATCCCAGGTACTCAGAAGGCTGAGGCAGGAGAATCGCTTGAACCTGGGAGGCGGAGGTTGCAGTGAGTTGAGATCGCACCACTGCACTCTAGCCTGGGCGACAGAGCGAGACTCCATCTCAAAAAATACATATATAAATAATAATAATAATAATAATAAAGGGAACATTGGCCAGGCACAGTGGCTCACGCCTGTGATACCAGCATTCTGGGAGGCCGAGGGTGGGTGGATCAGGAGGTCAGGAGTTCGAGACCAGCCTGGCCAACATAGTGAAACTCCGTCTCTACTAAAAACACAAAAATCAGTCAGGCGAGACGTGATGGCACGTGCCTGTAATCCCAACTGCTCGGGAGGCTGACGCAGGAGAATCGCTTGAACCCGGGAGGTGGTGATTGCAGTGAGCCGAAACGACGCCATTGCACTCTAGCCTGGGCGACAGAGCAAGACTCCATCTCAAAAAAAAAAATAAAAAAAAAAAAGAATAAGGAAGCATTTAAAAGCAGAAGGTGGGGCGTGCAGACCCTGGATGTGGGCTTGGTGTGAGCAGAGGGTTCAGGGAACAGAACTGTGGGAAGGAGGCTGCAAAGGCAGGTTAGGCCACACGTGGGGAGCCTGGGTGGCTAGAGACAGCATGTGCCCTCCTAAAAGGGAATTTTTTTGTTTTCTTTTTGATTGGCATTTTCACAACATGAAAAGTGAATTTTTAAATGTGATCCTGTAGGCAGTAACAAAACACTGAATACTTCTTTTTTTCAGGGGACAAGATCTGGCTCTGTTGCCCAGGGTGGAGCGCCGTGGCGCAATCTCAGCTCACTGCAACCTCTGCTTCCCAGGCTCAAGCGATCCTCCCACCTCAGCCTCCCAAGGAGTTGGGACCATAGGTGTATGACACCATGTCAGGCTATTTTTTTAAAAAAAATTTTTGTAGAGATGGGTTTTGCCATGTTGCCCAGACTGGTCTTGAACTCCTGAGCTCAGCTGATCCGCACACCTCCACCTCCCGAAGTGTCGGGATTACAGGCGTGAGCCACACTGAATGCTTTTAAGGGGGAAAATACCACATTGAATGTAGTATGAGGACAGTTATTCTGGAAGAATGGGTTGAGGGGAGTCAGTGAGAGGCCAATTAGGAGACCCTTCAGAGTAAAACAATGAAGTGGAGAGGGAGGGATTAGGGAGAAGGGGTAGAGAACAAGGGTTACTGGGAGAGAACTTTGTAGAGAGCCTTGGTGACTGTCCAGGGCTGAACCGCAGAGAACCATGGAGCTGTCTCAGCTCTGAGGTGAGGAATGAAGGATGCAAGTTAGGAACCGAAGCTGCCTGCAGGGAAGGAGAGAGATGGGGTCAGTGGGGCTTCGGGAACTCTCTCCTCAGCACTGTGGGAAGGAAGTCAGCCAGCAGGCACACCGGCTTGACAGAAAGAACACCTCAGCTGTAGACACCATGCTGCCGTGGCTGGCCTTGGGCTAGTCCTCCAGCCCCCAGGTGCCCCATTTCCAGGAGTATTTCCAGATACTGAGTCCTACCTCCTCACCACTCCAGACTCTATTTTTCAAACGTGGAGGTGGCTAAGGATGGTTCTGGTGTAGAGTCAGAAGCAGACAGGTTTTGGGGGGAAGTGGGGAGGAAGTCAGAGAGGAGGTGCAGCACTGTCAACTGATCTCACCACTCAGCAGCATTCAGAGGCTACTCCGGCCACCCCTGCCTGAATCCCACCACCAGAACTAACCTGTGGCCCACCCTGTCTGTTTTGCTAGAAAATAATGAGCTAACAGGAATGATCCATGACTTTTTGTTACTAATGAACATCTGCTCCCTTTCTTAAAGTGCTTAAAGTAATAGAAAAAATAGTAGAAAATCCAGAAGGTACAGAAAACTGTAAAAGGTCTCACTCTGTTGCCCAGGCTAGAGTGCAGTGGCGTGATCTTGGCTCACTGCAGCCTCAACTTCCTTGACTCAAGGGATCCTCCCGCCTCAGCCTCCTGGGTTGTTGAGACTACAGGTGTGCACCATCACGCCCGGTTAATTTTTAAAAAATTATTTGTAGAGGGCTGGGCGCCATGGCTCATGCCTGTAATCCCAGCACTTCGGGAGGCCGAGGCGGGCGGATCACGAGGTCAGGAGATTGAGACCATCCTGGCTAACACGGTGAAACCCCGTCTCTACTAAAAATACAAAAAATTAGCCGGGCGTGGTGGCGGGCGCCTGTAGTCCCAGCTACTCGGGAGGCTGAGGCAGGAGAATGGTGTGAACCCGGGAGGCGGAGCTTGCAGTGAGCCGAGATCGCGCCACTGCACTCCAGCCTGGGCGACAAAGCGAGACTCCGTCTCAAAAAAAAAAAAAAAAAAAAAATTTATTTGTAGAGATGGGGTCTCGCCATGTTGCTAAGGCTGGTCATGAATGCCTGGGCTCAAACAGTAATCCCACCTCAACCACTCAAAGTGCTGGGATTACAGGCGTGAGACACCACACCCAGTGGAAAAGTGATTCTTTTTTTTTTTTTTGAGATGGAGTTTTGCTCTTGTTGCCCAGGCTGGAGTGCAATGGCACGATCTCGGCTCACTGCAACCTTCACCTCCAGAGTTCAAGCAATTCTCCTGCCTCAGCCTCCTGAGTAGCTGAGATTACAGGCATGCGCCAGCATGCCCACCTATATTTCTGTATTTTTAGTAGAGATGTGGTTTCTCCATGTTGGTCAGGCTGGTCTTGAACTCCCGATCTCAGGTGATCCGCCCACCTTGGCCTCCCAAAGTGCTGGGATTACAGGGGTGAGCCACTGTGCCCAGCCGATTCTCCTTTTTTTGAGATGGAGTCTCACTCTGTTGCCCAGGCTGGAGTGCAGTGGCGTGATCTCGGCTCGCTGCAACCCCTGCCTCCCAGGTTCCAGTGATTCTCCTGCCTCAGCTTCCTGAGTAGCTGGGATTACAGGCACGCACCACCACACCTGGCAAAGTTTTTTGTTTTTTTTTTCTGAGACGGGAGTCTTGCTCTGTTGCCCAGGCTAGAGTGCAGGGGCATGATCTCGGTTCACTGCAACCTCCGCCTCCTAGGTTCAAGCGATTCTCCTGCCTCAGCCTCCCAGTAGCTGCGATTACAGGCACGAGCCACCATGCCCGGCTAATTTTTGTATTTTAGTAAATACGGGGTTTCACCATGTTGGCCAGGGTGGTCTCAAACTCCTCACCTCAACTGATCCGTCTGCCTTGGGCCCAGACTTTTTTTTTTTTTTTTCTTTTTGAGACAGTCTCACTGCATTGCCCAGGCTGGAGTGCGGTGGTGTGACCTTGGCTCACTGCAACCTCTGCCTTCTGGGTTCAAACAGTTCTGCCTCAGCCTCCCAAGTAGCTAGGATTACAGGCGTGCTCCATCACGCCCGGCTAATTTGTGCATTTTTACCCTGTTGTCCAGGCTGGTCTTGAACTCGTCAGCCTCAAGTGATCTGCCCACATCAGCTCCCCAAAGTGCTGGAATTACAGGCCTGAGCCACTGCGCCCCGGCTGGAGAAGTGATTCTTAATACATTGTAACTGAGGGTCATATTGTGAACAAGACACACTATTTAGAGAAATGATACTAGCTGCTGAGCTGCAGGGAGGAGCGTGCTGGAGTTTTCCAAGCTCCTCAGATCACATAGCTTTTCGTTCTTCCTGTTTAAAAACGTCCCATTCCCTTGGCTTGACTCCTCTGGCTTCCCCTTCTGTGCAGCCACTGCTAGATCACCACAGATTGTCCCTCCGGATGCCTGAGGGCTCCTAACTCAGCTCCTTGCCTTCAGCCTTGTTGCCTTCAAATCCACCTTCCAAACGGCCAAGTGGGTGAAAGGGCGCGGGGGCTGCCTTCCCACGGCTCTCGGGACAGGCTCCCACTCCCGCACAACCTGCCCTGGTTTTCCTCTCCCTCACCCCCTGCTTTCAACTTTTGCTTTCGGAACACGTCAGTCTTGCTTCCGAGTCTTGCACATACTGTCCCCTTCACCCAGGACACTCTTTCCGCATCCAAACCCAGTGATTTACAAACTGTTCTTTGGGCTTCAGCTCAGACGTCACCTCCTCCCACATGCCTTTCTGGAGTCACCCCATTCTTGGCTAGGAGCCCTCTCCTGTTAACCCATTGAATATTCAGTTGCAGCACTTACTGCATTACATTGACACTGACTTGCTTCCCCATGAAAATTACCAGTTATTTGTGAGTTAAGACGGTCTTGAGGCTGGGCACGGTGGCTCACGCCTGTAATCCTAGCACTTTGGGAGGCCAAGGCGGGCAGATCACCTGAGGTTAGGAGTTCGAGACCAGCCTGGCCAACATGCTGAAGCCCCATCTCTACTAATAGAAAAAAAAATTAGCCAGGCATAGTGGCATGCACCTGTAGTCCCAGCTACTCGGGAGGCTGAGGCAGGAGAATTGCTTGAACCCAGGAGGCGGAGGTTGCGGTGAGCCGCCATCATGCCACAGCACTCCAGCCTGGGCGACAGAGTAAAACTGTCTCAACAACAACAAAAAGTCTTGGGGCAGTATCCTGGCCACGGCGCAGAGGCATCCAGTAAGCATCCTCAAATCAAGAAGCCACAATGACTCCCCATCTGACTTTGCTGTCAGACTTGTCACGAGACTGCTGGCTCCACTGTAGAGCTGTGCTCATTTATTCCCACTGTGAGGAGCTGGGTTGGGGGCCTCAGGGTGATGACCACGTCCCCGCCTACTTCCTCTTATTAGCAGAGCAAGGGTGAGTGTTCCCAGGAATGAGCCCCTCACACTAGTAGCCAGGAGCCAGTTCTTGACTTATTGCCAAGAAAATCACTTGCTTCCTGGCTTGGATGTTGCCTGGGATACCCCATGGTCAGGGGCGGCCACTTCCTCGTGCCCACCCCTTCTGACTCTATCCAACAAATGGGATGAGTGTCCCTGTCCCACTGGCTGCTCTTCCCCTTTCCCCCAATGGTTTATTTGCTAGAAGAGTCTTTTCCTACCAACTCTGAGCTTGATGCAGACAGACAAGACACTTACCTGCTTTCGGTAAGAACCTCTGCCTTTTCTGGAACCCAGGATATAGTTCAGATCGCTGCTGAGCTGCAGGGAGAGGTGGCTTTCAGTGTCAGCCAGCTTGGACTGGTTTTCCCTTCTGTGGTCAGTTTCCCTCCCTCTGCCTCCCCCTCATCACCACTGCAGGGTTCCAGACTCTCACCGCACACTGCACCTTCAAATAGGTTGGGTTTGAAGCAAAACCCAAAGAGGCTACTATCCAGTCAAGCCACGCTGCACCTCCCCAGGTGGCAAGTAGGTTGCTGTTTACTTGGTGGCTAGTATGACTCGGACAAAAAGTCCAGGCTGGGAAAAGATTTTAACAAGGCAGCTTGGGGGTGAGGGGAGATTCACCGCCCACTCAGAGACCTGGAAGCCAGGGAGGAGGACAAACACTGAAAATCAATGCAACGCAAACACTTTTGCAAGACATTTGGTGCCAGAAGCAAATCTCTGCTTCTCAGTCTCATGCACTTTTCTTACTGCTGATAACCGGCTATTTCAATGATCCTGGGAGGCATCCTCCCTGCAGGAACACATTTTCCTTTCACTTTGCATGTATTTGTTGGGGGCTATCACGTGCTCAGCTGCAGGAGGGCTGCAATGTAGTTTTGGCACATTCTCAATGCTTAAGAATGTTACAAGTGTAAAAAGCAAAGAAGAGGGCTGGGCGCGGTGGCTCACGCCTGTAATCCCAGCACTTTGGGAGGCCGAGGCGGGCGGATCACGAGGTCGGGAGATGGAGACCATCCTGGCTAACATGGTAAAACCCCGTGTCTACTAAAAATACAAAAAATTAGCTGGGCGTGGTGGCGGGCGCCTGTAGTCCCAGCTACTCGGGATGCGGAGGCAGGAGAATGGCGTGAACCCAGGAGGCGGAGCTTGCAGTGACCTGGGATCGCGCCACTGCCCTCCAGCCTGGCTACAGGCTGGGCGACTCCATCTCAAAAAAAAAAAAAGTAAAGAAGAGGTTCCTCTTAAAAGACTTTCCTCCCCATCTAATTAAAAATAAGTAGTAATTTCTCTTAAAAGCAAAATTTATTCAAAGACCTGTGCTAACATTCTTAAATATCTACCAGCCATAATAAAAAAAATCAATGTACTTTATACAGGCCGGGCACGGTTGCTCACGCCTGTAATCCCAGAACTTTGGGAGGCCGAAGCAGGTGGATCACAAGGTCAGGAGACTGAGACCATCCTGGCTAACACGGTGAAACCCTGTTTCTACTAAAAATACAAAAAATTAGTCAGGCGTGGTGGCAGGCGCGTGTAGTCCCAGCTACTCGGGAGGCTGAGGCAGGAGAATGGCGTGAATCCGGGACGCAGAGCTTGCAGTGAGCCGAGATCGCACCACTGCACTCCAGCCTGGGTGACAGAGTGAGACTGTCTCAAAAAAAAAAAAAAAAAAAAAAAAAAGATGTACTTTATATTCTCGGCTCCCACAGTTTAGCCTCAATATTTGCCCTGCCATACTTATACTGGTCCAAACAAACATTAGGTCATAGCCTGTTCCTCTTCCTTATTTAAAGGTGTTTTTACCTTTCTCGATATTCCACAAGTTCCTTCCTCCTTCCTTTATTCTCATCTGCCTTTTTTTTTTTTTTTGAGATGGAGTCTTGCTCTGTCACCCAGGCTGGAGGGCAGTGGTGCCATCTCGGCTCACTGCAAGCTCAGCCTCCCACGTTCACGCCATTCTCCTGCCTCAGCCTCCCGAGTAGCTGGGACTACAGGTGCCCACCACCACACCCGGCTAACTTTTTTGTATTTTTTTAGTAGAGACGGGGTTTCACCATGTTAGCCAGGATGGTCTTGATCTCCTGACCTCGTGATCCGCCCGCCTCAGCCTCCCAAAGTGCTGGGATTATAGGTGTGAGCCATCGCACCTGGCCTATTCTCCTCTGCCTTTGCCTCTTTTAAAAAGTTGTAAGTTACTAGCCAATCAAAACAAATACAAAATATAAAGTCCCATTCCAGCCAAAAAAACCAGACAGCAATAAAGTAGACCCATCAGGTTATAAACGACCCTGTCTCCTTTGTTCAGTATACTCTCGTGACAAAACTGCTAGCAAGTGTACCCTTTCTGCAGAAAGTATAAAAATGGCCTTACTAAAAAAATTAAATTTATATTCAAGTGCTATTTCTTTACGGCACCAAGGAACAAGCATTCCTACAAGTGAGTTGTGAACTCAATGCTGCTTGAGTTAAGGAAGGTTTCTTGGAGTTTTGGAGACATGGAAAGGTTTCAGGAAGAAAGTGGCAATTGATTTTGGGTTGGAGGAAAGGCAAAGATGTTGATGGAATTATAAAAGCAAGGATAGAGAGGTAAAATGGAGATCCACTGGCAAATTGTCTAATTTGGGGCAAAAGGCTGTTAAACCACGTTGGGTCTAGATGAAACAGGGCCCTGCTGCCAGGCGAAGGATCTGGGAGAGGTGAAGAATCAGCACTGGATACTTTGAAGTCAGATGCACGTTCAGATTCCAGCTCCTAAATTATGAAGTAATACACTTTAGGGAAGCTACTTTAGTGCTTTTTTCATAAAAGGGGAATGGGACATCCATGTAACAGGATTGTAATTAATCTGAAATGAGGCTGTAGAGTGGACTTGAAAATAGGATTGCTTTTGAAACAGTTTGAATCTTAGTTTACTGCTTACTAGCTGTGTGACCTTAAACAAGTTACTTAAGTTGTCTGTGTTGCCTGTTCATCTATGAGATGGGACTCATATCTAGATGTAGTGCACTTAGTACAGTGCCTGGCACATAAAAGGTATTCACATGCTAATTCTTTGTAAAATATACATTATTTTTGAGACAGTGTCTTGCTCTGTCGCCCAGGCTGGAGCGCAGTGTCGTGATCATGGCTCACTGCAGCCTTGACCTTCTGAGCTCAAGCCATCCTCTCACCTCAGCCTCCCAAGTAGCTGCGATTACAGGCATGCCACTATGCCTGGCTAATTTTTGTTATTTCTTTGTAGAGACGCGGTTTTGCCATGTTGCCCTAGGCAGGTGTACAACTCCTGACCTCAAGCCATCTGCCTGCCTCAGCCTATCAAAGTGCTGAGATTACAGGTGTGAGCCATCACGGCCGGCCCATGCTAATTTTCTTCCCACCTTTTCTGGTGGGCAATGGAAAGCTGATAGAGGATGCTATGGAGTAGGGACCCGACGGGACAGTTCAGGTCTCTGGCAGTGCCAAGTGGTTTGGACAAGTCAGGGAGATTACACAGTAAGCTAGGCAAAAGAGAAAATGACAGGCTGGGCCAGGCACGGTGGCTCGGGCCTGTAATCCCAGCACTTTGGGAGGCTGAGGTGGGCGGATCACCTGAGGTTGGGAGTTCGAGACCAGCCTGACCAACGTGGAGAAACCCCGTCTCTACTAAAAATACAAAATTAACTGGGCATGGTGGCACATGCCTGTAATCCCAGCTATTTGGAAGGCTTAAGCGGGAGAACCGCTTGAACCCGTGAGGCGGAGGTTGTAGTGAGCCGAGATTGCGCCATTGCACTCCAGCTTGGGCAACAAGAGCGAGGCTCCAGTTGGAAAAAAAAAAAAGAAAATGACAGCCTGCTCACAGGAGGGAAGAGATGTGAATGGTTTCTGTGAAGATTATACAGGGCTTGGTGGGTGATTAAACACGCCAGAGGCAGGTATCAGATTTGAAACACGCATCAGCAGGAGGAAGATACATTATCCCCCCACTGAGAGTGTTAGAAGCAGGGGGTAGGTAAGGAGACGGGGAGGGAAGAGAAGTTTGGCAGCTGACATGAGCTTAAAGTAGCAGTTGCAGATGAGGGGGTGACAGCAGGCACCAGAAACAGCGGTGCAGTGCCGTGTCACACCCACAAGCATGGTTCAAAAAAATAGAGATCGGCATTGGTGCGGATGTAGAGAATTGGAACCCTTGCTGGTGAGAATGTAAAACACGGCAGCCATGGTGGAAGACAGTATGGCAGGTCCTCAAAAAAGTAAACACAGAGGCCAGGTGCGGTGGCTCACGCCTGTAATCCTTGTGCTTTGGGAGGCTGAGGTGGGAGGATCACTAGAGCCTGGGAGTTTGAGACCAGCCTGGGAAACATCCAAGACCCCATCTCTTTATTTTTTGAGACGGAGCTTCACTCTTGTTGCCCAGGCTGGAGTGCAATGGCACGATCTCGGCTCACTGAAACCTCTACCTCCTGGGTTCAAGTGATTCTCCTGCCTCAGCCTCCGGAGAAGCTGGGATTACAGGCATGCCCCATCATGCCCGGCTAATTTTGTGTTTTTAGTAGAGACGGGGTTTCTCCATGTTTGTCAGGCTGGTCTTGAACTCCCCACCTCAGGTGATCTGCCTGCCTCGGCCTCCCAAAGTGCTGGTATTACAGGCGTGAGCCAACACACCTGTCCAAAAATTTTTTTAAAAAATTACTCAAAAAAACCCCAAACAAAAAATTAGCCAGGCGCTGCGGTGTGTGTCTGTAGTTCTAGCTACTTGGGAGGTCGAGGAAGGAGGATCATTTGAGCCCTGGGGTTGGAGGCTGCAGTGAGCTATGATCATACCACTGCACTTCAACTTGGCAAGACCCTATCTCTATTAAAAAATAGAAAATTTGGCAGGGCGTGGTGGCTCACGCCTGTAATCCCAGCACTTTGGGAGCCCGAGGTGGGTGGATCACGAGGTCAGGAGATCGAGACCATCCTGGCCAACATGGCAAAACCCCGTCTCTACTAAAAAATACAAAAAATTAGCTGGGTATAGTGGCAGGCACCTGTAGTCCCAGCTACTCGGGAGGCTGAGGCAGGAGAATGGCGTGAACCCGGGGGGGCGGAGTTTACAGTGAACCGAGATTGTGCCACTGTACTCCAGCCTGGGTGACAGAGCAAGACTGTCTCAAAAACAAAACAAAACAAAACAAAACAAAAACAGAATGAGTCTGCACAGAGTGACAAATGAGGCTGCAGGCAGAAATAAGAGCATCCCGAGGGAGGGCTCCTGGGCTCAAGCGATCCACCCACCTCACCCTCCTGAGTAGCTGGGATCACAGGTGCACACCATCAACCTGGCTAATTAAAACAATTATTTTTTTGTAGAGGTGGGGCCTCATTATGTTGCCTGGGCCTGATTTTTTTTTTTTGGAGACAGAGTCTTGCTCTGTCCCCCAGGCTGGAGTGCACTGGCTCAATCTTGGCTCACTACAACGTCCATCTCCCAGGTTCAAGTGAGTTTCCTGCCTCAGCCTCCCGAGTAGCTGGGACTACCACACCTGCTACCACGCCTGGCTAATTTTTTGTATTTTTAGTATAGATGGGGTTTCACGTTAGCCAGGATGGTCTCCATCTCTTGACCTCGTGATCCGCCCGCCTTGGCCTCCCAAAGTGCTGGGATTACAGGTGTGAGCCACCGCGCCCCAGCCAACTTAAGTCCTTTCTAAAAATTTTTTTTACTTTATATAAACTGTTTGTATTCTTTTTTCTATGCTATGCCTCAGGTTTGAAGATGTTCAGCTCAGATTACCTGCATCTAAGGACCAAAATGTAAATGCCAGGGCCATTCTTCCAGGTCAGTTTGCATCAGAACCATGCAGGTTGCATCTGTTGCTAGTTACAAGAGAGAGCTAGGCCCTTCTTCAGTTTAAGGTCTTAGGCGGGATGCCAAAATCTGCATTTCCAGCAAGTTCCCAGATGATGGCCAGGCTACATTGTGAGAACATCACAATAGATCATGTGAGTGAGAATGATCAGGGCAGGCTGAGGTGGTGGGGAGAGGAACACCATCACTTCTCCCAAGCTGCAGTTTCTGCAGATCTACGCTGCCTTTGGGAAATGTTTAGCATCACACTGGACATAATTACTTGCGCTGCATTTTCTGAATTACACAGTCTTCGTCTTAGAGTGGAGCCAGGGCAAAAGAGGAATTCAAGCTGGAACAAGGAGTCCGAGAAGACGCGACTGCTGGACAGAACAAGCGATGAAGCCAGTCCCCAAACTGATGAGCCCGCAGCTCCATCCAAATTAAATGGGCTGAGAACACCAACACTCCACCCTCCCGGTACGATTGCATGGCAGGGAGGAACCAAAAATATTTTTCCTTCATCTGCTATCTCAGCTAAGCAGTACACTCTTTCTAGCACCTCACTAGAGTCCAGTTTTTCTGTATTCTGTATTCACAATACAGGTTTATTATGAACTCTGAGCAGATGAGGCTATTTTTCCCCCTTTTGGTTTCTTAGTAACTAGGCAAAGTACAAGGCTCACGGTGGGTATTTAATAAATACTTACTGACAACTTGCCTGCAAGCGAGTCGACGTTCATCTCAGTTGTTGAGGCACTCACGGGCCAGGCTTCACTCGACTCTTCTCACTGCCTACTCAGTTCCTTCTCAAAGCAAAGCCCGTGGATATATCCAAGGAACTGGCTTCATTGCTTTTAAAAATTCTGTCCAGCTTTAACTGGCTAGAATAGGGGTCCTCGTCCTTGTCATATGCTGTCCAGAATGAAGTCCAAATCCAGGATTCTGGGAGCATGTCATGCTTTCTCGAACCTGCAGGAGTCTCAAGGGCACCTGCATTGATATGCATGTCATGGCTGTAGAAGGGGGCTGGCATTGCAGCACACAATAGCCAAATCTGGGGATTTTCCAGATGCCTTCGCCTTCTTGGCTAGTATTTTTCACTGAAGGTTTTTTATAAAACTGCTTAAGGAAACTAGGGGAGTGAGCATTGCTAGCAGAAAGGGGACTAAAATAGATGCACAGAGGTCCCTTAAAAGTCCAAAGGAACACCACGAGGCCAGGGAAACATCTGCAGGGTCAATGCAGAGAAATCAACAGCAGTTGTGGGGGAGGACAGTGAAGGCAGCCACACAGCAGGCAGCTGCTGCTGGGTCACCCAGGGCTCTGCCGCGGCTCCATGAGCGCCCAGAAGGAAAGGTCCCATGATACCTCTTGCATAACAACTGCATGACATAGGCCGTTCACCTTCCAGGAAGATTCCAGGGTAAAGATCAGCCCCCAAATAGCCCGTCTGGATGGTTATTTTCTCAATTCCGTTGGTAGCACTCTCAGAGAACATAGAGTATAGCAAAATGGAGCCCACAAAGGGGCTGATTTATAAAACTTGCGTTGCCTTTCCTTCCAGTAACACGAATTGGTTTAGAGACAAGAGACATTAATCTTTAACAAGAGAAGCACCTATGGATGTCTCCAAATGTCAAAATAGAAAGTTGATCAGAACTTTTGAGACTAATCTACAGTAACAATGTATAGCTTCCTGTCTCCCTAAATCTTGCCCGAGTAGCTTTTATGCTCTTATTTTAAGAAGCTCACTGTGTAGGATTATCTGTGTAAGATATATTTACCCAGGATGCTTAACAAGCGTTAAACAGTAACAGTTCCAAAAATAGAGCCACATTTACACTGCCTACTGCACTGTTTTGAAACAGTTAACCAGTGGAAGATGCTAACTTTTGGTACATATATTTGTTGCTGGTTTTGGCCCGAAGAAGATAAATCTGGAAGCACTCTAAATGGCTAAGTTCCTTATAAAAAATAAAGGCCGGGCACAGTGGCTCACGCCTGTAATTCCTAGCACTTCGGGAGGCTGAGGCAGACAGATCACTTGAGCTCAGTTCTAGACCAGCCTGGGCAACATCGTGAGACAAAAAATTAGCTGGGTGTGGTGGGGTGCCCCTGTAGTCCCAGCTGCTTGGGAGGCTGTGGTGAGAGGACTGCTTGAGCCCGGGAGATTGAGGCTGCAGTGAGCTGAGACCATGCCACTGTACCTAGCCTGGGCAACAGAGTGAAACCCTGTCTCAAGAAAAATTAAAGCCTATCTTTTTTTTTTTTTTTCATGTTGTGAGAATTTAATAAGTCAATGAACATAAGGTGCTTAGAACCAAGCTTAGGGTATGGAAAACAGAGAATAGATGTTTCTTGTTATTCTTTTTTTTTTTTTAATTTATTTTTTTATTGATAATTCTTGGGTGTTTCTCACAGAGGGGGATTTGGCAGGGTCATGGGACAATAGTGGAGGGAAGGTCAGCAGATAAACAAGTGAACAAAGGTCTCTGGTTTTCCTAGGCAGAGGACCCTGCGGCCTTCCGCAGTGTTTGTGTCCCTGGGTACTTGAGATTAGGGAGTGGTGATGACACTTAACGAGCATGCTGCCTTCAAGCGTCTGTTTAACAAAGCACATCTTGCACCGCCCTTAATCCATTTAACCCTGAGTGGACACAGCACATGTTTCAGAGAGCACAGGGTTGGGGGTAAGGTCACCGATCAACAGGATCCCAAGGCAGAAGAATTTTTCTTAGTGCAGAACAAAATGAAAAGTCTCCCATGTCTACTTCTTTCTACACAGACACGGCAACCATCCGATTTCTCAATCTTTTCCCCACCTTTCCCGCCTTTCTATTCCACAAAACTGCCACTGTCATCATGGCCCGTTCTCAATGAGCTGTTGGGCACACCTCCCAGACGGGGTGGTGGCCGGGCAGAGGGGCTCCTCACTTCCCAGTAGGGGCGGCCGGGCAGAGGCGCCCCTCACCTCCCGGACGGGGTGGCTGGCCGGGCGGGGGGCTGACCCCCCACCTCCCTCCCGGACGGGGTGGCTGCCGGGCGGAGGGGCTCCTCACTTCTCAGACGGGGTGGTTGCCAGGCAGAGGGTCTCCTCACTTCTCAGACGGGCCGGCTGGGCAGAGACGCTCCTCACCTCCCAGACGGGGTCGCGGCCGGGCAGAGGCGCTCCTCACATCCCAGACGGGGCGGCGGGGCAGAGGCGCTCCCCACATCTCAGACGATGGGCGGCCGGGCAGAGACGCTCCTCACTTCCTAGATGGGATGGCGGCCGGGCGGAGACGCTCCTCACTTTCCAGACTGGGCAGCCAGGCAGAGGGGCTCCTCACATCCCAGACGATGGGCGGCCAGGCAGAGACGCTCCTCACTTCCCAGACGGGGTGGCAGCCGGGCAGAGGCTGCAATCTCAGCACTTTGGGAGGCCAAGGCAAGCGGCTGGGAGGTGGAGGTTGTAGCGAGCCGAGATCACGCCACTGCACTCCAGCCTGGGCACCATTGAGCACTGAGTGAACGAGACTCCGTCTGCAATCCCGGCACTTCGGGAGGCCGAGGCTGGCGGATCACTCGCGGTTAGGAGCTGGAGACCAGCCCGGCCAACACAGCGAAACCCCGTCTCCACCAAAACCAGTCAGGCGTGGCGGCGCGTGCCTGCAATCGCAGGCACTCGGCAGGCTGAGGCAGGAGAATCAGGCAGGGAGGTTGCAGTGAGCCGAGATGGCAGCAGTACAGTCCAGCTTCGGCTCCGCATGAGAGGGAGACCGTGGAAAGAGAGGGAGACCGTGAGGAGAGGGAGAGGGAGAGGGAGAGGGAGAGCTAAAGCCTATCAATAGCTAAATATGTCAAAAAACATTCTGGCCTTTGTTTGGTGAGAATTCATGTCACGGTAGGAGGAAATCTGAAAGTTAGGAATCAAAGTTTGCATGCATTTTAAGGGTGTGCTGCTGATATGCACAGGGAGTGGGTTTGCTAACGCCATCCCAGCCACTGATGCAGCTGGACTGGGCTCTAGGAAAGCTGACAGAACAGTGAAGGAAGCCAGGCCAGAGTGGTGCTCCCCCCACCCACTGGGAGAATCCATCGAGATGCACAATTTGAGTAGCATCATGTCTGATCTGGGGTTTACTAGTGATTTTTTAAGACAGGATCTCACACTCTTGCCCAGGCTGGAGTGCAGTGGTGCGATCTCTGCTCACTGCAACCTCTGCCTGCAGGGTTTAAGCAATTCTCCTGCTTCAGCTTCCTAAGTAGCTGAGATCACAAGCGTGTGCCACCATGCCCGGCTAATTTTTGTATTTTTGGTAGAGACGGTTTCACCATGCTGGCCAGGCTGATCTCAAACTCCTGACATCAAGTGAGCCACCGTGCCCAGCCTGATTTTTCACTTTAAAGTTGATTTTTGTTTTGTTTCAGAAATTACACTGAAATGCAACTACTAAACAAGAAAGTACGGTTGGCATAAAATGTTTTATCATAGAAACACTTTTCATGGGAGAATAACTGAACAGTTTTAAAATAATACCAGGATAAAAGGCTCAAAAATTTGTTAGCCAGTAACAACAGAGTATCAGTGGGGACAATCAGACACCAAACAACTGGAGGTTAAAAGGAGAGTGAACAGATCACTGCCTAGAAAGGGACAGCCCCAAGCATGGGTTTGGAAACGGGTACTAATTGTGGTGAAATTTTTATGGAATGAGGATTACTTCCACAGCCAATTACAGATGCTCCTCAGCTTCCAGTGGGGTCACCTCCGGATAAACCCATCATGAGTTGAAAATATTGTCAGCTGGAAATGCACTGAATCCACCTAACCCACCAAATATCACAGCTTAGCCTGCCTCAAGCATGCTCAGCAAACTTATGCTAGCCCACAGTTGAGCCTCCTTTTTTATTTTTATTTTTGAGACGGAGTCTTCCTGTCGCTCAGGCTGGAATGCAGTGGCGCGATCTTGGCTCACTGCAACCTCCGCATCCCAGCTTCCAGCGATTGTCCTGCCTCAGCCTCCCAAGTAGCCAGGATTACAGGCACCCGCCACCACGCCCCGCTAATTTTTGTGTTTTTAGTAGAGGCAGGCTTTTGCCATGTTGGCCAGGCTGGTCTCGAACTCCTGAGCTCATATGATCTACTTGCCTTGGCCTCCCAGAGTGCTGGGATTACAGGTGTGAGCCAGCACACCTGGCTGAGCCTCCTTTATCACACAGTGTTGAATATGTCATGGAGTTTATTGAATACCGTACAGAAGGTGAAAGAGAATTGTTGCACGAGGACTTCAAGTACAGTTTCTGCAGAATGTGTCTCATTTTCAAAAACTCCTAAGTTGAATGATCATTAAACTGGGACAGTCTGCATTTAAGGACAAAACAGGAGTTCTGGTGTCTTAAGACTGTAGCTGATTTCTAAGAATGTAGCTACTTTCTTTTTTTGGGACACAGTCTCACTCTGTCACCCAGGCTGGAATGCAGTGGTGCGATCTCGGCTCACTGCAAGCTCCGCCTCCCGGGTTCACGCCATTCTCCCGCCTCAGCCTCCCGAGTAGCTGGGGCTACAGGTGTGTGCCGCCACGCGCGGCTAATTTTTTGTATTTTTAGTAGAGACGGGGTTTCACCGTGTTAGCCAGGATGGTCTCGATCTCCTGACCTCGTGATCCGCCCGCCTCAGCCTCCCAAAGTGCTGGGATTACAGACGTGAACCACCGCGCCTGGCTGAATGAAGCTACTTTCAAACTGTTCTCCCAGTAACTGGAAATAAAACATAAATGACCTTGGCAGGTATAAGATTGCCCGCTTGCTTAGGCTGGAGCTCCCACTTCTGGCCATGTGTGTGCACAGCGGGCTCCAGGCTGGAGCTGCCCCGCTGCCCCACTGTTATACTCCTTTCCCATCCCAGGCACCCTAAAGCCTGCAAGGAGAGAAGTCGTGCACCTCAGGTGTAGTAACCTTCTGAAGGCGGACGCCTTTACCAGTGAGATGCTGACGGCCGGGCCAGCTTCGCAAGGATCGGCTGTGAGGAGCGTTTTATCCCTGACATGGTTTAGAACTGCCAGTCAGTACATGACTGTTTTGAAGTTCTCTGGAACCATATTCCTCTGTCTCATGCACAGGACCCGTGCCCCGCCTCCGTGGATTCTGGATGCATGAGAATGGACGAGGGGTGGCATTTCAGCTGGTGGCCTTGTGGCCTAGTTCACGCCTTCGTCCTGATGGAAGTCTGGGTTTGCCCTGATATGGAAATGACACATGGACAGACACACCACACACACAGAGGAGCCTTGCTATTTTAAGCATGTACTTTATACAAAATAACCAGTTCATATGGAAATAAATCTACAGACCTCCAAGGATCAAAAAGCTTTTTAAAAAGTTCTTTTAAAAAATTATCCAACACACAATATTGAACTAACTATTGAGGTAAGTGTCGCTCTCAGTGAAACAGGGAATCAGCAGACCACGACAAAATATACACAATATAAAAATAAATAGCATTCCCCTTTCCAGTACTGGCCAGAAGGTTCACATGGTTTCTGCTTTTGCAGCAGGAGCAGAGGCTCCAGACACTGTGTGCCAAGGCTGCTGGGGACTGACCGGGGCCCCAGGAGCTACGCACAAGGCAGGAGAGTGAGGTACCTGAGCCCTGGCTAGGGAAGGGAAAGGAAGGGAAGGGAAGGGAAGGGAAGGGGCTGCATGGTTTCCTGAACGGGGGTCAGCATTTCAATAACTTATGCAATATCCATACCCCTGCTCCCACCCCACCCACCCCTGTCAACAACACAAGCAAGGACAATCAACTGCTCGTCAGCCGTTCTGACGTTAGAGTTCAGTTAGTCCTCTTGTGCAGGACAAGAGGGAGAAACTAGGTAGGAAAAGGTCAAGCCGAGCCCGGAACAGTCCCTCCGCACATCTGTCTAGCACAGAGCAGGATCAACATCCAGCCTGGAGGCAAAACTTGTGTCCCAGCTTAATTTAAAAAATGAAGGTCCGGTGTGTTGGCTCACGCCTGTAATCCCAGCATGTTGGGAGGCCAAGGCGGGTGGATCACCTGAGGTCAGGAGTTTGAGACCAGCCTGGCCAACATGGTGAAACCCCGCCTCTACTAAAAATACAAAAATTAGCTGGGAGTGGTGGTGCGCGCTTGTAGTCCCAGCTACTTGGGAGGCCGAGGCAGACGAATCCCTTGAACCTGGGAGGTGGAGGTTGCAGTGAGCCGAGATCGTGCCATTGCACTCCAGTCTGGGGGACAAGAGCAAGATTTCGTCTCAAAAAAAAAAAAAAAAAAAAGAAAAGAAAAAAAACGGGATGCAGTAACATTCACCCAAACACTACTGTCCCAAGGGGAAAGTGCGTGAGGCTTGGTGTCCTATGGCTGCACGGCAGAGTCCAACCCAAAAAAGAAATAGGGAGCCCAGCTTTTTCTCACGCAGCAAATGGCAATCACATTCTTTGTGCTATGCAGTGATGTGAGTCCACGAATAAAAGCCTCTGCATTCTCAACCGAAATAAGAAGTATCCTTACTGAAGCTAGTGTCCGGAGAGTCACTGGTGGACACACCACACCCCAGGAGCCCCCGGATTGGGCAGTACATGGCTCACTAATATATGGGACTGATTTTCTGCAATGCGGGTCCATGGAGAATCACAGAGGGTGAACTGACTGACAGACAAAGAAGGGCAACAATGCTAGAAAACCTTCAGCCTTTCCTTTCTATGAAAACCAAGGTTCTCTGCAAGCAGGTTGGGGTTCTTACACTACTCAACTGTCCTTACCTTGTGACTATAGGATTAGGCCTTCCTGTGAAATTTCAAATCAGGTCTTAAGAGCAGTGTAGTATTTACAGATTTGAATGTCCATTAAAAAAAAAAATTGAACCAAGAAGTATGGATTGCAAACTTGTTTCTGACAGCTGTGGTGACTGCAACACTGGGATTTTGTGGGCCTGGGATGGCATCTGCCAGCAGTAGGAATCAGCAAAAATAATATAGTAACTATACAGCAGATAAATGGCATGGGATAATGACACCAAATGCTTAGTCACAAGAAACACTTTCAGGGAACAAGACAGAGTAAATCGACATTTAAAGCTGAGGTCTGACTGAACTGAGGGGCACAAACTGCAGGTCTTAAGGTTTTCACTAAGCCTAACGAAGAGGAGCATGAGAAGGCCTTCTGAGAGCATCTGGCCCGGGCTCAGTGAGAAGATACGAACTGTTGATGAGCAGCTCGTGTGTACGGCCAGGTAAACTAAACCAACCTGATGAAGGCTGGTGATGAAGGAGAGGCGGAGAGGTGGGATGGAAAGTTACGTCAACAAGAATCCTACAGGGTTTGTTCTTATTTATTCTCCACATTCATTCACTGTAACAAATTTCAGCCAATAGCTCCTGCTACCTTTTAACTGAGGGGAAAAAGTAGCTGAATTAAAAACTATTTTTTAATTCTGAGGGGAAAACAAACCCAGAATCCTCCCAAGAAGCTCATCTTTTCTCTTGGGCCTTAGGGACACAAGTTTCTAACTTATTAACAACTCTACTAAAGGTGAGCCATGAGTGTTAAATCAAAGAGATGCAATGGTATTTCCCATTCTCCACGATCTCAGCTATCCCCATCCTCCTGGGGACCACTGAGAGCCGGCACGCTGACAAGGTGACAGTGACCCACAGGGTGAAATGTCCTTCTAGCTTGAGAGCAAACCTTTTCAGGATACCTTACACACTACTTCCTAAATATAACATATCACATAACCATCATTTTCCTAATGGAGAAGATGGCAAATGCATTTGCATCTGCTTTAAGACATTGCATCTGCTTAAGACACTTGGAAAGAGAAGTGCTAGAGGAGGAAGAAAAGGTGAGAAGAAGATCCTGCTTGGGGATGGGTGGGCTAGGGGTTCACAGCAGCTCACGCTCCTGTGGATTCCTGCAACCTTGCAGCTCCAGACAGCTTATAGCAGATCTGCACTTCAAAGACCAGTGAAAGCTCAGGACACTCCCTGGACAATGGACGAAGCACTAGTACCTATAAGGCATGGACACATTCCCACACAGGACGCAGGAAGGCTGACAATTCTGCTGCTGCTGATGTTCTTGTTCACAGTGTTATAATACAGTAGTTCTATTTCCTATTGCTCTTCCTTAATATTTTCTGTCGAAAACCAAGAAGGGAGATTAAGGATAAAGGGATTTACTGACTTTTCCTGTATCGTTCACAGCATCGCTCTAGCAACAGCTGATTGGGGCGGTCACTGGGAGAGAGAGGAGACAGGATTACCTGGAAGAGTGTGCACACAACTGCTCAAGGACCACGAGGGCAGAAGGAAAGGGGGCAATGGCCCAACTGCTGCTTACAGCCACTCCCACCCAGGCCCCTGGGGTAGTCATGGGGAGAGGCCCACAGTGTCAGTGCTCCTGTTAAGGAGAAGTGAGAGGCCTCTGATTCAAACCAGCATTACCAGGAAAAGAGAAAGGCTGTCAGTGGCCAAATTCTCTGGGCCTAGACCAGGTCTAACCAGCTCCAAACTAGCTTTTTACCTCCTCCCTGCTTCTGCACAAACACAGAAACTGAAGTAGTAATGCCCCATGTTAGCGGATACTAGCTAAAGGGCAGACCCATCCACAATCCTTCTGTCCTCTTCACTCTTCTAAACCAGGTTATGCCAGTGATAGGTTTCTAACAAGAATTAGGATCCAGTGAGAACACAGGCTCAAAACTCAATCCACTTGCAAATACATCAAATTTAAAATTAAAACCTCTCTGAGAGAAAATCTGTATTTTTGTGCATTATACCTTAGAGGCACCTGTGTTCCCTACTCAACTCTCAAATCTGCCTGAGCCCTAGGCAGCAGCACCAGGTTCAGCATTTGCGTACGGATATGAACTTCCATCATCCTGGAACTGGTGTCTTGGCTTTCATTTCTCTGTATCATGGATGCTTCCGATTAGCTTCCTTTTCCACGGACAGCATATGTTTAGCAAACTGTAAACACGACAGTTCCATGCTTCACTAGGAATCCTGGAATTGGAGGGAAACACTCTACTGGCCCCTCCCACAGCTGAATTTATAAGAAACTAGGGCAGATTAATATTTCATAGAGACTCTTCTACTATCCCAAAAGCATGCTTAAAAATATGCTATTCTTTACAAAGACCTGTAATTTCAGTATTTTCCTTAGTTTTTTCTTTTGTGGAATATTCAAAAGTTTAAAACATGGGTCCTAACTTTGGTGACCTTTCAGCTAAAATCAAATACAGAATGCTAACGAGGGAGAATCCAGTGTAATTCAACTCTACAACTGTAATAAAGTAATTTAATACTGTAAAATGGTTTCCTATCACAGATACAACAGATAATTCCAAGAACTTGTTCTTGATAGCTATTTTAAATCACCATGACTGATTTTACTATGATTCACTTAAAACGAATAAAAACTATATATACTGAAATATTCCTAAATTCAAACTGTAAATCTATAGAATACATTTTTCCTATTCAAACCTGTGCAATTCTTTATTGATACTAAAATATACAAACCTGAGTAGTCACTTCCACAAAATGTGATTCGTGCCAGAAAGCTGTGTGTGATGCCTTCTAGATCACAGTCCTGACAGGGAGGTCTGTGATGAGGACGATTCATCTTCTAATACGTGAAACACTCTAGCGATCCCAATTCCTGATACTGGTTTACAACTATTCGGTAGGGCTGGTGGCAAAATCAGGAAGGGACACCACTTTCTCAATTTGGGCCACCAGCATGAGAGAGCAGCCTGTCTTCCGGGCTGAAGCTTCTAGTAGTCTCCTGAGAGCAGTCTGCCTCCAATGGAGACACCAGGTGCTTAGGGGACAGGTGTTCTCTCTCAGGCTGACTGGAAGGAAGGAAGGCCTTTAGCTATTCTGAAGGCTGGCTGGCCACTAAGGAAACACAGTGACATATTACAAGATCAAACCTTTCCTACCCTCATCTCCGGCTCCCATAAGTATTCAGTGTGACATGATTGTAAACAGATAAAAATCACTCCAGTGCTGTGTGCCCACCAGTTAGGACCCCCATTTCTTCCGCATCCCCACCCACCCTTCCCACTTTATGTACAATACATTCACCACCAACAAAAATTATTTTAAAAGGCAACATGAAAATTCTGTAAACTGGACCCAGCTCCAAAACCATTAATACTAAGAGTAGTCCCTTCCCCAAATATATACCTGAGTTTAGCTGCTCATCAAAGTTTAAAAGCACCACTCCATTCTTGAGTATACCCCCTCCCCCAAGTTTAAAGTGATTTTCCCTGAAAAGTGTCTCAGGATTTGGAAAAGTCATCATTAACTCCACGTTCATTAGTTTTGCCTGACTGTCTACATCAGCTGTGCAAGAGATCCCTGGCCGAGGACCTTTGCAATCTGTGTGTCAGTCATCTAAGGAGTGTCCTTTTAGGGCCCGTGACTGGCTCCAGCTCAAGTATGGCACGAGTGGGTCGCCGTGAAGGGGTGGAGCAGGTGATGGGAATAGAGCTGACAGGGCACTCCCCAGTTCTCCACATTCCAGTCTTCGTGTGCAGCTTTCCATTGCTTGGGGCTCATTTCCTCCTTGGACTAGCTCTGAAAGAAACAAAGACATTTTAAACAAAAATAAAAATTGGGTTGTTAAAAAAAAAAAAACTTAAGTAAGCCAAAGAATGTCCAAGCTCCTCATGTGTGAAAATGGCTTGATTCTGTTTCATCAGTTACAGTTTACTTCCAGAGGGTAGGTTCTAGAGTCCTGGACTTCTCAATTCAGATCCCAGTCCCAGTGCTTAACAGTAGTAGGACTTGCACACTGGGAAATGATGATGATGCAGCCAATGAGAACTACTTTGTGGGGGTCAAGGGAAAGACTGCATGGGAGAGAAGCACTGCACGAGACAACGCATGGGAGAGAAGCAGCACTCAGAGGCAGCTATTACTACTTTAAAACCCACCAACTAGTCTCTCTCCAATGAGAAAGGTGGGAAGCATAAAACAGACAAGGGATCATGGCAGAAAAAATGTTTGCAGATGGCTTGGAAAAAATGAGGTTTAAATACTCACCAAATAGGTATGCATTCCATATCACAATAAGAAAAAGAGACATGTGAGAGGTGACTTCCGAGGCCTCTTGCTCTTTTTCCAAGTGCCAAGGAAGCACGATACAGGCAAAGTTCCTGTATCCACAGGATACCTTAAAACATTTTTTCAGAACAGCAAGGTTGTCATATACTTACTTCCTACCACCTGGAGGAAGAAGAACAGCTCTAATTTTTAGTGATCCTTACCTGATCCAGGGGAAGTGTTGGAGGCTTATGAGGCGGCACCTCCTCCTGTGATGTTGCTGCTGTGGGGGTCTTTGGGAACGAGGCCTGCGACTGGACCGGGTGCATCTGCATTCTACAGCCACGAGAAAGAAGCAATGAAGAATTAATGAAGACGTGTTAACGACAGAAGAAACAAGACACTGTAGTCACGAGGGTACTGCCTTCATCACCCCGGTGATCAGGCCTGGAATCATCCATACTGGGACAACTCGACATTCTGTGCCCCCTGGGGCAGTAAGTGGCACGCACACGCACCACCTACTGCACTCCTGACAAAAGTGTTTAATCTATTTTTTTTTTTCTTTTAGAGACAGGGTCTTGCTCTGTCACCCTGTTAGAATGTAGTGGCAGGATCATGGTTTACTGCAGCCTCAATCTTCTGGGCTCAAGTGCTCCTCCTGCCTCACCCTCCTGAGTAGTGTGTGCTACCATGCCTGGCTAAGTTCTTTATTTTCACTAGAGACAGGATCTCACTATGTTGCCGAGGCTGGTCTCGAACTCCTGAGCTTAAGCAATCCTCCTGCCTCAGCCCCCGAAAGTGCTGGGATTATAGGTATGAACCACTGCACCTGGCACAAGAGTTTCATCTACACACAAGGAGACTGTGTGATGAATCTGGAATCTGGAACACTCTCCATGATAACTGGCCTGGACTCTTTGGAAAACAAAACAAAGATATGACAACTGCTATAAATTAAGAGACTAAACAGACACGGCAGCCAAATGCAAATCCATGAGCCTTCATTGGATCCTTTATCAGAAAAAAACAATAAAAATAGAACACAAAGAAACGACTCTAAAAGACACTCTGGGGACAACTGAGGAAACAGAAACAAAAACTCTATTAGATACTGTTATTTGCCTTGAGTGTGGTAATCGTTTTGAAATGGTGCTCCAAGGCATGTCCATTCTTAGGAGATGCATGCTCAAGTATTGAGGGGTTAAGGGCCATGATGTCTACAATTTACTTTCCAACAGCTTAGGAAAAAAAGCAAAGCAAAGAAAACAGGTATTTAGAGACATATAAAGCAAACACGACAAAATGTTAAATAGTAGAGAGGGTCTAGCAATAAGATGACAGGATGGCACTGAGGAGGGGAACACTGGTTTTTATGCTGAATGGTACTGGTTTCAAGACTATGCTTCATAACTTTTTTTTTTTGAGACAGAGTCTTGCTCTGTTGCCCAGGCTGGAGTGCAGTGGCATGATCTTGGCTCACTGCAAGCTCCGCCTCCCAGGTTCACGCCATTCTCCTGCCTCAGCCTCCCGAGTAGCTGGGACTACAGGTGCCCACCACCACGCCCGGCTAATTTTTTGTATTTTTAGTAGAGACGGGGTTTCACCGTGTTAGCCAGGATGGTCTCAATCTCCTGACCTCGTGATCTGCCCGCCTCGGCCTCCCGAAGTGCTGGGATTACAGGTGTGAGCCACCGCGCCTGGCCGCTTCATAACTTTCATTTGTATCTATCGATTTGAAAACTTCCTGGATGGCAGATCACCTAACTGGATCTGGAGAACAACACTACACAAGCATGTGTGAAAGAAGTCTCATGGGGACTTGTTTGCATTCTGGATAAACCTGGTTTTCTCATTCAATGATAGGGTAAGAAATGAGAGGTATGTAGTAAAACTTCAATACTACATGATCTCCTCTTCTACTCCTGGGTAGGCCTATTTTTTTTTTTTTTTTTACCTTGGTCAGAGTGTCTCCACATGGCAGCAATGTTGACACAGGCTTGCTTACAGCTCTCAAACTGTGGTTATTAAGTTTATAGTATCATACAAAACTCAGCCAGGTGTGGTGGCGGGCACCTGTAATCCCAGCTACTTGGGAGGATGAGGCAGGAGAATCGCTTGAACCTGGGAGGCAGAGATTGCAGTGAGCAGAGATCGTACCACTGCACTCCACCCTGGGCCACAGAGTGAGACTTAATCTCAAAAATAAATAAATAAATAAATAAATAAATAAAGTTTACAATATCAAAATCTAAGTCAGTCATTTAAATGCCAGTTCATTTTCATGAGTGGAAAAAATTTCAAAGATAAAGTTGGGCTCTAAGTTTAATACCTTCCTACAGAGTGTACAACATCAATAATTCACATATTTTTTTTGTTCCTAGACCATGAACTGTTATCTTCATCTCTAAGGCCATTTTTCTGTTTAAAATGAACATCCAGGCCAGGTGTGCTGGCTCATGCCTGTAATCTCAGCACTTTGACAGGCTGAGGCAGGAGGATGACTTGCGCTCAGGAGACTAGGACCAGCCTGGGCAACACGGTGAAACCCTACCTCCACCAAAAAAAAAAAAAAAAAAAAACCAAAAAGTTAGCTGGGTGTGGTGGCATGTGTGTAGTCCCAGTTACTTAAACAGCTGATGCAGGAGGATCCTTGAGCCTGGGAGGTCGATGCCGCCGTGAGCCATGATCACACCACTGCACTCCAGCCTGGGTGACAAAGTGAGACTCTGTCTCAAAAATAAATACATAAAATAAACATCTGTTCTCTCTTTAGGGGGAAAAGCCTGAATGCAATCTTACCCTGATGGTCTGTACATTTCCTGGAAAGGTCCTCTTATTCCACTTCTAGTGCCAATTTGTTCCATCATCACAGCTTGAAAGTGACCCAGGCCTTCTTCCTGGCAGCGATAGATGGGACCCTCCTGAGAGAGGCCGTTGGGCTGGGTGGCCCCTGGGTGGTGAGGTGGGAGGGCAGCCACAGGGGAAGAGTAAGCCCTGGGCTGAAAGTGACTGGCCGGCCGCTGAGGGGTATAGGGAGGCCCCGTCTGCAGCATCACACTGTGGGGTGGAAATGCAGATGAACCAAATCCCATTCCTGAACTCAGAGGCGGAGGAGTTCCATAGAGATACTCGCTGGCTGACAACGAGCTCTGCCGCTTGGTAGCTGCGTTATGGTTGTCCAGGTCTAAAAATTCTTTGGGACTCTCTGGCCTCTCCATAGATTCATCCAGCTTCTCTTCCTCTGGACCAGGATTCTGCCCGTCATTTGGGACTTTAGCAGCCACTGCATCCATACGGGTTGGAGAAGTTAAGGCAGCATTCAGTGTCTCACAGCCTTGCAGACTGGCCATGGCATTCTTATCTGAGAAGAGGGACCTTGGTGGGGGAGGCTGACTGGCTGGGGGTCCGCTTGGGCTTCCCTGGGGATGGAGAGGTCTCTGCCAGTCAGAAAAGCTCTGTGGACAGGCATAGTAAGGAGTTCGCTGATAGTGGTGGTAGGAAGGCTGTGGCGGTGGGTGGTAGGAATACCTCATTCCTTGTGGGGGGCGATACCGGGGAAAGCCTCCAGAATGTGGGTGGTTAGACTGAAAGCCCCTTGGGGGAAAATGCTGGGGATGGGATGCTGGGGACTTCCCTCCCATCACAGGGCCCACACCCTGCAGGCCTGGACTGATGTGGTAATGGGCAGCTGAATTCGGGTACTCTAGGCCAGGCATATACAGCGGGGGAAACTGGCTCACAGTGCCTCCCGTCAAACCGGGGTCTGTGCTGGGCGGTGTCGCTGCGTTCTGTCCCGTGCATGGCATGGTTTCCTGCAACGTTCTGCCTCTGGGGCAGAGCAGCTTTTCGGAACCACTGCTACCAAGGCCCTTCCCCTCCGATCCACAAGGAGATGCTTCCCCAATGACTCCGTTCTCGGATAGAGCGCCCCTGTCTGCCACCGTGGAGAGGTCTCTCACGCACCCTTGGGCGGCTGGGCCGGGGTAGCTGCTATCCGAGGGCCAGGGATTCTTGCCCTTCATTGCTTTACAGTTGTCCGCAGATTCGGAGGAGCTGCTTTTGAGCTCCGGGCCCACTGTTTCCCTTTCTTGTGGTGAGCTCTGCCTGGTGCAGTCAGTCTGCAGGGGAGGTGTGGGGTGAGGTAGTTGTGTGAGGTAGACCCCCTCTGAAGTACCAACACCTGGTGGTTTCTCTTCAAGGCCAGGCAACGGCTCTGCTGCAAAAAAAAAAAAAAAGAGGAGAAAAAATAACTCAGTAGCTGAAATGACAGTATTAATGTGAAGAACATGCCTGAGTCAGATTAAGGTGGATGTGTGGTGATTCAAGCCCCACCTGGAAATTGTTTGAGTCCCTGAAAGAGGGCAGGACATTGGGGTCCCTGTACACTTCCTTTCACCCCTTTCACGGACACAAAGGTAAAACCTAGCACCTCTACATTCACTCTTACAGTGGGCCGGAGAATGGAAATGTCCTTAACCGTGGGTTGCCCGATTCGTAAGAGGCTGAGAGACGGCTTGTGGCTCACGGACTCTAGGCAGATGCACGTGAAACACACTGGGAGGGGATGGTTGTCATCAGAATCACTGGCCATGCTGGGAAGCTCTAAAATGGGATGCAACCAGAAAGAACAGGGCATGACGGGCGCTCAGGAAGGCCAAATGCCTGGTTTCTGCTCCACGAGAATAAAAGCTCCACAGGAGGGACTTCTCCGTCTCACTGTCCTCTCAGTTCATGCACACAGACTCAATCACTTTGTTGAATGAATACATTCATTTTGTCTGCATGTCTTGAAGACAAGACGCCTACAACATGAAACTCAAAAGGCATCTTTAGGGGCCGGGCACGGTGGCTCACGCCTGTAATCCCAGCATTTTGGGAGGCCGAGGCGGGCAGATCACGAGGTCAGGAGATTGAGACCATCCTGGCTAACACGGTGAAACCCCGTCTCTACTAAAAAATATAAAAAATTAGCTGGGTGTGGTGGCCGGCACCTGCAGTCCCAGCTATTCGGGAGGCTGAGGCAGGAGAATGGCGTGAACCCAGGAGGCGGAGATTGTAGTGAGCCAAGATTGTGCCACTGTACTCCAGCCTGGGCGACAGAGTGAGACTCCATCTCAAAAAAAAAAGAGGCATTTTTAACATATTATGGAAATTTACTAAGCCCAATCAAATTAATTAGACTCCTATGCTTGTTTACATTCTCAGAATTCTTTAACTTACTATTCGACCTAAAAATAAGGTCTTAACTAAGACTACAATATACAATAGTGTGTAAGTGTGTGTATATATCTATATAAAATAATCTTTTTTTTTTTTTTTTTTTTTGAGGCAGAGTCTCACTCTGATGCCCAGGCTGGAGTGCAGTGGCGTGATCTTGGCTCACTGCAACCTCCGCCTCCTGGGTTCAAGTGACTCTCATGACCCAGACTCCCAAGTGGCTGAACTTACAGGCCTGCACCACCATGCCCGGCTAATTTTTGTATTTTTAGTAGAGACAAGATTTCACCATGTTGGCCAGGCTGGTCTCAAACTCCCGACCTCAGGTGATCCACCCGCCTCAGCCTCCCAAAGTGCTGGGATTACAGGTGTGAGCCACCGCGCCCAGCCAAAATAATCTTTTTATTATCTTTCTAGGAGGACAGTTGTCCAGGTGTGATGAAATTACCATCCTGGTAACAGATCTGAAGCACAAGGTTAGAGATTCTTAACAACTTTTAAAGAGCTATTAACATAGCTCAGGCTACTTGAAGCTGGCCCTAAAGGTCAATGGTACAAATTACACAATGAAAGTGAAAAACCGTACTTTTCATTATTCAGCCAACATTAAACTTAGCAACTAGACTTAACTAAACAGGATTTTTTTTTTTTTTTTTTTTTTGAGACAGAGTCTCGCTCTGTCGCCCAGGTTGGAGTGCAGTGGCGCGATCTCGGCTCACTGCAAGCTCCGCCTCCCGGGTTCACGCCATTCTCCCACCTCAGCCTCCGGAGTAGCTGGGACTACAGGCGCCCGACACCATGCTGGCTAATTTTTTGTATTTTTAGTACAGATGGGGTTTCACCGTGTTAGCCAGGATGATCTCGATTTCCTGACCTCGTGATCCACCCGCCTCGGCCTCCCAAAGTGCTGGGATTACAGGCGTGAGCCATCGCGCCGGCCTAAACAGGATTCTTGTAAAGCTCTGAATTCCAGAACTCACTTGAAATCAATATTAGAAAATTCTGCTAGAGGTGGTGTTAACAAAGTAGGACTTTCCACAAAAGAAATACTAAAAGGTTTTTTTCCCCTAACCATTTTTTTTCTTTTTTTAAAAGAGTCGGAGTTTCAACTCTGTCGCCCAGGCTGGAGTGTAGTGGTGTGATTGTGTCTCACTGAAACCTCGAACTCCAGGGTTCAAGCAATCCTTCCACTTCAGACTCCCAAGTAGTTGCGATTACAGGTATGAGAAACACAAAAATTTAAATGAGTTCTAACCCTACCATCAATTTAATGTGGAATCTATTATCTTTTTTTTTTTTTTTTTGAGACGGAGTCTTGCTCTGTTGCCCAGGCTGGAGTGCAGTGATGTGATCTCGGCTCACTGCAACCTCAGCCTCCCGGGTTCAAGCGATTCTCCTGCCTCAGCCTCCCGAGGAGCTGGGATTACAGGCACCCACCACTGTTCCCGGCTGATTTTTGTATTTTTAGTAGAGACAGAGTTTCACCATGTTGGCCAGGCTAGTTTTGAACTCCTAACCTCATGATCCACCCACTGTGGCCTCCCAAAGTGCTGCAATTACAGATGTGAGCCACCGTGCTCAGCCAGGAATCTATTATCTTAAGTCCAAGTGTGTCCATTCTCCTGCCAGGTACTGAAGAAAATTACATGCATGCTAGATATTTATCCTAGAAATAAGCATTAATTGGAAAGTATTTTTTTTTCCATTTTCTCCCCTAGTTTAATGTTTATTCCTCTTAAACGGCATTTCTTTTTTTTTTTTTTTTTTTTTTTGAGACGGAGTCTCGCTGTTTCGCCCAGGCTGGAGTGCAGTGGCGTGATCTCGGCTCACTGCAAGCTCCGCCTCCCGGGTTCAAGTGATTCTCATGACCCAGCCTCCCAAGTAGCTGAACTTACAGGCCTCTACCATCACGTCCGGCTAATTTTTGTATTTTTAGTAGGGAAAAGATTTCACCATGTTGGCCAGGCTGGTCTCAAACTCCCAACCTCAGGTGATCCACCCGCGTCAGCCTCCCAAAGTGCTGGTATTACAGATGTGAGCCACTGCGCCTGGCCTAAATGGTATTTCTAAGAAACTGCTTCAAGATTTGCTAGATCTCACTATTGGCCATTCTTAATAAATCCAGGTATGTATCCAAGGAACAGAAATTCACTTGATAACTTTCAAGATGGTATTGAGACATGGTTTTGCTCTGTTGCCCAGGATGGAGTACAGTGGTGCAATCATAGCTCATTGTAGCCTTGACCTCCCTGGGTTCAGGTGATCCTCCCACCTCAGCCTCCCAAGTAGCTGGGACTATAGGCATGAACCTTTTTTTTTTTTTTTTTTTTTTTTTTTGAGACAGAGTCTCACTTTGTGGCCCAGGCTGGAGTGCAGTGGTGTAATCTTGGTTCACTGCAACCTCCGCCTCCCGGGTTCAAGTGATTCTCCCGCCTCAGCTCCCTGAGTAGCTGGGACTACAGGCACCTGCCACTATGCTTGGCTAATTTTTGTATTTTAAGTAGAATGGGGTTTTGCCATGTTGGGCAGGCTGGTCTTGAACTCCTGACCTCAGGTGATCTGCCTGCCTTGGCCTCCTAAAGTGCTGGAATTACAGGCATGAGCCACCACGCCTGGCTAATTTTTTAACTTTTTTTTTTTTTTTTTTTTGAGATGGAGTCTCGCTCTGTCGCCCAGGCCGGAGTGCAGTGGCACAATCTCGGCTCACTGCAACCTCTCCCTCCCAGGTTCACACCATTCTCCTGCCTCAGCCTCCGGAGTAGCTGGGACTACAGGCGCCTGCCACCACGCTCGGCTAATTTTTTGTATTTTTAGTAGAGATGGGGTTTCACCATGTTGGCCAGGATGGTCTCAATCTCCTGACCTTGTAATCTGCCTGCCTTGGCCTCCCAAAGTGCTGGGATTACAGGCGTCAGCCACCGCGCCTGGCCATTTTTTAATGTTTTAGTAGAGACAGTCTTACTCTCTTGCCCAGGCTGGTCTCGAACTCCTGGGCTCAACTGATCCATTGGCCTTGGCCTCCCAAAATTCTGGGACTGCAGGCATGAGCCACCAAAACTACTGCCCGGCTGACAGTACTTTTTTAGAGGAACTATGATGATGCAGTGGGTAAAGCACAGATGCTGGATCTAGTCTGTCTGGGCCCAAATCTCAGCTCTGCTACTTACTAGCTGGCTGAGAGCAAATAATCTAACATTTCCATGCCTTGGATTTTTCATCTGTAAAAACAAGGATAGTAACAGTAGCTATCTCGAAGGCTTGTTCTGAGAATAAATGAATTAATGTATAAAAGTCTCTGGAAGGCTCATGCCTGTAATCCTAGCACTTTGGGAGGCCAAGGCAGGCGATCACCTGAGGTCAGACGTTCAAGACCATCCTGGCCAACACGGTGAAACCTTGTCTGTACTAAAAATATAAAAATTAGCCGGGTGTGGTGGCATGCATCTGTAATCCCAGCTACTCAGGAGGCTGAGGCAGGAGAATTGCTTGAACCTGGGAGGCAGAAGTTGCAGTCAACCGAGATTGTGCCACTCCACTCCAGCCTGGGCAAGAGTGGGACTCTGTCTCAAAAAAAAAAAAAAGTCTCAGGAGGAGTGCCTGGCACAGCAAGCGCCCACCTGCGCAGAGTCAAAATTATGACCAGAAATGGGATCGACGGACCAAGAGAAGGACTGTGATTGGCCCAAATCTGAGAAGTTCAAGAAAGAGAAGCTGGGAAGGCCGGGCGCGGTGGGCCTGTAATCCCAGTACTTTGGGAGGCCGACGGGGGCAGGTCACAAGGTCACGAGATTGAGACCATCCTGGCTAACACGGTGAAACCCCGTTGCTACTAAAAATACCAAAAAAATTAGCCGGGCGTGGTGGCGGGTGCCTGTAGTCCCAGACACTCGGGAGGCTGAGGCCGAAGAATGGCATGAACCCGGGAGGTGGAACTTGCAGTGAGCCGAAATCACACCACTGCACTCCAGCCTGGGCGACAGAGCAAGACTCTGTCTCAAAAAAACAAAACAGAACAAAACAAAACCAAAAAATAAACAAAGAAAGAGAGGCTGGGAACCAGATTACACTTGGTTTGATATGCTGTGTAAAAAGATTACTCATGAAACAAGAGCTTAAAGAGCCCAAAGTGACAGTGTAAATTACCTTGGTCATTCTCAGGCTCTTGTGCTTCACTGTTCTCCGGTGCCCTCCCAGGGTTGCCCAGGGCAGGCTTGGGGGCTGACACAGTGACTGACATTGGGTGAGCTACCTGCGGAAAAGGGCCAGGTAAACGGGGGTGTGCAGGCTGGTGGGGGTGGTAAGGCACACCTGGGGGGCAGACGCGGGAGGAGAGCTGCTGCATCGCAATCATCTCTGGGCTGTCCATCATGGAGTCCCCTCCCTGCACCCCCCGAAGAGCCTGGGCAGGTGCTCCAAACAAAGAACTGGGTGCTGGCACTGGAGGTGGCTGTAACCGATGTCCGGCAGACTTGCAGGGCGGTCGCATGTACCCTGAGGAAGGAACTCCATGAGGTAGGAAGCCTGATTGTTCAGTCCACTGGTTGGGGGGGACAGGTGGTCTCATGACTCGGGAATCCATCACGTGACCGAGAGTGCGAGGCTGGTGAGAGGGTCCTGGCCCCAGGTGGGGCTTCTCATCTGGGCCCAAGGGTCCTTGGTTCGTAGCACCATGGTTCCCATTCCAGACGGCAGAGTGTACTCGATTCAGGTACTTGTACGATCGATACATATGGCTGGGAGGAATTTCTGAGCTTTCAGGAAAGTCTGGTGGCCGGGCTGGAGCCCCCCCATGCCGGGGAGGAATGAATCCTGGCTGGAACTGAGCTGGAGCATACATGCTTCCATCCTGACTTGGGCCACTTATCTGCCCAAGCTGCAAGGATCCAGGGTGTGGGCCCATGTTAGAAAGGTGTGTCAGCCCCCCGCACATTTGCTTCTCCTCTGGTGTGCCTAGCCTGGGTCCTCGGAGGCTGTTAATTCCAACTGGAGGCTGGCAACGAGAAAAGGCAGCACAGTTACAGACTCACAGAATAAGGCACACTTTGTGCCATGCTTCTCTATGGGAACAGACTCTTTGGGAAAGGACGCAATGAACAACATTTAACCTGGAAAGAGACTTTTTCTCTGAAACGTACCTGTGGGACCCCCTGCACCTGCACCTCCAGAGTAGGCTGCTTACCTGCATGGTGAAAGGCTGACGCTGCTGCACAGGCTCCCCGGGGTGTGGCTCCGGGACTCCAGAGGAGCCATACAAGGTGGCAGGATCTGATCCTCGCAGAGGGCCAAATGTTCCTGGTACTGCTGGCCTCTGCAGCACATTGAACAAAGCAAGAAGAGGAAAAAGGAAAGGCACAGACTTTAGGTTGACAACAAGGGTTTTCCTGAAGATGAACGTTCTACTAAAATAAAACAGACGACTAAACCTCGGCTGGAGACAGGGAGACTGTGAACACACGTGCTCACCCGCATCAGGGCTTGCCTATGAGCCTGAAGCAACTTCCCTCTCCAGGAGATACAAGATTAAATCAGTGTTTCTCAATCTCTTTTTTATTACTCCTCCTCCCAAGGATCCATTTTAGCCGTTTCTCCCCAGTTGCCTGCTACCATGAAATCTTATAATGTTGCAGATATACTGTACATTCATGTACTACATGTATACCTGTGCTTTATACAATAAAGATTACATTTTTTTTTCTTTTTTTGAGACGGAGTCTCACAGTGTTGCCCAGGCTAAGGTGCAGTGGCACGATCTCAGCTCACTGCAAACTCTGCCTCCTGGGTTCAAGCAATTCTTTTGCCTCAGCCTCCTGAGTAGCTGAGTAGCGCCACCACACCTGACTAATTTTTGTATTTTTAGTAGAGACAGGGTTTCACCATGTTAGCTAGGCTGGTCTTGAACTCCTGACCTCGTGATCGCCCACCTCAGCCTCCCAAAGTGCTGGGATTGCAAGAGTGGGCCACTGCGCCCAGCCAGATTACATATTTTTTAATCCCAATTTTTGCCCACATTGAGAATACCTAATTCAAGTGATTGAGAAAAAGGAGGATTTAGAATAAAGGAATGGCTAGACACAGTGGCTCATGCCTATAATCCCAGCACTTTGGGAGGCTGAGGCAGAAGGACTGTTTGAGGCCAAGAGTTTGAGACCAGCCTAGGCAACATAGCAACACTGTGTCTCTACTAAAAAGTAAACAAAATAAAATCACATGAACAAAGGACTCACAGGGAAAAAGATTCCATACATACACGTAAGTATTTTGCAGGAAGTACTAACTGAATGGCCTCTACATTACTATGAACTCACAAACTAGGAGAAACCGCAACAGTCTCCACTCTATTCCTTACCATCTGGTTTAAAAAGGGTGCCTGGCTGGGTGTCCCACCACAATGCAGGGGATGAGAAAAACCTCGGCCATTGGAAGTGCCCACCTCCCGCGGGGGCTGTGTGGAGCTGCTGCTCTGATCGTCCCCAGAAGAGGGCGCTCGGCGTGTGGGGGGCAACGACTTTCCTCCATTCTCCATGGGCTGCTGTTTCCTGCTGGACCCTTCTGGGTCCCTGGAGCGGGTCCAAACATGGCTCCCACCACTTCGCCCAGCCCGACTCCGTCTTTTCTCCCGCTTTTCATCCTCTCGAATCCAAAATTCTTCATCTGTGTCTCCATCTTCTCCAGGAAAATGTTTCATCATTGCCCGATGGAAACACCTCTCTAAATTATCAGACATCTTGGTATACTCTATAGGAAGACAGGAGGATTGACTTCTAGGTATAGTTTACAGAAATTGTTTATAGAAACTATAGTTTATAGAAACTATAGAAACAGAACTATAGGTCACAAAAGACAATTCTAATAAATAGAAGATGCAACCTGGGTAATCTATGAGTTTAATTCACCTTTAGGGCACATTATATTGTAGAGCTATGGATGCAAGATGAAGAAGACGTGGTTTCTATCTGTAAGATGCCCAAGGTTGTATGGTTGGGACAGGGCCTCTAGGACTATTAAGTCAAACCAGGCTGAGCACAGTAACTTATGCCTGTGATCCCAGCACTTTGGGAGGCCAAGGCAGGAGGATCACTTGAGCCCAGGAGTTCCAAGACTGGACTGGGCAAGAAAGTGAGACACCCGTCCCTACCAAAAAGAAAACATTAGCCAGGTATGGTCGCACATGCCGATAGTCCCAGCTACTTGGGACTGAGGGAGGAGGATCCCTTGAGCCCAAGAATTTGAGGTTGCAGTGAGCCATGTTTGCCCTACTGCACTCCTGCTTGGGTGACAGAGTGAAATCCTGCCTCGAGGTTAGTAAATAAAGAAAAAAAATGCCAGTAAAAATTTAATTCTTTAAGGCTAAACTGCAGAAATACTAAATAAAAAATGGCTGAATCTGCTGTTTTTAAGCAGGGCATTTTTAGTTAATGCATAAATGACCCAAAGTAGAAAGAGCCATTTCCTTTTTTTTATATATATAGATATATATTTTTATTATACTTTAAGTTCTAGGGTACATGTGCACAACGTGCAGGTTTGTTACATATGTATACATGTGCCATGCTGGTGTGCTGCACCCATTAACTCGTCATTTACATTAGGTATATGTATCTCCTAATGCTATCCCTCCCCTCTTCCCCCACCTCACAACAGGCCCCGGAGTGTGATGTTCAGAAAGAGCCATTTCTACTTTGATATTGCAGATCTACTACGCCAGCTTCCCCAGATGGTTGAAGAGTCAGCTCTATGTAGGGTCAGTCCCCTCGGTGGTTAAAGAGGCACACACAGTATAATCCAGACCCAGACTGGTCTCCAGGATGAGCCAGTTAGCTGCCAGCTGCACTCTATTGTCCTGTGGGGCAGGAGAGAATCCCTGGCAGACACTGTATAAGTGGCTGGAATGGTCAATCCCATGACTTTTCATACACATTCTGTTCACTGTCCTACAGAAAAGGCACTAGGATGTGTATTTGTAAAAGAGAAGGCATTTTATTCTTGATTACAGATATGTATCTAGCACAAACTCCTTCCCTGCTTACCACTACTTTCCCCATTATACTTTCGACAATTCCTGAACATGGTCTTCATGTCATTTACAAATTCCTCCTTGGTACAGTATAAACCTCCATTCAGTTTCTTCTCCATGCTGGAAATATCCATGGGGGCCTAAACGAGACACATAACTCTTTATAGTTAAAATATGCTGAGAGCAAACATTCCATAGAGAGAGAGAGACAGAGAGATAATGAGAATTCAGCAATGCTGATCTGTAATGAATAACAGATAAAACGAGAAACATCACATGAACTTTTGACAGTTGAAAAGAAAAACGTATCAAAATATATATATATTTAACAACAAACAAACAACAAAACCCAAGAAAGATATACACACTATAGTAGGCATTACTGCAAAGACAACTTCTACCTTAATAATCTGATAATAGTTAGGGGCATAAGATTCATCCACAGGTTCCAAGAAGGGCCAGGAATCCTTGTGAGCCTTTACCACGTCTAGAACTGAAAGCCAGAGAAGAGATCTTAACACACTCACAGAGGAAAACTTCTATCACAAACAGAACAGTGGAGAATGGGAACTAACCTTTATACATAGCAGTGAAATCATCATCCAACTCAAAGCTGTAAATCACAAAATAAGAAATTAATAGTAACTCTGACCACCTTCTCTCCTGAGCTCTCTCAGGTCTATCGCAGACACACCTGACTGAACTAAGATTTGGAATAGTCCTAATAGTGTGGTTTAGATGAGCCTGTGACACTGATAACACTCCCTGGAAATACAATGAGGGACAGTGGACCTTAGCAAAACTGGGAATGTCACTTTCCTCATCTATAAAATGTGGGGTTGGCCTGGATGATCCAGAACTTTATGGTTCTAGAATGTTAGTTATTTAATTGCACATTCTTTATTTACTTATTTTGAGACAGGATCTTGCTCTGTTGCCTAGGCTGGAGTGAAGTGGTGTGATCACAGCTCACTGCAGCCTCCATTTCCTGGGCTCCAGCAATCCTGTCACCTTAGCCTCCTGAATAGTTGGGACTACGGGTGTGTGCTACCATGCCTGGCGAGTTTTTGTATTTTGGGTAGAGGTGAGGTTTCACCATGTTGCCCAGGCTTTATAGCACAATCTTTTTTTTTTTTTTTTGGACGGAGTCTCACTCTGTCACCCAGGCTGGAGTGCAGTGGCACGATCTCAGCTCACTGCAACCCCCACCTCCTGAGTTCAAGTGATTCTCCTGCCTCAGCCTCCCGAGTAGCTGGGACTACAGGCATGTGCCACCTCACCTAATTTTTTTTAAAATTTTTATTAGAGACGGGGGTTTCACCATATTGGCCAGGCTGGTCTCGAACTCCTGACCTCAGGTGATCTGCCCACCTCAGCCTCCCAAAGTGCTGGGATTACAGGCGTGAGCCCGGCCTATAGCACATTTTCAACTAGGGTTTATTTTAGTTATGAATATTTTTGTGATCTAAAGAATAATCCAAAAAATCATATGATAAATGAGCTCAGGAACACTGAATGTGTATCTGCCTCTTGAGTTTAGTAAGGAGTCAAGACAAATGGTACCTAGTACTGTCACGGGAAGTAATTACTTTAAAAAGAATAAACTTCTATTCACATTTCCAAGGAGCTAATTTACATAATAATCAGATTCTGATTTCATTAAATTGAGGGGATGAAGAAAGAAGAGCTTAGTGTTAAGTATCACAGAGTGTGGCAGCAAGAGTGTCAGAGGCCAGGGTAGCTAGGCGTGTCTGTGTGTGCAGGGCCCGCCCTGTTCACTCACACATGGTGACCATGTTACCCAACAGGGCTGTTCTAAGGATGACATGGGGCAAGTGCCTGAATGCTTCATAAATGCTACCAGTTGCTACTGCTGTTGTTGTTGTTACTAAATACTCACAGGTCTTTAGTCTTTTTTTCCTCTCTCATGGGGGAATTGGGGTCCAGATGGGAAAGTTCTGGAGGGAGCTCCTTTCCTTGAGCCAGCAGCCATGCCCTTTCTTCCCTGAGCTTTCTCCTCTTCGCTCGATCTACAATGAACACAAAGGCTGAGTGAGCTAAGCACACTCCAGACACTGACATGGCGTGTTCCTTCATCACTGTGAGAGAAGGAAGAACCAGGCCACCAAAGCAGGATTATGAAGCAACTTCTGCTCCCTGTGCCACCCTCTTTTTGGTAATTAGGATGTTTCTACAGATGGAATGCTTTAAGACAAGGGTAAACTAATTGAACCTGTTTCCTCACTCACACTGAGCTCAAGGTGGGAGATGAAGGTGGCAGGGCAGGCACAGGGTGGGCAGGAGGGGAGGGAGTAAGGCAGAAGAAAACAGAAGAATGGCAGTCGAAGAAAAAGGAAAAAGTACAAGGTTGAATGAGGACTATCTTCTCGGATTACTTGAGGCCATTCTGATCTTTTACTTAAAAAAAGCAACATCCGCAAATCCTTTTTTAGGACCAGACTCTCAGTCCATACACACACAGGATTTTAAACGCACGTCCCAGCTCTTGCCGTTCTGCGTTTATGAAGGCATCCATGCAAGCAATGGTCTGCTCCCCACCCCACCCCCAGATCAGGCAGCAGGCCCTGCCGCCAGTGGGATTTTGGCTGGGAAGAGGGGAAAGATGCCAGCTGGGATTGGCAAGGAGCTGGAAGGCAGGGATGATGATTTTCTTCCTGGCTCCCAGCCACAGCCATGAGAAGCACACTTGGCATTCCATTCCCAGCCTGATGGGGCACTTACCACTTGCAGGGAACAAGGAGGTAGGGGCCAAAGAAAAGAGGCAAGGAGAAAAATGAGACTGCCAGACAGCAAGGCACAAAGATGGAAGGGAGGAGAAGCCAGCAAGAGCCTCTATTTTCTTTTCTTTTTTATTTTTATTTTTGAGACGGAGTTTTGCTCTTGTTGCCCAGGCTGGAGTGTAATGGCGCCACCTCGGCTCACCACAACCTCTGCCCCCTGGGTTCAAGCGATTCCCCTGCCTCAGCCTCCCGAGTAGCTGGGATTACAGGCATGCACCACCACGCCCAGCTAATTTTGTATTTTTAGTAGGGATGGGGTTTCTCCATGTTGGTCAGGCTGGTCTCGAACTCGTGACCTCAGGTGAACTGCCCACCTCAGCCTCCCAAAGTGCTGGGATTACAGGAGTGAGCCATGGTGCCTGGCCTGAGCCTCTACTTTCTTCCCCAATTCTAGCTTCTGTTCCACAAGGGATAGGATCTTTGCCTGACTACTGCTGTGAGCAAGACACGATCCCTGTTGGGTTGCATTTGACTTGAGTTTTTGTTCCTAAATTATTTTCATTTGTGATGCTAATCTATATCTCCTTTAATCAATGAAAAGAAGTTTGCTATCACCAAATTTTAAGAAAAATTTTAAATTTTTAAAAATTATTTTTTTTTTCGACTTCTAAGAAAGTTCTCTAAACCAACTATTTTTTTTTTTTCTGGAAAAAAAAGAAAAATTTCAACCATAAAGAAAACTGTAAATTAATGAATACGCATGTATCACCCAACCTGTCAAACTTTAAACATTTTGTCTTATTAATGTTAATATAGTATTTCATGGTATGATTATTCCACAGCTTAACAATCCATTATTCTCCTTGATTCCAGTTTTAGAAGTTTGTAAACAATAGTATCAACAAAGTTATTTTAAAACATGTCTTCTCAAGCATGTGTGTAAGGATTCTCTAAGATGTGAACCCAGCAGCAGAATGACCAGATAGGAGTAAAAAGTATATATGTAAACTTCATCAGGCACTGTCAAAGGGGTGTCCATCATTTCCAAAGAGGTTACAGAATTTTTTTTTTTTTGAGATGGAGTCTCACTCTGTTGCCCAGGCTAAAGTGTAGTGGTGCGATCTCAGCTCACTGCAACCTCCGCCTCCCAGGTTCAAGCGATTCTCCTGCCTCAGCCTCCTGAGTAGTTGGGACTACAGGGGTCTGTCACCACGCCTGGCTAATTTTTTTTGTTTTGTTTTGAGATGGAGTCTCACTCTGTCGCTCAGGCTGGAGTGCAGTGGTGCGATCTCGCCTCACTGCGAGCTCCGCCTCCTGGGTTCACGTCATTCTCCTGCCTCAGCCTCCCGAATAGCTGGGACTACAGGCACCCGCCACCACGCCTGGCTAACTTTTTGTATTTTTTAGTAGAGACGGGGTTTCACTGTGTTAGCCAGGATGGTCTTGATCTCCTGACCTTGTGATCCACCTGCCTCGACCTCCCAAAGTGCTGGGATTACAGACATGAGCCACCGCACCTGGCATTTTTTTTTTTGAGACAGAGTTTCACTCTTGTTGCCCAGGCTGGAGTGCAATGGCATGATCTCAGCTCCCCGCACTTTGGGAGGCTGAGGCAGGTGGATCACGAGGTCAGGAGATGGAGACCCACCTGGCTAACACAGTGAAACCCTGTCTCTACTAAAAATACAAAAAAAAAGAAAAAAAAAAGAAAAAAAAATTAGCCAGGCGTGGTGGCAGGTGCCTGTAGTCCCAGCTACTCGGGAGGCTGAGGCAAGAGAATGGTGTGAACCCGGGAGGCGGGGCTTGCAGTGAGCTGAGATTGTGCCACTGCACTCCAGCCTGGGCGACAGAGTGAGACTCCGTCTCAAAAAATAAATAAATAAATAAATAAAGTAATCAAATATGTCAGTTCTCTCTCTTTCCTTATGGTTTTTGCTTTTTGTACTTAAAAATTCTTTTCTATCCCATCTACAACTTCTTCAGAAAGGTTCTGGCCTTTAGTGTATCTGGAACTTATATAAGGAGCAGGGATGTAAATTTTTTCCCTATAAATGAACAAGTGTCCTGGTACCACTGTTCTCTCCCAAGAGACAGGGGTCTCGCTCTGTTGGGATCATAGGTCACTGCAACCTTGAACTCCTGTGCATAACGGATCCTCCCACATCAGACTCCTGAGTGGCTGGGACTACAGGCACACACCACCACGCCTGGCACTGTTTCTGAAAAACCCATGTTTTCTCTCAAGGTCTGTTTCTGGTCTCATTGTCTATCTCTATGCCAATACCATTCTCTCTCAATCACTGCAGATTTGATCTCATTATGTGGCATAATGATTGACCCTATCGTATTGTTTTTGCAAGTTTTCATGCCCTTTGCTCGGCCGGGCATGGTGGCTCACATCTGTAATCCTAGCACTTTGGGAGGCGGAGGCAGGCAGATCATCAGAGGTCGGGAGTTCGAGACCAGCCTGACCAACATGGAGAAACCCTGTCTACTAAAAATACAAAATTAGCCAGGCGTGGTGGTGCATGCCTGTAATCCCAGCTACTTGGGAGGCTGAGGCAGGAGAATTGCTTGAACCCCAGAGGCGGAGGTTGCGGTGAGCCGAGATCACACCATTGCACTCCAGCCTGGGCAACAAGGGTGAAACGTCATCTCAAAAACAAACAAACAAACAAACAAACAAACAAAAAAAGGCCCTTTGCTCTTTTATATGAATTTTAGGAACAGTGTGTTGAGATCCACAGATTCTTTTTTTTTAGGAGACAGAGCCTCACTCTATCACCCAGGCTGGAGTGCAATGGTGTGATTTCAGGTCACTGTAGCCTCTGCCTCTCAGGTTCAAGCAATTCTCGTGCCTCAGCCTCCCGGGTAGCTGGGATTACAGGTATATGCCACTATGCCTGGGTAATTATTGTATTTTTAGTAGAGACGGGGTTTCATCATGTTAGCTAGGCTGATCTTCAACTCCTTAGCTCAAGTGATCCGTCCACCTCGGCCTCCCACGGTGCTGGGATTGTAGGTGTGAGCCACTGTGCCCAGCTATCATAATTTTTTTTTTTTTTTTTGGAGATAGAGTCTCACTCTGTTGCTCAGGCTGGAGTGCTGCGGTGGCGCTATGTTAACACACTGCAACCTCTGCCTCCTGGGTACAAGCGATTCTCATGCCTCAGCCTCTCAAGTAGCTAGCTGGGATTACAGAAGTGCACCAACATGTCCAGCTAATTTTTCTATTTTTAGTAGAGACGGGGTTTCACCAAGTTGGCCAGGATGGTCTTGATCTTCTGACCTCGTGATCTGCCCGCCTCGGCCTCCCAAAGTGCTGGGATTACAGGTGTGAGCCACCGCGCCTGGCCGGGTCATGCTATCTTTTAATAAAATTGTTCATGTTGACATTTATAGAATAATAATGAGCGGCTAGGCGCAGTGGATCACCTGAGGTCAGGAGTTCAAGAACAGCCTGACCAACATGGTGAGACTCCATCTCTACTAAAAATAACAAAAAAAATTGCCAGGCGTGGTGGCACATGCCTGTAATCCCAGCTACTTTGGAGGCTGAGGCAGGAGAATTATTTGAACCCGGGAGGCGGAAGTTGCAGTGAGCCGAGATCGCACCACTGCACTCCAGCCTGAGTAATAGAGTGAGACTCCATCTCAAAAAAAAAAAAAAAAAAAAAAAAAAAAAAAAAAAGAATAATAATGAATATACCTACTTGGTGAATTTCTTAGCTATAATAGTTTCCTGGGTGATTTTCTTGGAGTTTCAAGTCATACACCACCTCAAATATGTATACATACCTATGTATTTTTCGTTGTAGACACTAAATCCTTACAATACAATATTAAATGGAAACAATAGAGGAAATCCTTGTGTTTATCCTGACTTTAAAGGGAACACTTCTAATGTTTCCCCATCAAGTAGAAGGTCTGCCTAGATTATTAAGATATTGGCTGAGGAAGTTTCATTCTATTATTCTAAGTTTGCAGAAAACCCCAGGAAGGCCTGAAACTACTAGAAGCTGGAAAGGCCACAGACTCTCACCTACAGTCTTTAGAGAGTGAAACCCTGTCAATAACTAGATTTTGGATTTCTAACTTCCAGGACTATGAGAGAATAAATTTCTGCTATTTTATGCCACCTGGTTAATGTAGGTTGTTATGGTAGCCCTAAGGAACTAATAAAAAAATTCAAAATGCAACCCACTACCCACCCCTTCCTTTTTTTGAGACAGGGTCTTGCTGTTGCCCAGGCTGGAGTGCTGTGCACAACCACGGCTCACTGCAGCCTTGACCTCCTGGGCTCAAGTGATCCTCCTACCTCAGCCTCCCGAGTAGCTGGGACTACAGGCATGCACCACCATGTCTGGCTAATTTTTAAGATTTTCTGTAGAGATGGGGCCTCATTATGTTGCCCAGGCTGGTCTTGAACTCCAGGACTCAAGTAATTCTCCTGCCTTGGCTTCCCAAACTGCTGGGATTACAGGCATGAGCCACTGCACCTGGCCATCAATCCCATCGTCCCCTGAGGTCTGCTGTTGCTCCTATCTGCTATCACTATTAAGAACATCCTCTCAGGGTAATCCACCTTTTCCACATTGGTTGTTTTAGGGAACAGAATGTTCTATAATTCAGTTCCATATGCCCACATATAATTTATATCCAGTTTATATCTCTTCTTGCTTTCTGTATCTGAGGATCAGGGTTTTTCATCAAACCAAAAAACTACTCAATCATTGTTTCTGAACATTCTCTTGGCCTTACTATACTGATTCTTTCCTTCTAGAACTTACAGTGAACACATACAGGACCTTTCATGTTTTCTGCCACCTGCATCTGTTATGAAGCCTTTTCTGATGGTTGCAAATCCAATTTTCATGTTCTGCTTTGTGATAATGGGGCTGGGATCCTGCACATACAACTCCCTTCTCTGCTGGTTTTATATTCTACCAAAGGGAGCATCAGAGGGACCACGGGAGGCACGCTGAGGAAGACAGCGATTTCCTTCCATTTGCTTGCTGATGCCGTTCAACTCATCCTAGGATGGATGGTCCTGCATCTGCGAAGCCGCACTTGGCAGCGGGAGTTTGCCTGCCTTCATAGTGCTAGCAGTGGGGCTGCAGCCCCCCACCTCTGACAATCCCGATTCCTCCGTCTGTGTCACCACGGGGATCCCTTTAACCTTTTTTTTTGTTTTCTAACTCCCATTTTACCAAAGAGTCATGTGATGTTTTCCCTGCTGAAGTAGCTAGTGTAGTTTTGGTTTTCAAGGCTGGACCCCAACTGATTAACTACAAGTTACTTCTTTCGTCATGGCCGGCTTCATCTCATTCTAGTTACCCAGACATATCACCCAAATGAGCATACAATTCAGTAGCATTAAGTGTGTAAGTAATGTTGTGGCGCCATCACCGGTATCCATTTCTAGTATCTTTTCATCACTCCAGTCTGTAACGTTAAACACTGACTCCCCATTTCCCTCTCACCTCAGCCTCTAGTACAAAACATTTGTCCACGTGTGTCCTGCTGATATCACTTCGTGTAATACCTTCAAGGTTCATCCATGTTGTAGCATGTTTCAGAATTTCCTTCCCTCTTAAGGCTGAATAACACCCCATTCTAAGTGTATACTGCATTCAGGTTCTCCTTTTATCCACTGGTGGACACTTGGCTGTTTCACTTTTTGCCTTCTGTTGTTTTTTTTTTTCTTTTTTGAGGGGGACAGAGTCTCGCTCTGTTGCCCAGGCTGGAATGCAGTGGCATGATCTCAGCTCACTGCAGCCTCTGCCTCCCGAATTCAAGCAATTCTCCTGTCTCAGCCTCCCGAGTAGTTGGGACTACAGGTGCACGCCACCATGCCCGGCTAATTTTTTTTTTGTATTTTTAGTAGAGACGGGGTTTCACCATGTTGGCCAGGATGGTGTCAATCTCCTGACCTCGTGATCTGCCTGCCTCAGCCTCCCAAAGTGCTGGGATTACAGGCGTGAGCCACCGCGCCTGGCCTTATTTTTTTTTTCTTAATCCACTTTCCTCCTTTCAAGTTTCTTTAAATAAATAAAAGCTCTGAGTCCTCTCCTTGAAAGTATGCAGTCATGTGCCGGGCGCGGCACCACTGCACTCCAGCCTGGGCGACAGAGCGACACTCCGTCTCAAAACAACAACAACAGCAGCAACAACAAAAGTATGGGTAATGTAACATTACAGGAGTTTTGAAAAAAAAAAAAAATTCAGGGAACTCCAAGATGAGTGACCATCAGCACTGTTGAGATGCTAGAATATAAATACCAGCATACGACAGAGGAACTATTTACAGGTAGATCTTCACATCATTATGAAATTTCTTCTCAGTCATTCCCAACACAAATATTACTCATTATGTTAAAAGGACCTGCAGAATAAAATCCGCTTAGAATGTCACACAAAGCTTGTTTCTCTGAATAAACTGTTGTAATTTTTAAAAGTGTCTGATTAGTACATAATTGATTATTTCTCTTTTTTTGTAGTTGGAAGCTACTAAAAAGTCTGGAAAAGGTTATTGTAAGTATCTTATGGCTTACAAAAATTCCTTCCATAAGAACTATCATGGGAGGCAGAGCGAGACTTTGTCTCAAACAAAGAAAACTATCATTTGTGACTTTAAATGTGTGTCAGAGACTGTCCTGTTTTCATTTAATCCTTCCTTTTTTTTTTTTTTTGAGACGGAATCTTGCTCTGTCGCCCAGGCTGGAGTGCGGTGGGGCGATCTCGGCTCACTGGAAGCTCCGCCTCCCGGGTTCACGCCATTCTCCCGCCTCAGCCTCCCGAGTAGCTGGGACTACAGGCATGTGCCACCACGCCTGGCTAATTTTTTGTATTTTTAGTAGAGACGGGGTTTCACCGTGTTAGTCACGATGGTCTTGATCTCCTGACCTCGTGATTCGCCCACTTCGGCCTTCCAAAGTGCTGGGATTACAACCGTGAGCCACGGCGCCCAGCCCATTTAACCCTTCTAACAAGGTCTGCACAGCCCATCCCAATGCGACCCTGGGCTACCTGGTAGGACTCAATTCATGCCCAGCCAGCCTTCCTGTGCTTGCTCTGCTCTGCTCCGCTCCAGCCGCGCCGGGACTTCCAGCCAGCCTTCCTGTGCTTGCTTTGCTCCCCTCCGCTGCAGCCTCGCCCTGGACTTCCTGCTGCATATCCCTGCCTCCGTGCCTCTGCTCTTGTCTGCACTGCGCCTTCCGCTTCAGGCACTCACGGGTCAACCTCATTCACTTTATTTAAATGTCAAATCTTCAGAGAGGGCTTTCTTTTTTGTCTGAGACAGGGTTTTGCTCTATCACCCAGGCTGTGTTCAGCAGGGGAAATCAGCGCTCACTGCAGCCTCGATCTCCTGCGCTCAAGGGGTCCTCCTGCCACAGCCTCCCAAGTAGCTGGGACCACAGATGGAGCCACCACGCCCAGCCATGTCACTCTTTACCTGTAAACCTGCCTAATTTTACTTCAGATCACTCACCACTATTATCCCACAATATTTGTCTACTCTCCACCTTCTCACCACTGGAATGAAAATAGTACTTCTGGCTGGGTGTGTGCTCACGCTTGTATTCCCAGCACTTTGGGAGGCTGAGGCAGATGGATCACTTGAGGCCAGGAGTTCAAGACCAGCCTGGCCAACACGGCAAAACCCCATCTCTACTAAAAATACAAAAATTAGCCGGGTGTGGTAGTGTACACCTGTAATCACAGCTACTTGGGAGGCTGAGGCATGGTAATCACTTGAACCTGAGAAGTGGAGGTTGCAGTGAGACCAGATCATGCCACTGCACTCTAGCCTGGGCAAAAGAGTGAGACTCTGTCTCAAAAATAACAAAAAAGAAAAGAAAAGAAAAAAAAAGCCATACTTCTCTGCTGTGCTATCAAATGCCAGATCATATTCATTCATAATAACTATTTTTTTTGTACCCATTAACCATCCTACCTCTCCCCAACCCTCCACTATCGTTCCCAGCCTCTGGTAACCATCCTTTTCCCCTCTATCTCCACGGGTTCAATTATTTTGATTTTTAGATCCCACAAGTAAGTGAGAATATCCAATGTTTGTCTTTCTGTGCCTGTCTTATTTCATTTAAAATAATAACCTCCAGTTCTATCCATGTTGTTGCAAACGACTGCATCTTTCTGTTTTTATGGCTGAATAGTACTCCCTTGTGTATCAGTACCACATTTTCTTTATCCATTCATTTGCTGACGGACACTTAGGTTGCTTCCAAATCTTGGCTATTGTGAACAGAGCTGCAAAAAATATGGGAGTGTAGTTATCTCTTCAATATATTGATTTCCTTTCTTTTGGGTGTATACCCAGCAGTGGGATTAATAGATTTTATGGTAGCTCTCTTTTTAGTTTTCTAAGGAACATCTAAGCTGTTCTCCATAGCGGGGGACTAATTTATGTTCCTACCAACAGTATATGAGGATTTCCTCTTCTCATTCTCACCAGTATTTGTTATTGCCTGTCCTTTGGGTATAAACCATTTTAACTGTGTAAGATGATATCTCATAATAGTTTTGGATTTCCATTTCTCTGATGATCAATGATACTGAGCACTTTTTTCATAAGCTTGTTTGCTTTTTTTTTTTTTTTTTGAGACAGAATCTTGCTGTATTGCCCAGGCTGGAATGAAGTCTTGGCTTGATCTCTGCTCACTGCCACCTCTGTCTCCCAGGTTCAAGCAATTCTCCTGCCTCAGCCTCCTGAGTAGCTGGGATTACAGGCGTGTGCCACCATGCCTAGCTAATTTTAGTATTTTTAGTAGAGGCAGGGTTTTGCCATGTTGGCCAGGTTGGTCTTGAACTCCTGATCTCAAGTCATCTGCCCGCCTCGGCCTCCCAAAGTGCTGGGATTACAAGCATGAGCCACCACACCTGGCTTGTTTTTTAATTTATTTTTATTTTTTTGAGACAGGGTCTCGCTCTATTGCCCAGGATGGAGTGCAGTGGCATGATCTCAGCTCACTGGAGCCTGGACCTCCCAGGCTCAAGCTATCTGCCCATCTCAGCTTCCCAAGTAGCTGGCACTACAGGTATGAACAACCATGCTCGGTTAATTTTTGTATTTTTTGTAGAGATGGGGTTTTACCGTGTTGCCGAGGCTGGTCTTGAACTCCTGTGCTAAAACAATCTGCCAGCCTTGGCCTCCCAAAGTGCTGAGCTTACAAGCATGACTCAACATGCCTGGCCTCGTCTGCATTTGTATGACTTCTTTTGAGAAATCTCTATTCAAATATTTTGCCCATTTTAATATCCGATTATTAGACTTTTTCCTAAGAGTTATTTCAGCTCCTTCTACATTCTGGTTATTCATCCTTTGTCAACTGGGCAGTTTGCAAATGTTTTCTCCCATTCTGTGGGTTGTCTCTTCACTTTGCTGGTTGTTTCCTTTGCTGTGCAGAAGCTTTTTAACTTGATGTGATCCCATTTGTCCATTTTTGCTTTGGGTGCCTGTGCTTGAAATCAATGTCCTAGAGGGTTTCTCCAACGTTTTTTCTTGTAGAGTTTCATAATTTGAGGTCTTAGATATAATTCTTTTTTTTTTTTTTTTTTTTTTGAGATGGAGTCTTACTCTGTCACACAGGTTGGAGTGCAGTGATGCAATCTTAGCTCACTGCAACCTCTGCTGCCCAGGTTCAAGCGATTTTCTTGCCTCAGCCTCCTGAGTAGCTGGGATTACCGGTGCCTGCCACCGTGCCCGGCTAATTTTTGTATTTTTAGTAGAGACGGGGTTTCAACACCTTGGCCAGGCTGGCCTTGAACTCTTGACCTTGTAATTCACCCGCCTTGGCCTCCCAAAGTGCTGGGATTACAGGCATAAGTCGTCACGCCCGGCCTTAGATATAATTATTTAATCCACTTTGATTTTATTTTTGTATGTGGCAGGAGATAGGGGTCTAGTTTCATTCTTCTGCTTATGGATATCCAGTTTCCCCAGCACCACTTGTAGAAGAGACTCTTTTCCCCAGTGTATGTTCTTAGCACGTGTGTTGAAAATGAGTTCGCTGTACGTGTGTGGACTTGTTTCTGGATTCTCTATTCTGTTCCATTTGTCTGTGTGTTGGTTTTTATGCCAGATCCCCATATTGTTTTGGTCCCCACAGGTCTGAAATACAATTTGAAGTCAGGTAATTCCTCCAGGTTTGTTATTTTTGCTTAGGATAGCTTTGCCTATTCTGGGTCTTTTGTGGGTCCATATAAATTAAAGGATTTTTTTTTCTATTTTTGTGAAGAATGTCATTGGTATTCTGGTAGACATTGCATTGAATCTGTAGATTACTTTGAGTACTATGGACATTTTAAGAATACTGATTCTTGTTATCCATGAACGTAGAAAGCTTTCCAGTTTTTGGGTGTTCTTTTCAATTTGTTTCCTCCATGTTTTATAGTTTTCATTATAGAGCTCTTTCACTTCTTTGGTTAATTCCTAGGATTTAATTTTATTTGTGACTTCTGTAGATGGGACTACAATACAGGCATTATTAATCTTACATTACAGAAACTGAGCCATAAAAATGAGTTTTGGACCTGCCTATATAAATTAAAATGACAGGTGTACCCAATAAGGACCCTATTAAATAAAAAAACACAATTCCACTAAAAAATATAAACAAATAAAAGCCAGTTATTATGTCCTGAGGAATTTAAATGTGGCACTGGACATAGCCAATTATGGAAGATCTTACAAGTGAGATATACTACATAGTATGACACAGGCTAAACCTGTAGATTATATGCACTAAGGGTTGTTTTTTTTATTGAGACAGAGTCTTGCTCTGTCGCCCAGGCTGGAGTGCAGTAGCACGATCTCGGCTCACTGCAACTTCCACCTCCGGGGTTCAAGCAATTCTCCCACCTCATCCTCCTGAGTAGCTGGGATTACAGGCGTGAGCTACCACGTTTGGCCATGTTGGCCAGGCTGTCTCAAACTCCTGACCTCAAGTGATTCGGCCACTTTGGCTTCCCAAAGTGCTGGGATTACAGGCGTGAGCCACTGTGCCCAGCCATCATTTCTTTCTTTCTTTTCTTTTCCCTCCCTCCCTTCCTTTCTTTTTTTTTTTTTTTTTTTTTTTTTTTTTGGAGATGGAGTTTCACTCTTGTTGCCCAGGCTGGAGTACAATGGCACGATCTTGGCTCACCGCAACCTCCACTTCCTGGGTTCAAGCGATTCTCCTGCCTCAGCCTCCTGAGTAGCTGGCATTACAGGCATGCCCCACCACGCCCAGCTAATTTTTTGTATTTTTAGTAGAGATGGGGTTTCTCCATGTTGGTCAGGCTGGTCTCGAAAACCCAACCTCATGTGATCCGCCCCCCTTGGCCTCCCAAAGTGCTGGGATTACAGGCATGAGTCACTGTGCCTGACCCCTCATTTCTTTATTAATTCTAAAATCCTTAATGTGGGCAGGCACAGTGGCTCACGCCTGTAATCCCAGCACTTTGGGAGGCCGAGGCGGCAAGATCATTTGAGGTCAGCAGTTTGAGACCAACCTGCCCAACATGGTAAAACCCCATCTCTAAAAATACAAACATTAGCTGGGTGTGGTGGCACGCCTATAGTCCTAGCTACTCGGGAGGCTGAGGCAGAGGTTGCAGTAAGTGAAGATTGTGCCACTGCACTCCAGGTGGGCCACAGAGTGAGACTATGTATCAAAAAAAAAAAAAAAAAAAAAAAAGGGCCAGGCATGGTGGCTCATGCCTGTAATCCCAGCACTTTGGGAGGCCAAGGCGGGCAGATTACGAGGTCAAGATATCGAGACCATCCTGGCTAACACAGTGAAACCCCGTCTCAACTAAAAATACAAAAAATTAGCCGGGCGTGGTGGTGGGCACCTGTAGTCCCAGCTACTTGGGAGGCTGAGGCAGGAGAATGGCATGAACCCGGGAGGTGAAGCTTGCAGTGAGCTGAGATCACGCCACTGCACTCCAGCCTGGGCGACACAGCGAGACTCCGTCTCAAAAAAAAAAAAAAAAAAAAAAAGAAATTGCCGGAAACAACTTGGATGCATGGCAGGACTTAGCTTGAGTTGGCTCTGGCTACAGGACGGCTGGTCGACAGACATGCACCTCTCCAGACCACGCGGACACTGCACATACCTTCCACTGCCTTGACCTTCTCCTCCAACTCGCGTTTCCTCTCTTCCTTTAGCATCTGCTCCTGCTCCTTCTTCTGCACTGCTAGAAGAATCTGACGCTCTTCTTCCTCCTCTTTGCGCTTTTGTTTTTCTATTCTGGTCAGCACAGGAGTCTCCTGTGAGGAGCCAATGAGCACATCCGGTCAGTACACAATCATGCAAGATAAGCTCTTTGCTCTCAGTTCATTGAATTCAGTATTTTCAACAAATAATATTAGCTAGGGACTTTATATCACGAAAAGCTGATTTTGTTATCTGTAAAATACACATGGATATACATAAATGTTAAAACATAAGGGAGATTCAAAATGGTAAAACTTTTGTGTCCAACAATTTATATAATTTGTGGTATTTAGGAGACAATCTTATGGATAATTTACTGGAGAGAAGAGAAACTGGGGCAGTTCAGAGATGTGTTTCTTTAGAGTTAACATCTGATAAAGGGAAGCTTTTTTTTCTTTTTTTTTTTTTTTTTTTTGAGATAGAGTCTCGCTCTGTCGCCTAGGCTGGAGTGCAGTGGTGCGATCTTGGCTCACTGCAAGCTCTGCCTCCCGGGTTCACGCCATTCTCCTGCCTCCGACTCCCAAGTAACTGGAACTACAGGCGCCTGCCACCACGCCCGGCTAATTTTTTGTATTTTCACTTGAGATGGGGTTTCACCATGTTAGCCAGGATGGTCTTGATCTCCTGACCACGTGATCCACCTGCCTCAGCCTCCCAAAGTGGAGGGATTATAGGTGTGAGCCACCGTGCCCAGCCGATAAAGGTAAGTTTTAAAAAGCGCTAGGAAGTTTTAAAAAGTATACTAGGATGAAAGACAGTCACTCAACAGAACACAGTTCCTTTTTTTTTTTTGAGATGGAATCTCACTCTGTGAGACTGGAGTGCAATGGTATGATCTTGGCTCACTACAACCTCTGCCTCCCAGTTCAAGTGATTCTCTCGCCTCAGCCTCCCAAGTAACTGGAGTTACAGGGTACCTGCGACCACGCCCAGCTAATTTTTGTATTTTTAATAGAGATGGGGTTTCGCCATGTTGGCCAGGCTGGTCTCGAACTTCTGACCTCAGCCTCCCAAAGTGCTGAGATTACAGGCGTAATACTCCAACCTGGGAGATAGACCCTATCTCAAAAACACAAAACAAAACAAAACAAACTGGTTTAGATTCTCATTTGACTCCAAATTTAGAGACGATCTTGCCTAGATAGCAGGCTTTTTTTTTTCCCCCCGAGATGGAGTCTTGCTTTGTCACCAAGGCTGGAGTGCAGTGGCACGATTTTGGCTTACTGCAGACACTGCCTCCTGGGTTCAAGTGATTCTCCTGCCTTAGCCTCTCGAGTAGCTGAGATTACAGGTGTGTACCACCACGCCTAGCTAATTTTTGTATTTTTAGTAGAGATGGGATTTCACCATGTTGACCAGGCTGGACTAGAACTCCTGACCTCAGGTGATCCGCCCACCTCAGCCTCCCAAAGTGCTGGGATTACAGGCGTGAGCCATGGCGCGTGGCCCAGTTAGTTGACTTCTCAATGTCATTTTCACCATTCAAAAATCTATGAGCCTGACTTTAGAAGAGTTTACAGGTAAAAATCTGGAATGAACAGGAGGGACAAAAATAAAAACTGCATACGTTAACACTGTACCCATAAGGTGTCTCAGTGTAACAAACAGAATTAAATAACAACCATAAAATCTTTATCCTATAGCCAGAGCAGGCCAGTTTCAATATGGTGGATGTTGATTCTGAAAAGGGGATGCTATGGACACTTGGCAAGGACGACTGTCCCGAAGACTGCAACTCTGGCCACTGCTTCCCGAATAAATGTCTGTCAAGCACCTTCCCTAAATTTTGCCATAATCCCTGCTCTCACTTCCACCCCACTTCCAAGGTTCTTAATTGTTCCAGCAACATCTTTACCCAGCTGAGATATGATGAAACTGCAGTTAACAAAGCAAAGTAAAACAAAACTATTTGCCTTTGCTCTTTTCAGATGTATACTGATGCCAAAAAAACACCATAAGGTATCAGTTGACTCACATGGGCAGGGGAAAGAGAGGAGATAATACTGAGCCTTGTCACTACAGTAACCAAAACAGCATGGTACTGGTACCAAAACAGAGATATAGACCAATGGAACAGAACAGAGGCCTCAGAAATAACACCACACATCTACAACCATATGATCTTTGACAAACCTGACAAAAACCAGTAACAGGGAAAGGATTCCGTATTTAATAAATGGTGCTGGGAAAACTGGCTAGCCATATGTAGAAAGCTGAAACTGGATCCCTTCCTTATACCTTATACAAAAATTAATTCAAGATGCATTAAAGACTTAAATGTAAAACCTAAAACCATAAAAACCCTAGAAGAAAACCTAGGCATTACCATTCAGGACATAGGCATGGGCAAGGACTTCATGACTAAAACACCAAAAGCAATGGCAACAAAAGCCAAAACAGACAAATGGGATCTAATTAAACTAAAGAGCTTCTGCACAGCAAAAGAAACTACCATCAGAGTGAACAGGCAACCTACAGAATGGGAGAAAATTTTTACAATCTACTCATCTGACAAAGGGCTGATATCCAGAATGTACAAAGAACTTAAAGAAATTAACAACAACAAAAAAAATCAAACAACCCCATGAAAAAGTGGGCAAAGGATATGAACAGACACTTCTCTCTCTCTCTCTTTTTTTTTTTTTTGAGATGGAGTCTCGCTCTGTCACCCAGGCTGGAGTGCAGTGGCGCCATCTCGGCTCACTGCAAGCTCCACCATTCTCCTGCGTCAGCCTCCTGAGTAGCTGGGACTACAGGCGCCCGCCACCACGCCTGGCTAATTTTTTGTATTTTTAGTAGAGACGGGGTATCACTGTGTTAGCCAGGATGGTCTCGATCTCCTGACCTCGTGATCCTCCTGCCTTGGCCTCCCAAAGTGCTGGGATTACAGGCGTGAGCCACTGCGCCCGGCCGAACAGATGCTTCTCAAAAGAAGACATTTATGCAGCCAAAAGACACATGAAAAAATGCTCATCATCACTGGTCATCAGAGAAATGCAAATCAAAACCACAATGAGATACCATCTCACGCCAGTTAGAATGGCGATCATTAAAAAGTCAGGAAACAACAGATGCTGGAGAGGATGTGGAGAAATAGGAACGCTTTTACGCTGTTGGTGGGAGTGTAAACTGGTTCAACCATTGGGGAAGACAGTGTGACAATTCCTCAAGGATCTAGAACTAGAAATACCATTTGACCCAGTGATCCCATTACTGGGTATATACCCAAAGGATTGTAAATCATGCTACTATAAAGACACATGCACACGTATGTTTATTGCGGCGCTATTCACAATAGCAAAGACTTGGAACCAACCCAAATTGTCCATCAATGGACATCAATGATAGACTGGAATAAGAAAATGAGGCACATATACACCATGGAATACTATGCAGCCCAAAAAACCCAAAAAGACGAGTTCATGTCCTTTGCAGGGACATGAATGAAGCTGGAAACCATCATTCTCAGCAAACTATCACAAGACAGAAAACCAAACACCGCATGTTCTCACTCATAGGTGGGAACTGAACAATGAGAACACTTGGGCACAGGGCGGGGAACATCACACACCGGGGTCTGTCAGAGGGTGGGGGACTGGGGGAGGGATAGCATTAGGAGAAATACCTAATGTAAATGATGAGTTGATGGGTGCAGCAAACCAACATGGCACATGTATGTATACCTATGTAACAAACCTGCACATTCTGCACATGTACTCTAGAACTTAAAGTATAATAATAATTTAAAAATCCTACTTACAATAAAAAAAAAACCTGAGCCTTGTCAAAGGGAAGATTTCATTGAAAGAGAATTGTGATGCTTTATGTATGTCAGACCCCAAAATGAGAGGAAAACAGGTATATCTATATATCAAACATGAAAGTTATTTACAGAATTACCTATGTGTATTCTGGCCACTCTCCCCCACAACAAAAGACAATAGGTGTAAACCTGTGAAATATTCTTCTTTCATCAGTACAGGGTACATTAAATAGAATCTAACATTTTAATAAGGACTGAGCAAATGCAAGCCAATTACTCATGAAATTGTAATGTTAAGTCACTCAAGACTTGATAATCTGGCCAGGCACGGTGGCTCACGCCTGTAATCTCAGCACCTTGGGAGGCCAAGGTGGGTGGATCATGAGGTTAAGAGATTGAGACCATCCTGGTAAACATGGTGAAACTCTGTCTTTACTAAAAATACAAAAATTAGCTGGGCACGGTGGTGTGTGCCTGTAGTCCCAGCTACTTGGGGGGCTGAGGCAGGAAAATCGCTTGAACCTGGGAGGCGGAGGTTGCAGTGAACCAAGATTGTGCCACTGCACTCCAGCCTGGCAACAGAGTGAGATTATGTCTCAAAAAAAAAAAAAAAGACTTGATAATCTAAACCAACATAGGAAGTGTTCATGTGTTAAGTCAGTGGAGAGGGAGAAAGAGAAAAAACCCAAAAGCCAATAACCTAAATCTTACTAATATATAATTCTTTTTCTGTAATGAGTATGACTTATTATTCTTAATATGTAATATCTCACAATCAGTTAACAGTGCTCCCCTCAAACAAATGGAACACGAACACAAAACTCACAAACAATATATAAAGCACACGAGGGGCCGGGCATGGTGGCCCATGCCTGTAATCCCAGCACTGTGGGAGGCCGAGGTGGGTGGTTCACGAGGTCAGGAGATCAAGACCTTCCTGGCTAATGTGGTGAACCCTGTCTCTACTAACAATACAAAAAATTAGCTGGGCATGGTGGCGGGCGCCTGTAGTCCCAGCTACTCGGGAGGCAGAGGTTGCAGTAAGCTGAGATTGTGCCACTGCACTCCAGCCTGGGTGACAGAATGAGACTCCGTCTCAAAAAAAAAAAAAAAAACACAAAACACCTGAGGGAACTTTCCAGATGCTTGGTGTGAGGTGGAGGAGCAGTGGCTGCACGGACTGCACAGAGCTACAGGCCCCTCCCCACTCCCCACCACCAGCCTCAGCCCACTCACTGGCTACAGAAAATTGTGAAAGAAACCACTTACTATGACATCTTGGGGGTCAAACCTAATGCTACCCACGAAGAACTGACAAAGGCTTAAAAATGGCTTTGAAGTAATACCCTGGTAAGAATCTAAATGAAGGAGAGAAGTTAAATGGATTTCTCAATCTTGAGAAGTTCTCTCTGATGCAGAGAATAGGGAATTCTATGACAAAGGAGGACAGGCAATTAAAGAGGGTGGGGCTGGTGGCAGTTCTCATTCCCCCATGGACATCTCTGCTAAGTTTTTTTGGGGGAGAAGGAAGGATACTAAGAGAAAGGAGAGGTAAAAACTCCTACATCAGCTCTCAGTAGCCTTAGGAGATCTATCCAATGGTGAAAAAAGAAAACTGGCTCTGCAAAAGAATATGATTTGTGACAAATGTGAAGGCAGAGGTGTTAAGAAGGGAGCAGGATCCTGCTGTGCCAACTGCTGAGGTGCTTGAATGCAAACAGTAATTCATCAATAAGACCTGGAATGGTTCAGCAAATTCAATCTGTGTGCATGGAGTGCCAAGCCCATGGGGAAACCATCCGTCCTAAAGATAGACGTGACAGCTGCAATGGAAGGAAGACAGTTGCAGAGAAGGAGATTCTAGAAGTCCATATTGACAAAGGCATGAAAGATGGCCAGAAGATAACATTCCGTGGTGAAGGATACCAAGACCAGAACTGGAGCCAGGAAACATTACCACTGGGGTAGAACAGAAAGACCATGCTGTTTTTACTTGACAGGGAGAAGACCTTTTCCTGTGTACAGACACACAGCTGGCTGAAACACTGTGTGACTCCCAAACGCTAACATCTGCTTTCAAGACTGAACCATGGTCCAGGTCAGAATGTCAAGCACGGGGACATCAAGTGTGTGCTAAATGAAGGAATGCCAATTTACTGCACACCGTATGCAAAGCGTCGCCTAATCACTTAATTTATGTAAACGCTCCTCAGAATGGCTCTCTCTCCTAATAAACTCTCTTTGCTGGAAAAACTTCTACCTGGTAGAAAGGAAGTAGAAGAGACTGATGGGATGATCAAAAAGAACTGGTGGGCTCTGAGGCAAATCAGCAAAGATGGCAGCATTACAATGGAGAAGCATATGAGGGCAAGGAACACCATCTCCCCAGAAGAGGTGGTCAGTGTCAAAGCCCTTAACTGGGCCAGTGAGTAACACTCACTGCTGGCATTTTATCTGCAACAGTGACTGAGTGAAGGCCTGTAACCATAATATGCTCACTGCTTCCTATTGTTTTAAATATTCAGCTAGAGAAGTGTTTTAAAGGTAAATGAAGAATAAACGCAATGATAAAAACTCTGACTTTGCCCTGTTATGTACGATGACTTCGGTGTGCAAGACGAAATTTAATACCTGTAAAAACTACTTTAAGAAGCTCTCCTAGCATTTTAAGGCCAAGCCTTGTAACTGAGTTGTGTACGTGGATAAGTTTAGGCTGAAAAGCAATGCTAGGTATACGTACTGGCTTCAGTGTATGAACCTTCACCATTAACCTACGAAATTAAAACTGTATTTAACCGGCCATTAGAAAAAGACCCAAGCTAAATTTGTAGAGCAGTGTTGGTCTATATAGTTATTTGTATTAAGTGGGATTCATTGTAATGCCTTTGCATTTATTGTGTGGCTTCAAGTGTTACTCGAAGATGGCATAATATATAACTTAACCTGTGGTATCAGTGGTAGAAATGATACCGGTATTCCTCCGTTCTCACACTGCTATAAAGAACTACATGAGACTGGGATATATGAAGCAAAGAGGCTTAATTGACTCACAATTCCACAGGCTGTATAGAAAGGATGACTGGGAGGCCTCAGGAAACTTATAATCGTGGCGGAAGGTGAGGGGAAAGGAAGCACGTCTTAGCACAGCGAAGCAAGAGAGATAGAGCCAGAAAGCGCAAGTGCGCATGTGCGATGGGGGATGTGCCACACACTTTAAAACACCCAGATCTTGGCCAGGCGCGGTGGCTCACGCCTGTAATCCCAGCACTTTGGGAGGCTGAGGAGGGTGGATCACGAGGTCAGGAGTTCGAGACCAGCCTGGCCAAGATGGTGAAACCCCGACTCCACTAAAAATACAAAAATTAGCCAGGCGTGGTGGCAGGCGCCTATAATCCCAGCTACTCGGGAGGCAGAGGTTGCAGTGAGCTGAGATCACGCCACTGCACTCCAGCCTGGGCGACAGAGTGAGACTCCGTCTCAAAAAAACCCCGAAAAAACAATAAACAACCAGATCAGCTGGGCGCAGTGGCTCACACCTGTAATCCCAGCACTTTGGGAGGACGAGGCGGGCATTTCACCTGAGGTCGGGTGTTCAAGACCAGCCTGACCAACATGGAGAAACCCCATCTCTACTAAAAATACAAAATTAGCCAGGCGTGGTGGCAGGTGCATGTAATCCCAGCTACTCGTGAGGCTGAGGCAGGGGAATAGCTTGAACCCAGGACACGGAGGTTGCAGTGAGCCGAGATGGTGCCATTGCACTCCAGTCTGGGCAAAACTCCGTCTCAAAACAAAACAAAACAAAACACCAGCCAGATCTCCTGAGAACTCACACACCATCACAAGAACAGCAAGGGGGAAGTCCATCCCATGATTCATCACCTCCTACCAGGCCCCTCTCCTGACATGTGGGGATTGCAATTTGAGATGAGCTCTGGGTGGGGACACAGAGCCAAACCATATCAATACTTTTCTAAAGAAGGGATTTATCGTAATATGCTGCTTCTTGAGGGCTTGCACTTCGAGATTTGTGTTCCCTTCTGCTGTGCCATCCATGTGTACACACAGGTGCATGTACATACATGTATATATGTATATATACATATAAAATGTATACACATATAATATAATAAATGTGTATATGTATGTACATAACTGTAAATATGTGTGTGTGTATGGATATATATCCATATATATATATCTCTATATTTTGATCAATCCTGGTTATCTGTCCCTCTCCTCTTTGGACCATAAGCTCCTGAGTAGTGACTTCCAGAGCCAGGTAACATAGAAATTCAAGTGAAAAAACCTTTACACGAAGAAGTCACATACATATATAATATAGGAAGGTATTCCTTAGGTATGTTCAACAGGCTCACAGTTTAAACCATTTGACTTACGCCCCCCAAAGTAACTAATTTAAGGCTGGTACTGGCCGGGCGTGGTGGCTCACGCCTGTAATCCCAGCACTTTGGGAGGCTAAGGCGGGTGGATCACGAGGTCAGGAGATCGAGACCATCCTGGCTAACACGGTGAAACCCCATTTCTACTAAAAATACAGAGAATTAGCCGGGCGTGGTGGCGGGCGCCTGTAGTCCCAGCTACTTGGGAGGCTGAGGCAGGAGAATGGCTTGAACCTGGGAGGTGGAGCTTGCAGTGAGCCCAGATTGTGCCACTGCACTCCAGCCTGGGTGACAGAGCGAGACTCCGTCTCAAAAAAAAAAAAAAAAGGTTGGTAGTGCAGCAAATTATAAACAGCTTTTATTGTATGCTTAAAAATCTCATCACATGTTCACACGCTTAAATCTGGGTATCAGAATTTAAACAATTCTTGAAATGTATGAATGTCTCAATATACTGATCACAAAGTATCTTAAATATAATGCTCAATATGCAATAAATGCATAGAGGAAAAGCCTGAAGCAAATACGTAAAAACGTAAATAGTAATGATTCCTGAGTTGTGGGATTACCAGGTCTTTTACAGTTTTCTACATGTAGTCTCCACATTTTCTATAAAGACATGGTGGGCAGGTGGGAGCCTGCACCGGCCACGCCCAGCTGTGGCTCCTGCCCTTGCGGATGCCATCTGTCCCCCTAGTTATTGCTCCACCTGTCTCAGACCACTTTCTCCACAATCTGCCCCCTCCTCCAGCACGGCCCTGCACTTGTAAACACCTCCTGCTTAGCTGAATATGTCTGCCTCACATTTCTCTGGGCCTTTTTTCTTTCATCAGCATGGGTTACCATTTTACCATTTTAGCAGTTTCCCATCTGATGTGAATTCTCAACAATTACAATTTTACCTAAATGACATTACACACATATGAGAAAAAAAAAATCTATGTTGTGAACAACAAATCTGCTTTTCTTTTTTTTTTTTTTTGAGACGGAGTCTTGCTCTGTCGCCCAGGCTGGAGTGCAGTGGTGCGATCTTGGCTCACTGCAAACTCTGCCTCCCGGGTTCACGCCATTCTCCTCCCAAGTAGCTGGGACTACAGGCGCCCACCACCACGCCCAGCTAATTTTTTGTATTTTTAGTAGAGACGGGGTTTCATCGTGTTAGCCAGGATGGTCTCGATCTCCTGACCTTGTGATCTGCCCAACTCGGCCTCCCAAAGTGCTGGGATTACAGGCGTGAGCCACCGCGCCTGGCCCACAAGTCTGTTTTAAAATTCCTCTGCTGATTTTCAGCACTAGGCTGATGCAAGGTAAAGCAAGTCTTGATGAAAACACCACTAAAAAACAGGACTCACTTTTTGTAGTGTTTTAACTATTAAAGAACCAGTACAACCAAATGAATGACAACTGGCCAAGCAAAAATAAACCTGCACAGTTACAAAAATGTGATACTGTCTTAGGCTGCAATTTTTTTCTTTAAAAGGTGGGGTCAGTTGCAAATGGTAGAGATGTTGGTGTAGGAATGCTTTACAGATAAGAGTCCTGCTAGAATCAAGGGGGTTTTTAATGAGAAGCTAATGAGAAACAACACTTTAAAATCCAGTCAAGGACGATTCAACAGAACCCCTGGTTTAAGCAATGCCCAACATGCTGTGCCCTTACACGCTCCCCTCTCTGAGGGCAGGTATCAGACTTGCTGGCACCCTTGCTCCCGTTAGCAGCACATTTGAGACGAACACCCAACAAACAGCTCCCTAGCAACAGCAATGACCAAAGTGTCCGGACAAAAATAACCACTGCATCCCGAATCCCTGAGTTCAGCGAGACAGTCTCCCCTCACTGATATTTTCCCCAAGAAGTCACAACTCAAAGTCTTTTATCAGGCAATAAGTTTGGACTGCTGAGTGACCAATAGAGGCCAGAAACCCTGCCTCCATGCTTAAAAAGTCATGTCACCACTAAGGGTTTCTCCAGGATATCGGGGACCACAACAGATAGTTTACAGTCTCTGTAATACTGTGGTTTCTTTTTGTTCGAACTGAAGAGTAGAATAAAAGAAAGCTCAAACACTGCCAAGAATAAAAGAAGAAATTTTAGTGTTTGATGCCAAAGTTTTGCTTGGAGCAATGAAGGACGTTTCAGTCTATTCAGCCTGCTATGCAGTCTGAAGTGTTAAGTTATGGCATCTAGGAATACTCAGAGCAGTGAACAGTAAACAGAAAAGGGAGCTTGCAAGGAGGTGTGAACTGTCAAGGTAATAAAGACAGCAGAGAGAGCCCAACAAGGCCAGGCTAGAAAACCATTTGAGAACATGGCTGAATACCAGGGACCAAAGGCCACTCTGAAATTAGTGACTGCTAGGAGGAAGAGGATACTGGAGAAGGGAGGTCAATCATGAATAGAATTGTCAACCCCCAGGTAATTAAACATCGGGCAAGACACATCTCTGAGTTAAAAAGAGACAGATGTGAAATCAAAATATACTGAAGTAAATACAAATTTATAAATTAGCTTTCCCTTTTCAGGGCTCAAGGTAGAATGTGTTTAGTTACTGACAAGATCTCTGTAATAGAACATCGTGTCGTCACTCAAATTTAAGATCCATGAAAATGTTACTGAAAGGCAAAAGGAAGGCTCCGTAACGTAACAATTCAAAGACATGGTCCAGAGTAAAACTACTGTCCCTTAACTCAAAACTCTCTACGATCACTGAACTGTTTAAATATTCGATGAAAGAGTGCCCAAAGGATAAACGGTTAAAAAGTGTTGTCCCTTCCTACAGTGTGATGTGATGTGATAAAGTAATTTAACTATTTTTTTTCAGAGGTGGGGTCTTGCTATGTTGCCCAGGCTGGTCTCAAACTCCTAGGCTCAAGTAAATCTCCTGCTTCAGGCTCCTGAGCTACACTACAGAATGAAAATGCCGAAACACAGTCAGCTCCAGAATGCTCCTTGGACAACTCTTTTAATTAGTGGTTGCACCAAATATTCTTTCTTCACCTAACATTATATCTCAAACTCCCACATGATGCCCTCTCTCTTTCATGTGACCTAAACATTTCCCTGCCCTCCCATTTATGTTGTTTTGCTTTGTGTCTTAGAAGAAATGTGATTATCTACCCTCCATGGCGAGGTCTTGACACCTAAGAATTTCATCTCCCCACAGATCAGCCAGATCCACGCTCTCTCATTCCTGGACCCTTTTCAGGTCCATGCTACATCTCCAATTAGAAACAAAACAACAAACTTGCCACAAACTCTCAGGTTTTCTTTTCTTTCTTTCTTTTTTTTTTTTTTTTTCTGAGACAGAGTGAAACTCTGAAGTTGCCCAGGCTGGAGTGCAGTGGTGCGATCGTAGCTCACTGCAACCTCCGCCTTCTGGGTTCAAGCAATTCTCCTGCTTCAGCCTCCCGAGTAGCTGGGATTACAGGTGCCCGCCACCACACCCAGCTAATTTTTGTATTTTTAGTAGAGATGGGGTTTTGCCATGTTGGCCAGGCTGGTCTTGAACTCGTGAGTACAAGAAATCCACCTGCCTTGGCCTCTTAAAGTGCTCGGATTACAGGCATGAGCTACCTGTGCTTGGCTCTAATATATACTGTTTTTTGACCATATATATTTATATCATTTTATATAAATTTATATAATTTCCTGTCTCTGTGCTTTTGTTTCTACTACTCCTGTAGTGTGGGATGCCTTCTGCCCCACCTCTCCCACCCTCTTTGCTCCCCTTCCATCAATCCCAGCCATCTCAGGATTCAGGTCAAATATGGCTCTGCCTACTCAAATTCTCCTTCCGTTGCCCAGCTCTACATCCTCCCATCTTTGCATTTGTGAACTGCTCCTATACATGCACCTATTGCAGTACGTATTCTTATTAAATGTGGACATGCCTACCATCCCAGGAGATTGTCAGAACCAGAGTGTGGCCTCACGTCTTCTAATTCTTTCTCTTTCTAGAAATGTATCTTAAGCATAAGATTGCTAAATAAACATTTGGGGTTTAGGAAAAAAAATGAAGGAAAATAAAAAGGCAGGAATGGAAGTACATGAAAAGGATCCGTCTCTTTCATCAGGAAAGCTCCTCCTCGCTACTCTCACCCACACTCACCTCTTGCTTGACGGGTTTGATGGACAGGTGGTCAGACATCCACCTAGGATGCAACTCTGCCTTTGTGCGCTGTGGACGTTTTCCCTATAGTTAGAAGTGAAGAAGAGAAAGGAAAAGATAGATTAGGGTGTTCTCAACTACTGATGCTGCTGCTGCTGCTGCCGCCAGTAAAAAAGTGGCCAATGAGGCACACAGGTTAGGGCCAAAGGCTTCCTTAGGACAATCAGGAACCACTGCTCAGCTGTGTAGGGACAGAAGCCAGTTTATTCTCTTGAAAAAATAAAAACAAAAACTTGGAGACAAACAAGTGTCTTTTATAATATGTATCACTGGCAAAAAACTCCCTTAACAGTTTAAACAGTAAAAAAAAAAAAAAAATTATCTTCCCAAATTACAAAGGGAAAGCCATGCTTTATCACCTTCAGCTGAAGGGGCGGCTCTGGGAGGGGGCATCAGGAGCAGCCGGAGGTGGGCCGCCGGGCAAAGGCAGCACAGTGGCAGCAGTGAGAAGTGAGAGCAGTTGCCCAGGAGGGGAAGCCAGGGAGAGAGCAGGGGTGGGAAAAGGGCTCAGCGAGCAGAATGCGGTGAGTGCCAAGGAAATGCACCAGGCTGGAAAGCAGTCCTTATAGGAAATTTCAAAGAAAGAGCATGGAGAACTACTTGTATCTAGGTTACTACTTTTGAAGGCCAAGGTTTATTAGCACATGTAAGTTTTGCAATTTGTGAGGAATGAGCCCCATGGCATCACCAACTGTAACCTACTACTAAAAGGTAACAAGCAAAGGCCTTCCCTTAAGATAACATAACTTCCGTGACTTCCGCATCAAAAATCTGCATTCTCCAGGGTCAGTTCTGGCACCACTTAATCCATTAGGTAAGGAATTATAGGATAGAAAATGACAAGAAGGGGTGGTTTATACAACTTAAACATACCGCAAAGCCACGGGGGTACATTTAGTGAGTCAGCAACTTTAGAAAGCTTTTCTGTTTCGGGCTGGGTGGGGTGGCTCACGCCTGTAATCCCAGCACTTTGGGAGGCCGAGGTGAGCGGATCACGAAGTCAGGAGATCAAGACCATCCTGACCAACATGGTGAAACCCCATCTCTACTAAACACACACACAAAAAATTAGCCAGGCATGGTGGTGCGTGCCTGTAGTCCCAGCTACTCAGGAGGCTGAGACAGGAGAATTGCTTGAACCTGGCAGGCGGAGCTTGCAGTGAGCCGACATCATGCCACTGCACTCCAGCCTGGGCGACAGAGCGAGACTCCATCTCAAAAAAAGAAAGAAAGAAAAAGAGAATGACTAGTGCCTAATGCAAATGCAAGCCCAATTATCAAACGCTGTCATGACCTTCTTTAAGTACTTGTCCCGAAAAACCTAGCCCAGCAGTTTCCTGAAATATACCTATAAGCTCTTTTTTTTTTTCATAGGTTCTTGTTCTGTCGCCGAGGATGGAGTGCAGTGGTGCAATCATAACTCACTGCAGCCTCAAACTACTGGCCTCAAACAATCGTACCACCTTGGACTCCCAAAGCACTGAGATAGCGATTATTTTATAAGCCTCAAGACTCTAACAAGATCTCTTCAACTTTAAGTACAGTAAAAACTTATCAGGGAACTGCCTTCCAAAGGGATTATGCCAGTTTACCATGATAGTTGCAAAAATGACAATGCCAGCTTCACTTCAACCCTGCCAAATCAGATAAAAGCTACGAATGAGAAAAATGCTATTCTTGATACAGAACGTGAATGTTTCCCTACGCACTTTCCCATCGCCGCATCTGTAAACCATCTATACCCTTAGTCAATTTATTTGTTGAGAAATTAAAGTTTATAAAGCTGTATATTCTGTAACATGAGCAACAAGCTCTACCAGTATCTACATCGCCTTTTATTTAAACAAACAAAAAAAAGGTTTAAGTAAACTTTTATATGGCCATCACAGCAGGACTTACCTTCTGTTAATTATTTCAAAGTTTAGAGGACGATCATATAATACCTCAACAAAGATGTATCAAATCTTCTGATGGCGGACAGAGAAGGATTAACGTCATCCATTATTGCCTTTATGTTACTATAAAATGTGGGTTTAGTTTTCTATCAAGGTTTCTCATCAATTATCCACTACCATAAACAATGGGAGAGGACCGAGTAGTGTCTTTTGATTGCCAAATACTATGCTCTGTACATTGACATGGGTTCTTTGTAATTAAACAAAAACTTCTGTCAAGTGATAGCATTTCATTTTACTAATAAGAAAACTGAAATGGACCCCACTTCTACAAAAAATTAAAAAATTAACTGGGCGTGGTGGTGTGTGCCTATAGTCCAGGTACTCAGGAGGCTGAGGGAGGAGAATCGTTTGAGCCCAGGAATTCAAGGTTACAATGAGCTATGATCACGCTACTGCACTCCAGCCTGGGTAACAGAGTAAGGTCCCTGTCTCTGTTTAAAAAAAAAAAAAAGAAAAGAAACAAGGTGAAATGGAATGGTATCAAGAAACTTATCCAAGGGACAGGACAGGGGAGTGTCATAATTTAAGCAGGTTTGAAAGAAAAGCTCCTGACTCTTCCACATACCACATTAACCCCTCTTCCACTGCCCCGTTTCTTGTGCCTCCATTACACACTGCATTTTCTTTTCTTTTTTTTTCTCCATCTGTCGCCCAGGCTGGAGTGCAGTGGTGCGATCTCATCTCACTGCAACCTCTGCCTCCTGAGTTCAAGCAATGCTTCTGCCTCAGCTTCCTGAGTGGCTGGAATTACAGGCACCCATCACCATGCCTGACTAATTTGTGCATTTTTAGTAGAGATGGGGTTTTGCCATGTTGGCCAGGCTGGTCTTGAACTCTAGACCTCAGGTGATCCACCCGCCTCGGCCTCCCAAAGTGCTGGGATTACAGGCATGAGCCACCACGTCCCTGGCCCCAGGTCAACATTTTTAAATGTTGCATCTTACTATTCTTTATTGTGTTACACTGGATAAGACTGCAAAACAGTATTACCAGTAAGATAGTCTCAAACATTACTCTTTTGGTAACAAGACAGCTTTTACTTCTCGCTATTAACAATCTGACACGCAGTCATGTGTTATACTTAACAATGAGGATATATTTTGAGAAACCACATTCTTAGGTGATTTTGTTATGTTTTCAACAATATAGAATTCAGGGACTAGATGGCATAGCCTACTACACAGCTAGGCTATGGGGTACAGCCTGAGGGTCCTAGATGGTATAGCCTACTACAACCCTAGACGATGTAGTGTGCTACACACCTAGGTTATGGGGTATAGCCTATTACTCCTAGATGGTGTAGTCTACTATATACAACCCTAGATGGTAGGGCCGACTACACACCCAGACTACAGGATATATAGCCTATTGCTCCTAGGTGGTGTAGCCTACTACTTACAATCCCAGACACACAATGGTAAAGTATTTGTGTATCTAAACATACATAAATAGAAAAGGTGCAGTAAAAATACAGTATAAAAGATTTAAGAACTGACACACCGAGATAGGGCACTTATCATGAATGGAGCTTGCAGGACTGGCAGTTGCTCTGCTGAGTCCGTGACTGAGTGGTGTGAATGTGAAGGTTAGGACATTACAGTACACTGCTGTAGACCTTGTAAACACAATGCATTCAGGCTGCACTCAATTTATAAAAAGAAATGGAATTGTGCTACAGTGTCATAAAGGCTATGACGATAGGAAATTTTCAGCTCAATTATAATCTTATGGGACCACAGTGGTATAAATGGTTTGTCATTGACCAAAACATGGTTACTTGGGGCATTATTGTATATACTATGGAATGAGGAGAGTATGTTTAATTTTATCAGGTATGGCGTTCAAAGATATCTATATCAGAACGAACAGAGTAGCTTCCAGTTATTTCTTTCATTTTGGAAATGTTTGGAAGTTATCTTTTCCTTGAAGGTTTAGAAAACTTTACCTGTGAATAAATCGATCCTTCTGTGAGAACTCCCTAATTATTAGTCTGCTAAGATTTTCTACTTCCCAATTTAGATTTTTCTTACTATACTATTCTTCTGGTTAATAGGACTTCATTGAGGTTTTTGAACTTAAAAGCACTATCTATTTCTTTGAAAATATCAAATCCATTATTTCTTTCTGGTCTGCAACTCCATGGTTCTTGAAAATTGTATTTAAAGATTACCCTATTTAAGGGTTACCTTATTTGAATTTTTCTCCTTTTGAAAAGAATCAATGCTTGAAATTTTTAATCAAAATCATCAGTTTTATGCTTTAAGTTTTTTTTCCCCTTAATTCTTCTATCCCCCAAAATGTTAGGCTGAATATAGCAGTAAAAAAGCAGAAATGATAAAAGAAGGCTTAAGGTGACTGGGTATATTTCCAGATAATTTAATGTGCCATGACTGATGATATCAATAAAGTCATATGCAAGGTTACACAAAGTCATAAAAACTATCTCTTTACATCATTGTTACTTTAAGAAAATTAGATTATATATTTTAATTCCTAGAAAAATTGTTGCAGTGAATTGCTGATCACAAAAACAGAATGCAATTATCGTACATGAACTTAAGTACACCGATGGTGAAACGGAGGTTTTCTGGATCATCCAGGACGGCGGAAGTCTTGAAGCACTGTTTGTAAGTTCCCGTTATTAGAGAAAGGTAATTTCTAGGACTTTCCCTAAAGCATCAACCTGCTTAAGGGTTAGACACAGCACCAGATCTACAATAAATTAAATAATACATTTGACATGTTTGCCTCCCTGTAGGTACTGCAGTGATGATTTACAAATACTTTCTCTTCATATTTCACTGGCAAGTGGTCAAATATTTCTGGTCCTCTATTAACATGTATCAATAATCAGAAATATTATTATCGATATGAAATAAGCAAACTGAATAATTATCAACCAACCACCATAGAAAAGGCAAGGCAGGCTAAACGTGGTAGCTCACGCCTGTAATCATAACACTTGGGAGGCCAAGGTGGGTGGATCACTTGTGGCCAGGAGTCAAGACCAGCCTGGCCAACACAGCGAAACCCCATCTCTACTAAAAATATAAAAACATTAGCCAGGCATGGTGGCGCACGCCTATAGTCCCAGCTACTTGGGAGGCTGAGGCATGAGAATCGCTTGAACCCAGGAGGTGGAGGCTGCGGGGGGCCAAGATTGTGCCACTGCACTCCACCCTGAGTGACAGAGCGAGTCTCTGTCTCAAAACAAACAAACAAACAAACAAAAAAACATGAAAAGAAATGACATTAAGTGTCGTGGCTGTTAAAAAGATAAGACATGGTCCTTGAGATGAAGAAGCCTGAACTCACAAAGATATAAAATAAGCATAAAGAAACATGTTAAGCGACAAAAGGCTGGGGGAAACAAGGACAGTTCATGGACGTAGTGACATTTAAGTAAGGCTTTTGAGAGAGTAGTATTTAAATGGGTAAGGAAGTAGAGAGGGGGCCAGGTGTGGTGGCTCACACCTGTAATCCCAGCACTTTGGGAGGCCAAGACAGGAAGAGTGCTTCAGCCCAGGAGTTCAGGACCAGCCCAGGCAACATAGGGAAACCCTACGCACAGATAAAATTAAAAGATTAGCCAGGCGTGGTGGCATGTGCCTGCAGGCCCAGCTACTCGAGAGGATCACTTCGGCCTGGGAGATTGAGGCTGCAGTGAGCTATGACTGCACCACTGTACTCCAGCTTGGGAAATAGAGCAAGACCCTGTCTTAAAGCAATAAAAGCTGGGCACAGTGGCTCATGCCTATAATCCCAGCACTTTGGGAAGCCAAGACAGAAGGATAGATTGAGGCTAGGAGTTTGGGACAAGCCTAGGCAGCAGAGCAAGACCTCGTCTCTACAAAAAATAAAAAATAATTAGCTGGGTGTGGTGGCACGAGCCTGTGTCCCCAGCTACTTGGGAGGTTGAGATGAGAGGATCACATGAGCCTGGCAAATCGAGGCTACAGTGAGCTGTGACCACACTACTGCATTCCAGTCTGGGCGACAAAGTGAGAGAGCTTGTCCTTAAAAAAAAAAAAAAAAAAAAAAAAGCCGGGTGCAGTGGCTCACACCTGTAATCCCAGCACTTTGGGAGGCTGAGGCGGTATATCACTTGAGGTCAGGAGTTCTAGACCAGCCTGGTCAAAATGGTGAAACCCTGTCTCTACTAAAAACACAAAAAATTAGCTGGGCGTGGTGGTGGTGTGAGCCTATAATCCCAGCTACTCAGGAGGCTGAGGCAGGAGAATCGCTTGAACTTGGAAGGCAGAGGTTGCAGTGAACTCAGATTGCACCGCTGCACTGCAGCCTGGGAGACAGAGAGAGACTCAAAAAAAAAAAAAAAAAAAAAAAGGAAAAAGAGGATGAAGGATGTTTGAAAATGCATGAAGTAGGGTGTACATGCATGATAATATGGGGCATATGGTTTATGAGACTATAGCTTGCCCTGAATTTGGTGAAGAGGACACAATCAGGTAGAGCCAGGCAAAGGGCTGGCAATGGAGCTACAAGGACAAAGACAAACCCACAAGATTTTTTTTTTTTTTAAAGCATTACACAGGGACTCAAGGAATGTTTCCTGAGGAGTGTATGGGAGAAGGAAAGTTGGTTCCAGGCTGTGAAAAGCCACCGTCACTATTGGTGGGTGGTAGACACTGAGGACTTTCTGGGGGAAGGAGAACATGATAGGACCCACAGTGAAGGAGAGGGGGTGGCATGAGGTCCCATTCTAACACTGGAGTTCAGACAGGATGGAAGACTGCACTATTTCCAGGACAGTGGGGTGTATGGGGAAGGTCTCATGAATAATCCTTAAATAATGCAGCATCAGGCCTAACACTGAGGAGGACAGAGCAGAGAGTGTGGCGCACCTTCTGGGCGATCATGTTGCAGATCTCAGGCAGGAAGTCCTCACTGAGGAGCTTGTAGAGCTGCCGTTCTCGAAGGGAGGTCCTCTCGCGAAAACTCTCGGTGACCTGTCTCCATTCCTCTTCTGTCTGGCACAGGAGCCACCAAGTACCTTGGCCTGGCCCTTGGGACCCTAGAAAATAAAGGAACGGATTCACTACAGGAGATCCCATGAGGACCTTTCCTTATTTATTCTCAATTTTGTTTCTACTGTGGGTCATGACTAAAATAAGGAACTCGGCCGGGCGCGGTGGCTCAAGCCTGTAATCCCAGCACTTTGGGAGGCCGAGGCGGGCGGATCACGAGGTCAGGAGATCGAGACCATCCTGGCTAACACGGTGAAACCCCGTCTCTACTAAAAATAGAAAAAAAAAAATTAGCCGGGCGCGGTGGCGGGCGCCTGTGATCCTAGCTACTCGGGAGGCTGAGGCAGGAGAATGGCGTGAACCCGGGAGGCGGAGCTTGCAGTGAGCCGAGATCACGCCACTGCACTCCAGCCTGGGCGACAGAGTGAGACTCCGTCTCAAATAAATAAATAAATAAAAATAAAAAAAATAAAATAAGGAACTCAAAAAAGAGACCTATTACTTAATTTTATTTTTTTTGAGACAACGTCTGGCTCTATTGTCCAGGCTGGAGTGCAGTGGTGCCATCTCAGCTCACTGTAACCTACACCTCCTGGGCTCAAGCCATCTTCCCATCTCAGCACCCCCCAAGTAGCTGGGACTACAGGTGTGTACCAGCACATCCAGCTAAACTTTTGTATTTTTCGTAGAGACAGGGTTTTGCCATGTTGTCCAGGCTGGGCTCTAATTCCTGAGCTCAAGTGATCTGCCTGCTTCGAACTCCCAAAGTGCTGGGATTACAGGTGTGAGCCACTGCACCTGGCCTACTTTTAAATTTTATTTATTTATTTATTTATTTATTTATTTAGAGGCAGAGTCCTGCTCTGTTGTCCAGGCCGGAGTTCAGGGGCACCATCTCAGCTCACTGCAGCCTCCGCCTCCTGGATTCAAGTGATTCTCCTGCCTCAGCCTCCCGAGTAGTTGGGATTACAGGTGCCTGCCACCACGCCCAGGTAATTTTTGTATTTTTAGTAGAGATGGGGTTTCACAATGTTGGCCAGGCTGGTCTCGAACTCCCGACCTCAAGTGATCCATCCACCTCGACCTCCCAAAGTGCTGGGATTACAGGCATGAGCCGCCACAATGGCCTCTTTTTGACTTTAAAGTTGACAATGTATACTTCTGGTTTTCCTGTTAAAGTCATTGTTAACAACTAAAAAAAAATGTAATGTCTAAAGGCAATACAAATATAACTACTGTGAATTTAACAAGATAGATATTCACAGTCTAGAAATGATTAAATATATTGACAGAAATGGTTTTGATTTTGAGTCTTTGCTGAGTCTACCCTGCCTCAACTACACTGTGCAAACTGGTATGTGCCTCCCATTTTTATGTTATTTGGATTACAAAATTAAAATCTAGGTAGGAAACCAGTATGTAGTAAACCTATAAGGAAACCATTGTGTCATGAAGCACTGACATTAAAAAGACCTCTCTTTGAGAAGCTGGTTATTCACTCCAACGTTAAGGTGTCTATTACACTGTCCCCAGTAAACAGGGCACTAGTGAAAAGATCTAGTTCTGATCTTAATCCTTAGTCAGATGATGAGCTGGGCACAGGATAAGGTGTGAGGAGGAGAACTGAAGAAGAGTACAGGGGGTAGGTAAAAGGCTATTGCAATAACCTTTACTTTGTATGACTCTAGAAAAAGAGTCAACACCCTAGCATAAATGAATCATATTTATTTAATTCTTTCTAAATGCCAGTAAAGAACATTACCATGTCTTGTCTGTGGCTCGGATGCCAAGGAATTTTCTTCCTGCTTTTCACTGAAACACAGGAAAAAGAGGTGCCAATTAAAACAAAGACAGGTCCAAAATTGTTCTGTGCCACCCCAGGATGGTAGAACCCATTAATTTAACACAAAGAGAGTGTATGTGTGTGTGTTAAGGGGACAAGGCTTGGAGGCGGAACGCTGAATAAATGAACACTAAGATGCAGGCATGCTGGTCTAGGAGGGAAGTACTGACATACAGCTACCCTATGTTATGGCAACAGTATCAATGCATAAGAAAACAGTAACTTTTATTTTTTATTTTTATTTTTTTGAGACGGAGTCTTGCCCTGTCACTTAGGCTGGAGTGCAATGGCGCGATTTCAGCTCACTGCAACCTCCGCCTCCCAGGTTCAAATGATTCTCCTGCCTCAGCCTCCTGAGTAGCTGGGACTATAGGCACCCGCCACCAGGTGCAGCTAATTTTTGTATTTTTTAGTAGAGACGGGATTTCACCATGTTGGCCAGGCTGGTCTTGAACTCCTGACCTCATGATCTGCCTGCCTTGGCCTCCCAAAGTGTTGGGATTACAGGCGTGAGCCACCGTGCCCAGCCAGAAAACAGTAACTTTTAAAGCTTTTTTTGGAAATCAAACAGATGCACTGTTTTTTTTGTTTGTTTGTTCTTGTTTTTTATCACTGCTCCAGTCAAGAGAGAGATGCAACTGTTAATAATTAAATGCCAAGAAAAAAGAACTGTAGGGATTCCAATGTCCTCCTCCCTGATTCAGGGCCGCACTGAAGACAGGTGTATTTATTATAATTGATCCTTACCTAAGGCAGAGGGTTAAGAGCATGGGCTCCGAAGGGGGAATGCCTCTATTCAAGCTGTGCCACTTACAATGTGACCTCAGGAAAGTTAATTAACTTTCCCCCAAAATGGAGCTATTAATAGTGCCTACCTCACAGGGACGTTGGAGATTAAATGACAAAATGCAAAGTGTATAACGCATTAGGATGAAGTATCATTTTCACTTGTATCCCTGAAACAGAAAGGACACTCTGTGGACTTTTCGCTTGTTTTCGATTAAAGTTTCTATGAGAATGAAAATGTTCTATATTGGCATTATCCAATAAACCATGTGGCTGCTGAGCATCTGAAACGTGGCCAGCGTGAACCAGAAACTGAATTTTAAATTTAATGAAAAAATATTTAAATACTGGCTTACACACACAGCTCTAAAGGAAAAAAGTCACCAGTAGAGGGTAGCACAAGTCCATGGATGCTTGTTAAAATGATTCTACAGTCCCAACCCTAAGCTACTGTGATTCTTGATACTTATGGGGAAACGGAGACAGGTATCATGCAGCTTTCTGAATATCGAAGGACGTGTGAAATCCTAACAAACCCGGAAACAGGTGTTGATACATAAAACGTTAAGTAATTACAGGACATTTGTCACAGAAACGGATAAGCAAGAAATAGGCAGCTGCAATCTGAAGCTGAACTTCTGTAAAGTTAAGTGGATGCTGATTGAGTTAAAATCAGGATCTGAGTGATCTACATTCTTTTTTTTTTTGAGATGGAGTATCGCTGTGTCGCCCAGGCTGGAGTGCAGTGGCATAATCTCGGCTCACTGCAAGCTCTGCCTCCCAGGTTCACGTCATTCTCCTGCCTCAGCCTCCCGAGTAGCTGGGACTACAGGCACCCGCCACCACGACTGGCTAATTTTTTGTATTTTTAGTAGAGACGGGGTTTCACCGTGTTAGCCAGGATGGTCTCGATCTCCTGAGTGATCTATATTCTTAATCTGATTTCCCAGAAATATTTCTTAGTGGTTAAAAAGTGACAGGGTGAAATTCAGCCTAACTCAAGCATTTAGATTAAGTAGGAAGGGAAGAAGCCACTTGTCCTGAGTTATCAGAATTTTTAAGAATACAGCCTCACTTCAATAGGCTTAGTGATAGAGCTGATCCTTAAGTAAAAAGTGTATTTACACAGCATAGGTCAGATTTTGAAAAGTCCTATAGCAAGATTCACATGGTGAAATTTCCTAGAAGATAATGACATATAAAAGAAAATCCCCCAAGTATCTTTCTTTGCTAAAATTAAATATAAAATTGAAGAATGAAAAAAACTGTCTTGTTCAATATAATCCTCATTAAGTGCACATCCATCGTCTAGTAAGAGGACTCGCTTAGAGAGGGGAGGTGACTTGCCAGATGTCACACACTAAGGGCTTCCTGACTGTACTGCACATGTGGTAATTTCATAAGGACTCAGTTTCAGGTTGCTATAATAATGTGCTTCCCATGGCACAGGCAAAATAAAGAAAAAGGAATAAATGAATTAAGGTCCCTTCTGCCATGGTCTATGACCACAACTAACAAGATTTTCTTACCTCAACAGAATCTCCTCCTGCAGTTTCTTCCGTTTTGGGGGTCTTCCTCTTCTTTTTCCCGTTTTTCCAGGAATACTTGAGACATTTTTTTGTCCTTCACTTTCCCTAATAAATAATATTAAATAGAAATGTTCTGGCACAGGATTGGCATTGCTACATATGATTTTAAAACAGTATTTCTGGCCATGAGATTACCAAAAAGGATTAAATGTAGCAGTGAAAGGAAAAGGGAACAGCAACTTCCAGTCTTCATTATTAGACTGTGGATCTGAGGAAAACTAACATTTTGCAATACTAAAATGTGCTTAAGATCTAACTAACACCTTCCGAAGAGTAAGCATTCTCCTAGCAGTAAGAAAGCCTAAATAAGAGGTTAGCATTGTTTTGGGATGCTATGGAAATGCGGCCTCTTCCTTACTTAGTAAAGCTTATGTTTCAGGCATCATTTAAATTCCTTCTGTTCTTAAACTGATGGATACTAACGTTCATAAACTACATCATTAAATTCTTTTTTTTTTTTTTTTTTTGATGGAGTCTCGCTCTGTCGCCCAGGCTGGAGTGCAGTGGTGCGATCTCGGCTCACTGCAAGATCAGCCTCCCGGGTTCACACCATTCTCCTGCCTCAGCCTCCCGAGTAGCTGGGACTACAGGTGCCCGCCACCACGCCTGGCTAATTTTTTGTATTTTTAGTAGAGACAGGGTTTCACCGTATTAGCCAGGATGGTCTCGATCTCCTGACCTCGTGATCCGCCCGCCTCGGCCTCCCAGAGTGCTGGGATTACAGGCATGAGCCACTGCGCCTGGCATAAACTACATCATTAATTCTAGTCGAAATAAGGAGATCTCAAGGACTGATGATGCAAGATGAAATTGTTACTGCAGTGAAATGATTGTGCTGCTGAGAAGAAACCTGCTATATTAAAATAGCCTGTGGCAAGAGGAGTGGCATTTCTCAGAAACCTCCTATCAAGAACTTCAGATTAAAAAAGTATATTTAACCCCTCTGGTAGCAGAGAATTAATTCCTTTTTGTTTTTGCATGAAGTATCTCCTTACCATCTCTTTGCAGGCATGCTTAGAGAATTCCTTCATTAGGAAAAAAAAATTGTGCTGTAGAATTCTGATGCATTTAATCTTAATGACATTTTAATACAGTAGCTATCATGCCCTAACACTGAAGAACATACCTGCTCAAAGAGAGTTCTCCATTGGATTTTCCTTGCACCGGGTCCTCTTTGTACATTCGTGTTCCATAGAAATACCAATATAGTGCCCCAGAATTGTCTTCACCCAATGGCTCCACACGGAGACTGTCTGCATCCAGGCCCTACACAGAGCACGGAAAAGGGGTTTGGGGAAATGGGGAACAAAACGCACCAGGAAAAAACCAGAACGAGGATTCCAAATTTACACGTAAGCATAACTCAAATCTAAAAATGCCCAAGTATCGCTGGGCGTGGTGGCTCACGCCTGTAATCCCAGCACTTTGGGAGGCTGAGGCGGGCAAATCATGGGGTCAGGAGTTCAAGACCAGCCTGGCCAACATGGTGAAACCCCACCTCTACTAAAAATACAAAAAATCAGCTGGGCGTGGTGGCGCGCGCCTGTAATCCCAGCTACTCGGGAGGCTGAGGCAGGAGAATCGCTTGAACCTGGGAGGTGGAGGTCGCAGTGAGCCAAGATCATGCCACTGCACTCCAGCCTGGGCGACAGAGAGAGACTCTGTCTCAAACAATAAATAAATAAATAAATAAATAAAAATGTCCAAGTATCTTATGTAATTTTCAATCAGCATAAGAAACACGGATATAATGGGAAGGTGGTACCTACTTTGAGGAACAAGAGATGGAAATATTACAATGCTCCCTATCCCCACCATTGTTCCCTTTTCAAAAAAGAGAGAATCCAACAGCAATCCTGATGAACAGTTTACAGATTTGGCTGGGAGCGGTTGTTTTATGTGAGCACACACGAAAAGAAAGACAAGTACAACCGGGTGGATCAGGCACGGGGCAAGCTTTGCCCCATGGGATCCTCTGTGGCAGTTCCGGCATAACCTCCTGTGACCTCTCACTCCAGCTGAGTTCCAGTGACAGGGCTCCCAATTTACCTCGGGGGCTGACCTGTACTGGCCTTCTCACTGCTACTGAAGTCCTTGAGTCCTCAGCAAAGACCGTGCTAAATTACACAATGATTTTTTTATAATGTGCCCATAACCAGAGCTCAACTGAGAAGTCATCACCACATTTAATCACTGATGATGGAACAGGATTAGAAACTGACTTCCCTATGAGTGAAAGCAATAACCCACACTCTCCCTTGAGGATATACTTTTTTTTTTTTTTAAAGACGGAGTCTCGCTCTGTCACCCAGGCTGGAGTGCAGTGGCGCAATCTCGGCTCACTGCAAGCTCCGCCTCCCGGGTTCATGCCATTCTCCTGCCTCAGCCTCCCGAGTAGCTGGGACTACAGGCGCCTGCCACCACGCCCGGCTAATTTTTTTTTACTTTTAGTGGAGACGGGATTTCACCGTGTTAGCCAGGATGGTCTCGATCTCCTGACTTCGTGATCTGCCTGCCTTGGCCTCCCAAAGTGCTGGGATTACAGGCGTGAGCCACAGCACCCGGCCCCCTCTAGGATATACTTCTAAACAGATAACCACACCAAGGGGGACAGAGAGATGGCCACAGCTTCCTTCAACACATTTTTTGTAACGTGGATGTGTGTAGAGGATGACCTTCACTAACATATACGGTTTCAAGTTCTTGGAGATTTCAGTAAATATTTCAATCAAATTTACACCCTGAAAAATAAAACTCAGTGGCGGATTTAGTTGCAGGTTTGGCTGATGACAGAACAAACAGGGTCCTCTGGTTGTACCTATTGCAGATAGGACTCAGTGCACGTAAAGGAAGATGAAACCAGACTAGAAATTAGACCAAAATAACGTACTTCCATAGGGATGTACATCTTGCATCTCCGTGGCTACAGCAGTCATGGTTTTCCATACAGTGTTATTGGCAATGAATAGTACCAAGACTAGTACCACAAGCCAAACTCTGGCTTAGTATCTTTGGGTTTTACGTTCTGACTACATTTCTGATTGCTGGCTTTTCACAGCTACAGGGAAAGGTTCGCCAGTTAAGCATACCTTTAGAAGATCGAAGACATCGTCTGCATCCAGCCGGTAATCACAGAGTCGGTGCAGGATCTCCACCCGTGTGCGAAGAGGCAGGTCCTGGAAACTGGCTTCCCTCAGAGGGTTGGGCTTCCCTTCTTCGAGCTCCCAGCGGTAGTTGATGATGTCCTCTAGGTAGCTGTGGAATGTCTGAGGCCTAGACCAGGGCCCCAAACACAAAAATACATTAATATAAAATATAGGTTGGTTGGGAGAAGGAGAGAGAGAGAGAACTCATGATCTGACAGCTAACAGATTTTTGTTTTTATACAGACAGGGTCTCGCTCTGTCATCCAGGCTAGAGCACAGTGGCAAGATCTCAGCTCACTGCAGCTCTCCTGGGCTCAAAAGATTTTCCCACCTCAACCTCCCAGGTACCTGGGACCACAGGCATGCACCACCACACCCAGCTAATCTTTGTATTTTTTGTAGAGACAGGGGTCTCCCTATGTTGCCCAGGCTGTTCTCAAGCTCCCAGGCTCACACGATCCGCCCGCCTTGGCTTCCCAAAGTGCTGGGATTACAGGGGTGAGGTAACACGCTTGGCCCAGTTGACAAATTTTACACAGAAAGCAGAAATGAAAAACAGTAACAGGAAGTCCCTCATGAAGTTTCAGCCTACTTACATGGATATTGTGTTTTGTCAACTATCAAGGAAGATAAATATATAAAGAGGGTTTTTCACAGAATAGGTTGACTTTAAAGCCCGAATAGCACATTCTGGTGGAATGGGTAAAAGCATAATCAAATGTGTAGGTTATGAAGCTGAGGCAAAAGTCTCACCCGCTACGCGTACAACTGAAGACACCCTGCGGTTCAGACAGTACAAAGTTGGGTTCATGACTTAGGTGGCGAGAAAAAAGGAAAAAAGAAACGCATAGTTGGCCTAACCTAATTTATATTTCAGGTTAAGATACAAAGGCAGAAAGTCCTCCAGAATACAAATGGCTACACTGATATGCAACTATAATTTCATATTCTATTATACATGAACTTTAAGGCATGAACACTGCATTCTAAATTTTTTTTCTTTGATTTTTCTTTCTTTCTTTTTTTTTTTGAGACAGAGTCTCGCTCTGTCACCCAGGCTGGAGTGCAGTGGCTCGATGTCAGCTCACTGCAAGCTCCACCTCCCGGGTTCATGCCATTCTCCTGCCTCAGCCTCCCGAGTAGCTGGGACTAGAGGCGCCCACCACCATGCCCGGCTAATTTCTTTTTGTAATTTTAGTAGAGACCGGGTTTCACTGTGTTAACCAGGATGGTCTCGATCTCCTGACCTCGTGATCCACCCGCCTCGTCCTCACAAAGTGCTGGGATTACAGGCGTGAGCCACCGTGCCCGTCCTTTCTTTGATTTTTCAGAGATGGGGTCTCAGCATGTTGCCCAGGCTGGTCTTGAACTCCAGGGCTCAAGCAATCCTCCCATGTCTGTATATTAAAATTTGAAGATAGTTTTTCTGCAGAGAACATTTAAGACACCTAGATGGCAATTTAAATTTTTTCTTCAGTACAGTCTGGAAACCCTATAATTGTGTTAAATATATTTTTTCCCATATGGGGTCTCACTATATTGTCCAGGCTGGACTCAAACTCCTGAGCTCAAGCAATCCTCCCACCTTGGTCTCCAGAGCATCTGGACTATAAGTGCGTCTTACCACATCCAGGTGTAAATACCTTTTTTTTTTTTTTTTTTTTTTTTGAGACAGAGTCTTGCTCTGTCACCCAGGCTGGAGTGCAGTGGTGCGATCTTGGCTCACTGCAAGCTCCGCCTCCCAGGTTCACGCCATTCTCCTGCCTCAGCCTCCCGAGTAGCTGGGACTACAGGCGCCTGCCACCACGCCCAGCTAATTTTTTGTATTTTTAGTAGAGACAGGGTTTCACTGTGTTAGCCAGGATGGTCTCGATTTCCTGACCTCATGATCCACCCGCCTCGGCCTCCCGAAGTGCTGGGATTACAGGCGTGAGCCACCACACCCGTTTTTTTTTTTTTTTTAATGGAGTTTTGCTCTTGTAGCCCAGGCTGGAGTACAATGGCGTGATCTTGGCTCACTGCAACCTCTGCCTCCTGGGTGCAAGTGATTCTCCTGCCTCAGTCTCCTGAGTAGCTAGGATTACAGATGCCCACCACCATGACCGGCTAATTTTTGTATTTTTAGTAAAGACAGGGTTTCACCACGTTGGCCAGGCTAGTCTTGAACTCCTGACCTCAGGTGATCCGCTTGCCTTAGCCTCCCAGAGTGCTGGGATTACAGATGTGAGCCACTGTGCCCAGCCACGTATTTTGATTAGTACCTAAATATGCCTTCCATGTAATAATGTGCTGTTTGTTAGATGGTTATTTTACATCTCAACTATTAAGAATCAAGATCTAATTTACCTCATGCTTGATGTGAAAAGTTTTTTCTTATTAATAAGCAAAGAGGCCTAAAGAAGTTATTGGTATCATTTTAAAATTAGGCAACTACTATGTTGACTTATAATCTATGGTAGTTATATTTGCAGCAAAGTGAAAGGAAATATTTGTGGAAAAAATTAAGAAGGCTTAGGCAAATAAGAAATTAAACAGTTTGCCGGGCGCGGTGGCTCACGCCTGTAATCCCAGCACTGTGGGAGGCCGAGGTGGGCGGATCACGAGGTCAGGAGTTTGAGACCAGCCTGGCCAATATGGTGAAATCCCATCTCTACTATAAATACAAAAATTAGCCGGGCGTGGTGGCGTGTGCCTGTAGTCCCAGCTACTCAGGAGGCTGAGGCAGGAGAATTGCTTGAACCTGGGAGGCAGAGTTTGCCGTGAGCCGAGATTGTGCCCCTGCACTGTAGCCTGGGCAACAGAGTGAGATGCTGTCTCAAAAAAAACAAAAAAACACTTAAACAGTTTGCTTTTTCAAAGAGAGAAGAAACATCTTTCCCCTACTCTTACTATCTCACTGGGGAAAACATGAGTATGGCAGCTTTATCAAAATGCAGCGTAACAGTTCTAACAATCAGGGCTCTCACAAATCTCACTGGACTACAGCATTCACATTCAGCACACGAGCACCGGCCATTACTGAGTGCTTGAACCTTGCAGGGTTTGGACTGGCTGCCTCTCCATTGTCTGTGAAGTTGCTACCAACCCTTCCAGAGTGAGGAGCCGGGCAAAGAGTAGTTCAAACTCACATTAAAATGCAGACAGTGTCGTAACGGTGAATTTGAAAATGAAAAAGTTTGGCCAGGCATGGTGGCTCACGCCTGTAATCCCAGCACTTTGGGAGGCCGACATGGAGAAACCCCGTCTCTACTAAAGTAAATACAAAATTAGCCGGTTGTGGTGGCATATGCCTGTAATCCCAGCTACTCTGGAAGGCTGAAGCAGGAGAATCGCTTGAACCCGGGAGGCAGAGGTTGTGGTGAGCCAAGATCGCGCCATTGCGCTCCAGCCTGGGCAAGAAGAAACGCCGTCTCCAAAAAGAAAGAAAGAAAGAAAGAAAATGAAAAAGTGTTTTTTTAAAAACTGCTTTTTTAGTAGCCAGAAGTGTGTAGAAGACAATCATCCTTTGGCAATAAATCTCTTTATCTACCGCATGCTTTCGAGAATTTCTAATGTACACCAAGTTCCACAAACACTAAAGTCTGTTTTTTCCTGCAATAAAATAAAACATGGAATCAGTGAAATCTGTATCATTTCACCAGAATAGCAGCTTCACTGGAGGATGTGCAGAAGATGCTGGGCCAGGGAGCGAGACCTTTCTTATTCCAATGTGAGGTTGAGAAAGTACAGGCATACCAGCCCACAAACACTGCGTGTGCATCCGCAGTGCTGCTCCTTTAGACAACAGTCTGTCTGGAAGCCCTTACTTGTCTCAAACAATTCCATGTTTCAGATTCCTTCCCAACAGGCCTATTGTCCTACTCAGTTTAAATTACATCACTTTTGCTAAAAGCTTTCTTAAGGCATCTATCTCCATGCCACCTTAACTAGGAGACACCTGAGGGCCTACAATCCAAGACAATTCCATTTCCTTGTATGTAGATCAACCTTCTCCTAGAAATCTACATCTCCTTTTAAACATCAGAGAGTGAATGGGGAAAAATCTCTTGAGGGCAAAGGCACTGGCTAAGGGTGATTTGAAATAAAAAGGCTTCAGGAAGCTAAAAATCAGGCTAATTCTTTTGACTTACTGGTTCTTCATCTTCTATAGGACAGAAAACACTTAATAATTTGATAAAGACTACATACTTTCTCCCCCAGAAAAATGAGCACACAATTTTGCATGTACTTTCAGGTTTTACTATTTAAAGGAAAAAGAGGCCGGGCGCAGTAGCTCACGCCGGTAATCCCAGCACTTTGGGAGGCCGAGATGGGCAGATCACTTGAGGACAGGAGTTTGAGACCAGCCTGGCCAACACAGAGAAAGCCTGTCTCTACTAAAAATACAGAAATTAGCCAGGCATGGTGGTACGTGCCTGTAATCCCAGCCACTCGGGAGGCTGAGGCAGGAGAATCACTTGAACTCAGGAGGAGGAGGTTGCAGTGAGCTGAGATTGCACCACTGCACTCCAGCCTGGGCGACAGAGCCAGACTCTGTCTCAAAAATAAAATAAAATAAAATATAAAGTAAAATAAAATAAAGGAAAAAGAACAGTGGCACTGTGCTGCTAAAAACTAATGTGTACATATTTTTAAGCTTCTCAAGTTTAGATTACCTGGAACATTCATTCACTTACTCATCCATTCATCTCCTTGCAATTCCCTCTTAATGACTTAGTAATTCTCATCATTCTGAAATTATCTTGAACTATAATAAAACATTTCATTTAAAAATAGTAATGCAAAGATCAAACCAAACGGAATTTCTCAGAACAACAAGGTCTATTTTATTTCTTGTCTAGGAAAAGTTCCAAATACTCTTAAATGACCCATTTTCGCATTCATTTTCCATCCTACAAAACAGCAGTAAGAGACTGGCTCTTAATTACCTCTTTTTTTCCCTCTATGAGTGAAAGAGCAAGAAAGAGTGAAAATAAGAATGAGTCAACAACCTTTCCAAACTCTTAAAGTTAGCCATTTCTTAGAGGCCCAGCAGAGAATTTCTCAGCTTGCTCCAGACAGAACATGCTTCTACTGCTGAGACCAAGGACGGCACGACCTGATTCAAGTGTTCCAGCACAAGCCTCTGCCGGCTGGAACTGGCAGAATTCTTCACTGTGTAGGACAACACATTGTTAATATCTGCACCCTGTTTGGGGAGATCACAAGAAGAAGACTCTTAAGTTCTTTGAGGCATGTGTTAGGGACATGAAAGGGCAGCCATGGTCTCTCTACAGGGGAGCAATAAAGGTTTGGCACCAGGCTTCCCAGAATGGAGATAAGATGAAAAATCAAATTGCATTCTCCCATTTGCTACAACAATTTGTGAAGCAAATGAAATACATGTACACACAGGCCACGTTTAACATAAGTACTGAATTGAGATAAATATTCTGGTTCTAGTAGTAAAGCAACAAGTAAAAGATTCTGTATGAATACTTGATAAAGCATTTATTCTCGAAGCTTATAAAAAGACCAGGCCAAAATAATTAAAATAACAGTTCTTCTTCTCTAGGGCTGTAGAATAGCTACTATATCCCACATACTAAAATCAACATGACAGCCAAGATAAGTTAAAATCATGGTTATTTCAAATTAAAGGAAAATATGGTTAAGGCAGAATCTGCAAAACATCTTTGCCTAGAGAAACATGTACATAATACAGATTTTTACATGTGTTTATGAATGTTTATGTTGGGTAACCAAGAAAGTGAATAAACCCCAAATGTATCTTTAAAATGATAAAGGCTATTTTTTTAATGGAACCTAAATACTGTACAGATGAAGTGAGAAGTCTCAAGTATCATGTATAAGGCATGAAGAGGTACAATAAAAATTCTGAATAGCTCTGGATAAAATTTAAGGATATATATTGTTTGCCCTACGACTGCTAAACACCCACCCCCCCACACACACACACACAGAATAAGAAGCCAATAGTGGAAATAAAGTGATACACTTAAAACAAATTCATGTGCCTAAAAGAAAGCATTAAAGGACCAACAAAGGAACAAAAAGCAGAAGGCAGCAGAGAAGTTTCTCAACCTTAGCCACTTGGGAAATGCAAGTCAAAACCATAATGAGGTACCACCTCATGTCCACTATAATGGAGGACGTCAAAAAACACACAGTAACAAGTGCTGACCAGGATGCAGAGACACGGAATCCTCACACACGGCCGGTGGGAAGGCTAAGTGTGCAGCTGCTGTGGAAGTTTCGCCAAGTTGCACTGAACTACCAACCCAGCCACTCCAACTCCTAGGTGTACACCCCAGAGAAAAGGAAAACACATCCACACAAAGACTTGCGCACAAATGTTCAAAGCGGCAGAATTCCTAACAGCCAAAAGCTAAAATCTGCGTACATACCCATGAACTGAAGGATTAAGTGTGTATCCACACAATGAAGTATTATTTTACCATAAAAATGAATGAAGTACTGATTCATGCTACAACATGGTTAAAACTTGAAAAATAACTCTAAGTGAAAAAAGCCAGATACAAAAGGACACTTCCCATATGGCTCCAGTTATAAGATGGGCCTACAACACTCAAACCTGTGGAGACAGTAAGAATAGTGACGCTGGGAAGTGGGTGGGAGGAAACAGGGAATGATTGCTAATGGTACAAAGTGTCTTCTGTAGGGTAATAGAAGTATTCTGCAATTAGATAGTGGTGATGGTTGCACAATTTTGTTAATACATAAAAACCAATGAATTGTACACTTTAAAAAAACACAAGGAGGCCTGGCATGGTGGCTCATGCCTGTAATCCTAGCACTTTGGGAGGCTGAGGTGGACAGATCATGAAGTCAGGAGTTTGAGACCAGCCTGGCCAATATGGTGAAACCCTGTCTCTACTAAAAATAAAAAATAAAAATAAAAAAAAAATTAGCCGGGCGTGGTGGCATGCACCTGTAATCCCAGCTACTCGGGAGGCTGATGCAGGAGAATTGCTTGCACTCAGGAGGCGGAGGTTGCAGTGAGCTGAGATCACACCACTGCACTCCAGCCTGGGTGACAGAGCAAGACGCCATCTCAAAAAATAAATAAATAAAAATACAAAGATTAAAAGGATAGAAAATGATCTACCAGGCACAGTAAGCATGAGAAAGCTGAGGATTAATATGAGACAAAGCAGATGTGGAGACAGAGTGTCACATAAGAAGAAATGGAACAACTTCCCAGGACTATATAACAAAGCTACCGCTACACATCCAATAACAGGACACCACAACCCATGAGACAAAATGGGCACAACTAATGGGAGAAATAGATCCACAATCAGAGAGATTTTAATACTGGCTTCTCATTAATAGACCAAACACACACACACACACACACAAAAAAAAAACAGTAAGGAACAGATCTCAACAGTATTACCACTAACATACTAAATCACGAATTTAAATAATACACTTTTGGGTCACAGAAGAAATAAAGGAGAGCATGTTTTAAACAATAATATAAACATCAAAATTCGCAGGATGCAGCCAACTATGGGTTAGAAGGAAATTTACAAGTTTTTTAGGGAAAATTTATAGCTTTAAATGCCTGTTTTTTGAAAAAAGGCTCAAAAACAGTACTCCAAAGAAGCAAAAAAAAAAAAAGAGCAAGCTAAAGCCAAAGTAAACAGAGGAAATAAAAAAGAGAAATCAATAAAATAAAAAAGCAAAGAGTAAAGAAAATTAATAATATAAAACAGTTCCTTAGTAAACATTTAAAAAGTTGATAAGGCCTGGAATGGCTGCTCACGCCTGTAATTCCAGCACTTTGGGAGGCTGAGGCTGGAGGACAACTTGAGGCCATGAGTTCAAGACCAGCCTGGGCAATATATCAAGACCTGTCTCTACAACAAATATGCTTTAAATAAGCAGGGTGTGATGGAGCATACCTATAGTCCCAGCTACTCAGGAGGCTGAAGCCGGAGGACTGTTTGAGCCCAGGAGGTCGAGGCTGCAGTGGGCTATGATCACAGCACTGCACTCCAGCCTGGGTAACAGAGTGGGAACCCTGTCTCAAAAAAGTCAATAAATAAATTAAATAAGCATCCCTAATTTAAAAGAAATAAGTAAAACACTTGGCCAAATATTTCACCAAAAAAGACATATACAAATTTATGGTAAGCACATGAATAACCACTCCACATTACTAGTCATCGGGGAAATGCAAATTAAACCCACAATGAGCTGCCACTTTCAACACAATAGGATTAGTAAAATTAAAAACAGCAGATGTTGGCAAAGATAGGAAGTAACTAGGCCGGGCGAGGTGGCTCATGCCTGTAATCCCAGTACTTTGGGAGGCCGAGGCGGGTGATCACCTGAGGTCAGGAGTTCAAGACCAGCTTGATTAACATGGTGAAACCCCGTCTCTACTAAATACAAAAAATTAGCTGGCGCATGCCTGTAATCCCAGCTACTTGGGAGGCTGAGGCAGGAGAATCACTTGAGGTGGAGGTTGCAGTGAGCAGAGATAGCACCATTGCACTCCAGCCTGGGCAAAAAGAGCAAAACTCTTGTCTCAAACAAATAAATAAGTAAATAAAAATTTAAAAAGATATGAAGCAACTGGACTGTTCAGATATTGCTGGTGGAAACGTAAATGTTGCAAGTGTTTGGAAAATAATTTCACAGTTTAAGTCAAACATACTTTTACCATGTGACCCGCCAGCAATTCCCAAGAGAAATGAAATTAAGTGCACACAAGCATTTGTATGCAAATGTTCACAGCAGCTTCATTCATAATAGGCTCCAACTGGAAGCAACCTAAGTGCTCATCCCAAGAACAGATTCAATAAATTGTGATATATTTTTCACTAGATACAATTTAGTCCCCCACCCCCCTCAAAGGAATAAACCACTGATACAAACAATGGCATGGGTGAATATCATACAGGCACTATGTGAATGAAAGAAGCTGATGTGAGTTCATTTCACACTGTGTGATCCCATTCATACAGTTCTAGAACAGGTTAGGCTCCAACTATAGTGATAAAAATGTCGTCAGTGGTTGCCAGGTGTACAATGTAGGTATGGGGAAGACTGACTACAAAGGAAACTTTCTGGGAAGACAGAAATGTCTATTTTCTTCAGTAGGATAGTGACTATGTGGTGCCCTCATTTGTTACAAAACACTGGCCTATGTTAAAAAAGACACGATGAACGTACTTAACAGAAGTATTGTCATTTCCAAAAAGATGACAGATATTTCTGTAAAGAGAACCCAAAACACTAAATGTTTGTTTATAAGGGATCTAAATTAGGGAATCTATTACGCAATGCTAGATCCATAATTAAAAATTAAATGAGGCCGGGTGCGGTGGCTCACGCCTGTAATCCCAGCACTTTGGGAGGCCAAGGGGGGGCAGATCACCTGAGGTCAGGAGTTTGAGACCAGCCTGGTCAACATGGTGAAACGCTGTCTCTACTAAAAATACAAAAATTAGCCGGGCATGATGGTGGGTGCCTTAATCCCAGCTACTTGGGAGGCAGAGGCAGAAGAATCATTTGAACCCAGGAGGTGGAGGTTGCAGTGAGTCGAGATCAGGCCATTGCACTCAAACCTGGGGGACAAGAGCGAGACTTCTCTCAAAATAAATAAATAAATAAATAAATAAATACATGAAAAATTGAATATACAATGTTGATGAATTACCGTTTAAGAGTGTAAGCCACAGGACAGTGGGTGAAGACCATACTGAAGCACAAATCAGTCTGCGTTCTATAAAGAGCACTCTACTAAAGATGTACGGACAAAAGGAAAAACATTTTAGCAGTAAGTATTATCATCATGAGTATTTAATGAAAAAAATTTTTTTGAGACACCCAGGCTTGTGCATGGCGCGATCTCGGCTCACTGCAAGCTCTGCCTCCCGGGTTCACACCACTCTCCTGCCTCAGTAGCTGGGACTACAGGCGCTCGCTACCAAACCCGGCTGATTTTTTATATTTTTTAAGTACAGACGGGGTTTCACCGCGTTAGCCAGGATGGTCTCTATCTCCTGACCTAGTGATCCACCCGCCTCGGCCTCCCAAAGTGCTGGGATTACAGGCATGAGCCACCGCGCCCAACCAATGAAAAATATTTTTACGCTGCTTAAACCGTAGCTCAAAACACAGTTTGATTCAATCGTAGCTTTACTTTGACAGTGAAGAGCAAATCAGAAGTTCCTATTTTCCACCCAGTGCTCAATTTGCCAGGTTACTTCCCAGTGGAAAACAAAAGTGCTGAAAGAGCCACTAGTTAAATTCCTAAAGTATTTTTATTGATACAGGACCATAAAACCCACTGACCAGATTTGCAATTCCAGGGAGAATATAGAAGAAAAAGTATGTAGTGTTGCAAAGAACGTGTTAGCATCAAATCAAAACTCTGCTTAAGTTTTATATTGAAAGAGAAAGGCAAAGAATTGTCAAAAATGAAGAATCCACATTTCACCATCGAGCTGAAAAACAGAAAGTGAGCAATGCCTTAGATTAGTGACCTTCCAGCGAAGTCCTGGACCAGCAGCGTGCAGCATCAGCACCACCCAGAACTTGCACAGCATGCAGGTTCCCAGGCCCCAGCCCAAGCCTACGGAATGAAACGCTGGTGAGGCCCAGCGATTTGTGTTGTAACCACCCTTAGGTGATTGTGTGGTAAGGCTGGAGAATCACCACTCGCGCTTATTCATACCTTCTGTCTTCTCCCTGCTCACCAGGTATGATAACTTTCCTGAATTGCGATAAGCTTTCACTTGATCTTCTTCGTAAGTTTTCCATATATATGTATCCTTATTTGGTTCTCCTTGCCTTACACTTAATAAGTCACTGGTGTGTATGCTTCTGTGACTTGCATTATTTGCCTAACATTCTTTCTAATGGCCTAGTTTTTCCTGGGGAGAATGCACAGCTGTAGTAAGGCTTGCCCTCAGCTCCTCAAGGCCACCCGCGTTCCCAGCCATGTGGGCTTTCCCAGTGGCTGACGCTTCATCCAAGCCGCAAGGGGCGTCCCCAGAGTGTGACAGTGAACACTAGCATGTGACTGACACGCCCCCAGTGGCGTGTCACATACAGGCACACAGGGTTCCACAGCATCACGGGGGCCTCCTCGGAGTCCAGCCCCACGCCTTACACCCAGGAAAATACCACTTTATACCACTTTATTTTGGCAACAAAATGAACAAATTCCTGAAAAAATCATTTGAATTGAGACTTTATTCTCGATGTCTCTCAGGCTTATACCAGTTTTGTTTTGCCTTCGCTTCCTCAGGTAAAAAAATAAACTGTACTTGATGATGAGGTTCCTTTTACGTCTAAGTTGTTGACTATGAACTGCAGATCAATCTAGGATTTAAAAACCCTTTTAGATGGGCACGGTGGTGCCTGCCTGTCATCTCAGCTACTTAGGAGGCTGAGGTGAGAAGATGGCTTGAGCCCAGGAGTTGGAGGCTGCAGTCAGCTATGACTGCGCCACAGCACTCAAGACTGCGCTGAAGAGTGAGATCTCGTCTTCAAAACAAAAACAGAACAAACAAAACCCACGTTTTAAAGCAGAGGTCCACAGAAATAACTGATTTCTACTGAAATCATATAGATACTGCAGATATTTCCAAATAGCACTTATGCTCACTGAGATCTGAAGACAGTAATTTTGGGAAATTAGCTCTGCTGTTAGATGAATACAACACTAACTATATCAAAAATTTCATTCTTCAATACTTTACTTTCTTTTCTTTTTTGGAGACAGGGTCTCACTCTGCTACCCAGGCTGGAGTGCAGTGGCACCATCTCCACTGCAACCTCCGCCTCCTGGGCTCCACTGATTCTCCTGCCTCAGCCTCCCGAGTACCTGGGACTACAGGTGTGCGCCACTGTACCCCACTAATTTTTGTATAATACTTTTTGTAGAGCCGGGGTTTCACCATGTTGCCCAGGCTGGTCTCGAACTCCTGAGTTCATGTGAGCGGCCTGCCTCGGCCTCCCAAGAGTGTTGAGATTACAGGCGTGAGCCACCACGCCCGGCCAATACTTCACTACTTTTCAGTATAATTGGGTTCGGGTGTAATCTTATGATTTCAAAACATTATTTTTAGATGGGGTTCACAGGCTTCCTTAGTATGTCAAAGAGTTAAAAATCCTGTTTTCAAGGAAAACTGTTTTACTTAACACTTTTCTCCTGTACTTCTCATTGACAGCACGGGGCTGCAGTTAGGAGTCGGAGGTCTAGGAAACAGATCTGTACTGTCTCAATTACCAGCTGTGTAACCTTGGGCAATTTATTTAACTTCTCTGTGCCTCAAATTCCTCATCCCTGATGGAAGGATGGGAGAGGACTTTCTATTAGAGGGCTGTCGGAAGGATTAAATGAGTGTTCTTGAGAAGCAGTTGGCAGCGTCCAGGACATAGGACATGCTGGCCAGTATCATTTCCATGAGTAGACAGTGTTATGCTGTCCTGTAAGTGCAAAAACCTCAGGTTGGAGAGTACGGTTGAAAGGAAATGTGGCTTCTATATTTCAATTTTAAAGATTAGATTGAGTCAGTGGAACTGGAATAGTTAACTAGCTTCCTAAATACAGGAGTCGGAAAATTATAGCCCGAGGGCCAAATCTGGCCTGATGTCCTTTTTTGTTGAGACACACTTTCGCTCTGTCGCAGAGGCTGGAGTGCTGTGGCATGATCTCGGCTCACTGCAACCTCTGCCTTCCAGGTTCAAGCAATTCTCATGCCTCAGCCTACAGAGTAGCTGGGACTACAGGCGTGTGCCAATACACCCGGCTAATTTTTGAATTTTTAGTAGAGACGTGGTCTCGAACTCCTGACCTCAAGTGATCCGCCCACCTTGGCCTCCCAAAGTGCTGGGATTACAGGCTTGAGACGTTGCGCCAGACCTCCTTTAAAAACAAAACAAAACAAACAAACAAACAAAAAACAGTCTATAATAATGGTTTTTATATTTTTTAATGGTGGGGAAAAAAAATTAAAAAAAACAACAACAGAAAAACAGTCTTTCCTGGCAGGTGAAAATGATACAAAAGTCAAACCTCAGTGATTAGAAAGTTCTAATAAGACACAGTCACTATTGGTTTTTCTGTATTGCCTATGGCTGCTTTCATAGTGACAGAGCTGATTACCTGCAACACAGAGCCTAAAATACAAGGTGGGTGTGCACCTGTAACACTAGTTCCTCAGGATCAGGAGGCTGAGGCAGGAAGATTGCTTGAATCTAGAAGTTTGAGGCTGCAATGGGTTAGGATTGGTCGAATGCACTCCAGCCTGGGGAACAGAGTGAGACTCTGTTGCAAGTGAGGGCCTAAAATAGCCACGCATTGCTTAACATAAAGGATATGTTCTAAGAAAGGCATGGTTAGGTGATTCTGTTGCTGTGGAAACATCATAGTGTATTTACATAAACCTAGATGGTAGAGCCTACTACACACCTAGACTATATGGCATAGCCCACTGCTCCTAGGCTACAAACCTATACTGCACCTGACTGTACTGAATACTGTAAGCCACTGTAATGGAATGTTAAGGATTTGTGGATCCAGACACATCTAAACATAGAAAAGGTATAGTAAGGACATGGTACAAAAGATTTTTAAAATGGTGTATCTGTATAAAGCACTTGTCATGAGTGCAGCTTGCAGAACTAAAGTTGCTCTGGGTGAATCAGTAACTGAGTAGTAAATGAATGTGAAGGCTTGGCACATGACTGTACATCACTGTAAACTTTCTAAATGCTGTAAACTTAGGCTATACTATGTTTATTTTAAAAAAAACCTTTCCTTCAATAATAAATTTAGCTTACTATGACATTTAAAAATTCACAAACTTTTAACTTTTTGATTCTTTTGTAATAACAGCCTAAAACACTTTTTAGAGCTATACAAAAATATTTTTTTCTTTTTTTTTCTGCTCTGTAGCCACAGCTAGAGTGCAGTAGGGACCGTAGCTCACTGCAGCCTCCAACTCCTGATCCTCCCACCTCAACCTCCCTAGTAGCTTAGACTACATGCATGCACCACCATGTCCAGATAATTATTTTAATTTTTTTAGTAGAGACAGGGGTCTTGCTATATTGCCCAGCTAATTCATTTATTTTTATTTTTTAGTAGAGACGGAGTCTTGCTATGTTGCCCAGGCTGGTCTCGAACTCCTGGCCTCAAACCGTCCTCTCACCTCATCCTCCCAGAGTGCTGGGATTACAGGCATGAGCCACTGTGTGGCGGCCTTCTTTATATCCTTATTCTATAAGCTGTTTTCTATTGTTGAAATTTTTTGTTTTTTACATTTGATCTGTTTTGTTCAAAAGGAAGACAAAAACACACACATCGGCCTAGGCCGACACAGGGTCAGGATCATCAATATTACTGTCTTCCACCTCGACATCTTGTCCCACTGGAACGTCTTCAAGGCAGTAACATGCACGGTGCTGTCATCTCCTGTAACAATGCCTTCTTCTGGAATCTCTTCTGAAGGACCGCCTGAGGCTGTTGTATATTATAGTTAACTTTTTAAAAATAACTAGGCTGGGCGCGGTGGCTCACGCCTGTAATCCCAGCACTTTGGGAGGCCAAGGTGGGAGGATCACGAGGTCAGGAGATCGAGACCATCCTGGCTAATGCGGTGAAACTCCGTCTCTACTAAAAATACAAAAAAAGTAGCAAGGTGTGGTGGTGGGCACCTGTAGTCCCAGCTGCTGGGGAGGCTGAGGCAGGACACCGTCTCAAAAAAAAAAAAAAAAAAGGAGTTCAAAACCATCATGGCCAACATGATGAAACCCTACCTCTACCCCAAAATAAAGAAATTAGATGGGCCTGGTGGTGCACGCCTGGAGTCCCAGCTACTTGGGAGGCTGAAGTGGGAAGATCGTTTGAGACCAGGAGGTGGAGATTGCAGGGAGCCAAGACTGCACCACTGCACTCCAGCCTGGGTGCCAGAGTGAGACCCCGTGTCAAAAAAACTAAACAAAACTAGAAGGAATACACTCTAAAATAATGATTTAAAGTACGGCACAGTAAATACAGAAACCAGTAAGAGTTGTTTACTATCAACTATTATGTAGTGTACATGACGGTATATGCTATGTCTTGTCTCGCTCTGTCGCCCAGGCTGGAGTACGGTGGCATGATCTTGGCTCACTGCAAGCTCTGCCTCCTGGGTTCACGCCATTCTCCTGCCTCAGCCTCCCGAGTAGCTGGGACTACAGGCACCTGCCACCACGCCCGGCTAATTTTTTGTATTTTTAGTAGAGACGGGGTTTCACCATGTTAGCCAGGATGGTCTCGATCTTCTGACCTTGTGATCCACCTGCCTCAGCCTCCCAAAGTGCTGGGATTGCAGGCGTGAGTCACCATGCCACGCCCTTTTTTTTTTTTTTTTTTTTTTTTTTGGAGACAGAGTCTCGATCTGTCACCCAGGCTGGAGAGCAGTGGCGTGATCTCGGCTTCCTGCAAGCTCCGCCTCCCAGGTTCATGCCATTCTCCTGCCTCAGTCTCCCGAGTAGCTGGGACTACAGGTGCCGCCACCACGCCCGGCTACTTTTTTGTATCTTTAGTAGAGATGGGGTTTCACTGTGTTAGCCAGGATGGTCTTGATCTCCTGACCTGGTGATCCGCCCGCCTCGGCCTCCCAAAGTGCTAGGATTACAGGCGTGAGCCACCACGCCTGGCCTGTAAGTGCTAGGTCTTTATATGACTGGTAGCGCACTAGGTTTGTTTACACCAGCATCACCATAACCACATGAGTAATGCATGTGCAAGCATGTTACAAGGGCAATAATATCTCTAGGGGATAAAAATTTTTGTGTCTATCACAACCTCGTGTGACCACTGTCGTACATGAGGTCTGCCACTGAACAAAATGACAGTATGTGATGCATGCCTGTATTGACTATCTGGCCCTTTACAAAAAACATTTGCTGGCCCCTGTTCTAAAACATGCAAACCACAACGGAAAAGGATACAGACACTTGGTTGAGTCAAAATCTGTTTTCTGCTGAGCCTTTGGAGGAACTAGGCATAGTGTTTCATGATGATTACTCTCACTCATCATTTCGTTTAATCCTCATAATAACTTTACTGAATATTGTCACTAATTCCATTTTATAGATGAGGCGAATTATGCACAACTAAATGAAGTTACTTTTTTTTTTTTTTTTTTTTTGAGACAGAGTCTCGCTCTGTCACCCAGGCTGGAGTGCAATGACACGATCTTGGCTCACTGCAACCTCCACCTCCCGGGTTCACGCCATTCTCATGCCTCAGCCTCCCAAGTAGCTGGGACTACAGGCGCCCACCACCACGCCCGGCTAATTTTTTGTATTTTTAGTAGAGACGGGGTTTCACCGTGTTAGCCAGGATGGTCTTGATTTCCTGACCTCGTGATCTGCCCGCCTCCACCTCCCAAAGTGCTGGGATTACAGGCGTGAGGCACCGTGCCCGGCCTTTTTTTTTTTTAAAAAAAAAAGAGATGGAGTCTCACTCTTTCGCCCACGCTGGAGTGCAATGGTGCGATCTTGGCTCACTGCAACCTCCGCCTCCCGGGTTGAAGCAATTCTCCCATCTCAGCCTCCTGAGTAGCTGGGACTACAGGCGTGCACCACCACGCCTGGCTAATTTTTGTATTTTTAGTAGAGACCGGGTTTCATCACATTGGCCAGACTGCTCTTGAACTCCCGACCTCAAGTGATCTGCCCGTCTCGGCCTCCCAAAGTGCTGAGATTATAGGCATGAGCCACTGCGCCCGGCCGAAATTAAGTAACTTTTTAAGCTGCATAGAACAGTTTAGTCTTGGAGGCATAACAGGTAAACATTTACTTATCCAAATTTCTCTTTCTTTAGAATGAGATCAAAGTAGAACTTCAGACAAGAACGAGTGTACATTCACAGTAACCGCATGTGGAACCATCATTTTAGGCAATTCCCTTCAGGGAAAAAAGTAAAGTAGATTGTAGTGTTCTTTCTTGTCCAGGTTCTCTGTTACACAGGTGTGTTCAGTTTGTGAAAATTCATTGAGCTTTAGAATTAGGAAATGAGCACTTTTCTCTGTGTGTGTGTGTGTGTGTGTGTGTGTGTGTGTGTGTGTGTATTATACATGAGTAGTAAGTTTCAAGATGACTGCTGTCACTGGTACCTTGATCACAGACCTGTAAGCTAACTCGAGCTAAACACACCAGTAGTGGTTTGTCCAGGTTCCTGACCCACAGAAACTGTAAGATTACACTTTTTGTGGTTTTAAGTTGCTAAGTTTTAGGGTAATTTGTTACTTAACAATGGATAATACAGCTTGAAGCAGACATCAGTATTAACACTGAAAAAAGAGATAGATAATAATCCTAGAGAGTCAAAAGAATACTAACTCAAGAAAAAAATCAAGGCCAATAAACTCTGCAAATTAAAGACAGATACAGGGATACGGTATTCTATTATTTAATAAATACTTGTAGGGGCAAGGCACAGTGGCTCACACCTGTAATCCCAGCACTTTGAGAGGCCAAGGCAGCAGGATCGCTTGAGACCAGGAGTTCAAGACCAGCCAGGGAACACAGACCTTGTCTCTACAAAAAATTGTTAAAAATCAGCTGGGGATGGTGGCACAGTCCTGTCCTGAGCTACTCAGGAGGCTGAGGTGGGAAGACTGCTAGAGCCCAGGTTGAGGCTACAGTGAGACAGGATCCTGCCACTGCACTCCAGCCTGGGTGAAACAGCAAGACCCTGTCCCAAAAAAAAAAAAAAAAAAAAGAAAGACCACATTGTAGGGATGTCAATTTTGCCCACATTTCTTCATAGGTTTATTTGATTCTAGTTAGAATGATTAGATAAGGGGAGTTCTTAAAGAACAGGACATAACTTTGTAACCACTATCTGGAAGAACAAACAAGCAGAATTAGTTAAGATCAATTTTAAACAGAAGGACAAATTAGAGGATGAACTCAGCCACGGAGGAATATCCTATGAGAGAAAACAGCCCATATGTGAAGGCTCAGTTCACAAGTCACTTTCTTACCCCAGGTTGTATGCTCTGTTAATATGTTGTATTTTTATTTCTAAGCACTTACTGTTGTAATTACATAACTGGCAACTATATAATCATTACTGTAATGATTCATGGACCTCCCTGTCACAACTGTGAACTCTAAGAGATCTGGTGAGTGTTTGTGCTGCCAGTACCTACTAGTCTGTGTACAGAGGGCTCACAAGGATCATCCAAGCAGACACTCTCACGCACTGATCATTTAAGGCTAAAATACAACCACCTCTGTGACGGGAAACCTGGCAAAAGCCTTTAAGCCTTGCTTAAAATGAAGATCTTAAATGGGCATATCTTTTGACTGAGTGATGTACTTCCAGGAACCTGGTGAATTTTGTACAAAGCTATGCATTATATATGTTTATAACAGCTAAAAGCTAGACATAACTTGTCAGCTACCAGACTGGATTATTTGACAATGACATTTAGAAAATGTGGTTATAAGAAAACTGATTGCTATAATGAAAAAAAATTCCAGGTTATGAAAATGTGGAATTAAACACAAGGTACGAATACAACAGTGCTTAAAAATTACAAACTCCCAAGTCTACATCCTAAATAGAGAACGGAAGAAAATATTCTAAGGTATATTTTATGTTTATTTTTATTTACAAATACAACCTGGGTATTCTAGGGGGAAAAGTCATTATACTTAGTGCACGAGCAATAACTCTCCCCTAGAGAATGCAGACTTCCACCCTGAGAAAAACAGCATTTACATCTCCTTCTTACCTTGTCTACAACTTTATTGCACATTAACAACAAGCATCGTTTCCCAGCCCTAACAGACTGAATTCGTTAGAACAAAAATATCTGATACTTGGCCAGGCGCGGTGGCTCACGCCTGTAATCCCAGCACTTTGTGAGGTCGAGGCGGGCAGATCACGAGGTCGGGAGATCGAGACCATCCTGGCTAACACGGTGAAACCCCATTTCCACTAAAAATACAAAAAATTAGCCGGGCGTGGTGGCGAGTGCCTGTAGTCCCAGCTACTCGAGAGGCTGAGGCAGGAGAATGGCGTGAACCTGGGAGGTGAAGCTTGCAGTGAGCCGGGATTGCGCCACTGCACTCCAGCCTGGGCGACAGAGTGAGACTCCGTCTCAAAAAAAAAAAAAAAAAAAAATTTGATACCATTTTACCTATCTGAGAAAGGCAAACCATAACAACTCAAACCCCCTACATGGCATCAGAAGGCAAGAGACCAGGAAACCCATTGCATCTCACCTTTTTGTGAGTTTGCCCTGTAGTTCTGTCCTATATAGACACATAGCAAAGAAACGTGTATTAAGTAAAGATCAAAACAAGAGGTCCTATCAGGACTCTCCTTTATTTGTCTCCATACATCACATTTTGCTCAATGTCTCTACACATCTCTCTTTTTTTTTTATTACATCAGTGCTGCTGGCTATGTAAACAACAGAAGATACTCAAATGACAGAAAGGTAATAAAAACTAGTTTTGATTTCTTAGGCAATACTTTACCAATACTGCAAAATCAGAAAATGGCAAATATAAGAAGAAATTCTACACTAAAATATGTTAGCTGGGGTATCCAAGAGTAAGTGATATGGATTTGTGAGAATGAAATAAACTCAAAGATTATGATGGAATAAAAACCCAACTGCAGAATAAGCCAAACACAGCCTGGAAATTTACGTGTACGTCCTCCATCTACAGTGTCCCGTGATGCCTAATGATCGGTTCTGGTTTGTCACAGGAGACAGGAAACATCACTATGGTTGGTTAATTAGTTCTTGGCGCAAGAAATGCTTAGAAAGATCAGAATTACTCACGTGATATCTCTTCGTTGATAGCAGCCCTGAAGCAGGCAGGCAATCAGGTCACTGATAAACTCCACGTCATCTCTGTGAAGAGCGGCTTCTAACTCCTGAGGGAGGGAGAGAGGGAAGTTGAGAAATCAAACAGAGATTTCTTAAAATACACACCCCTTCCTACCGCCAGCACAAGCCCCAAGAACTGAATGGTCCCAGCAGCGGAAGGACTTGCCAGAGATCAGCTCTGCCCTTCCTTCTGGCTACTGTGAGAAGAGCAACCGGATTCCGCGTTTTCTTTTTCCCAGGGTTTTATTTCTCTCACTACTCCCTCCCCAACCCCATTCCTCTTACCGGCACATGAGAAGAAACACACATAACTCTTTTTGATAAATCAATGCTAGCTGCATAATTAAAGAGCTTAACTCTTTGATTATATATAATCGAGTATAAATACAAATGTGCTGTACTGCTATTTTAATCGCAAAAGAGAGGAAAGGAGTGCTCATGTAATTGTTTATGAAACATTTGTCATTTACTCAACCTTCTCAAGAGATAAACCATCTGCAACAGCTTTAAAGAACCACTGTATTTTGAATGGCATTTGTTAGTAAGTGATAATGACAATTTTTATTTTGGGATGCCACACCTACATGGCTGATGAAAGGTGATTGCGAGATCCAAGGCTAATCTTACATCATCTAAACAGAATGAGGTAACGTCTCTGTGAATGTCTTTGCTTTCCTTGGGGTTCAGCTTGCCTCGACACGGTATTCCAACAAGCAATTGTTTGGAAAGGGACCACTGGACAAAAAGTGGTGGTGGGGAACTTTAGGAGATCCTATTTCCCTTCCCAACACCCCCAAAATAAGCAGGTATTTTCTTAGATGACAGAATGTTTTCTAGGCCATCAAGTCTCCTACTAGAAAAGTTTGCCCACATTCTTTCAACCAGGATGCAATCTTCTGCATGCAAACCATTTCCCAAGAGTCTGCTCCCTATGGTTTGACTTGCTCATAACCAGATCAGTAATCCCCAGAAAAACCAAACTTCTGACAATCTTATTAACGGTTCTGAAAAGTACGAGATGTGCATAAGATGCAAGTTGTGATCTTAACAGCAATTACATGATAGCAGACACAAAACGGGGTGGGGTTTCCTTCTTATATAGAAATAATACGGCTCTGGCCAGGCATGGTGGCTCACTTGAGGTCAAGAGATTGAGACCAGTCTAGCCAACATGGTCATACCCTGTCTCTACTACAAATACAAAAATTAGCCAGGCATGGTGGCACGCACCTGTGATCCCAGCTACTAAGGCTGAGACACAAGAATCGCTTGAAACCAGGAGGCAGAGATTGCAGTGAAATGAGATCGTGCCAGCGTACTCCAGCCTGGGCGACAGAGTGAGACACTGTCTCAAACAAACAAAAAACACAAATCAATCAGTACTAGCAGGTACAGAAAACACGCTATGGGAGCTGAGAAGAAAAGGGTTACTTCTGCTGTGGAAGCCTGGGAGATTTCGTGAGATGGTAATTGTGACCGAGTGACAATGGAGAGAGGCAGGGCATGACCAGGTGCAGGAGGATATTAGGTTCAGTTTAACTATTCTTTAGATTATGTGAAGGGGAGTAATGTGAGCTGAGATTGACAGGCGATCCTGAATACCCAGCTAATGAGTTTGGCCTTTCTTCGGGAGACAATGGAGATCTACCTCAGTTTATTTCTATAGAGAGGCAAAGTGAGACTAATCTAGCTGCTGTGTATATACAAGGAATTCTAGTGGTAGAGGGTGGGAGGGGAGATGTTAGCCCAAGCAACAGCACAAGAGGAAGGTTCTAAAGGACTTACTAAATGAGAGAACGGAGAAATAGGAATTCAAGATCTGCCACAAGTAAAGGCCAGCCGAGGCGAGGGAAGACTTGAATGGCTCATGTTTTAAGCTGGGCACTGGGCAAGCCTCCCAGTGACTTACAACAGAAGCAAAATCTTCAAAGCCAAAACTCCCAGGCCAATCTCATTTGATAGGTAAGTCAGAATCAGCTAGAGCCGGAAATGAAACTACAGATCACGTATTTCCATTCTCTCAATTTAAAGATGTAGAAACTAGCCGGGTGTGGTGGTGCATGCCTACAGTCCCAGACACTTGGGAGGCTGAGGTAGGAGGATCACTGAGCCCAGGAGTTTGAGACCAGCCTGGGCCACACAGCAAGACCCTGTCTCTTTTAAGGGAGAAAAAACAACAACAGCAAGATAAACTAGGTCCAGAAAGGTTAACTGGCTTCTCCAAGGGCACTAAGCAAATCAGTGACAGAGCTGAGTGGAAACCCAGGTCACCGAGTACAGTGTTCTTCCCAAAACCAAGCTGCTCCCCCCGGCCAATGTTCTCCATTCTAGAAAGGCCTGATGGTTTCTACAATTACAGTGACCGCCCCAACCACTGTGTCTTTTCTCTAAGAGCCCTCACATGTACCATTCTCCCTAGGTGGAAATCCCGTCCCTCTGCTGAACTGTACTGCAGTTCTTTACGGGAGAAACTTTATCTGCAAAGTCTTCCCAGCCAAGCTCCCCCACGCTGCTCCCACCAGTGCTCACTGTCACTGTGGCGTCCATGCATCCCCAGGTTTCTACACGTCCTGTTCTGTTCCCTTCCCTGCCATCATAAACTAAGAGCACAATCGGATCGTGATTAAAGGTGCTACAGTCTGTACTAACTAATTTCTCCTAAGATTTTTTTAAGCATGGAAGTACCAAATTAAATAATAAAGGCAACACTGGAGGCTGAGATGGGAGGATTGCTTAAAGCCAGGAGTTCAAGACCAGCCTGAGGAACATAGCGAGACCCCATCTCTACAGAAATAAATAAATAACAAAGGCCACATTTGAGAAGATAAGCTAAGAACTGGGAGGGTGTTTTCAAGGAGGTGACTGCATAAAGTTTGCCGTATGGTTCATGTGGCATCTCCTTAGAGGATCACTTTTACTATGTGGTTTCCAAGAAATTTAATTACCTTTTTCTCCATCTCCGCCTTCGGCACACAGACATCCTCTTCTGGCTTCCGCCTTTATCATGGCCATTTTCACCAGCGCTGCCTAGGTTCTAGCTAGAATACTATCCTCCAAGGAGGCAAGACAAGTTTTCTACATTGTAGCAATAATGTCAGGAGTGCCTTTTCTTCTAACACAATAGAAAGTAGAATATCAGGGATGCTGGACTAGCTCTTCCAAGGAGAATCGAATAGGCTTAAATGGTCCCTCAAAGGACACACATAGGGAGAGGAACTCTGCGTCACTTATTAAATATTCCAACTCTTCTCCCTTACCTACCATATTCCCCATTTCACCATCCCTGGAATATAGTAACTAACTCATGAAGTCATTAAAAACAGGGTTCAACATGTAAAATTGCTTTTTAAATATAATTCTATGATATTATGTTTACTGTGTCAGAAGCCACCCAGAAAACCCACCCAAAAATTTGCAGGTCCAAGCTAACTTGTGAGGTGATGAAGACATTGCTGAACTTACCCCTGGAGCTCAGCAGAACTTAAAATGCAGAATCAGTAAAGATGAGAACCAAGAATAGGTGACGAACCCCTGGAGAGTAAAGCCTTTTCTCTTTCCCTTTAGTAACTATAAACCCCCCCCAGTTAGTACCAAATGGATAAACCAAGGCACAGTAAATACAAGCCCTGGTCTCACCATCCTGTGATGAAATACAGAGGAAGAATGTTCTATCAAAACAGCCAAGGAAAGAAACAGGAGAGCTATTTTTAATCCTGCAGAACAAAAGAAATGGCCAAACAGTTAAAATGCTGGCTGATCAGTTAAAATGTTTCCCCATTATTTTAATGGGTATGGTGTTTCAGATATGCGGCTGGCATTTGGAAGACGAAACAGTTTTGGATATCTCTTTGACAACAATGTGAATCTACTTAATATTACTGAACTGACCACTTTAAAATGTGTTTACTACAATAAATTATTTTTCACATTAAAAGTGTCTATTTTCAAGGGTTGTAATGATTAAATGAAGCAGTGGCACACAGTAAATGCCACATGAAAACATTTATCTTACAATTATTTCATCTTCCTCACAATGATAGTTTGTGGAAAAACTGCGAAGTGTCCTTTTCAAAATTCGGAGGTTTCTAAACGATAGAAATTCAAATGCTTTTAATATATGGCCTGCTGTGTTCATGTGCCAATAAAACTATCTGCAAGAACTATTTGGAAATCCAGGTTACTACTTACAAAGCTTTACCACTTAAGGTTTCAACCCAGAGCTTAAGTCTTAGACTAAGGCAATAAGGGACTCTACTAAAAACCTCCACCCCAACCTTTTCTCTCTTTTCTTCTCACTTTCTCTCCTCCTCTTTTGTATTTCCTTTTCACTGTGAGCATTGAGCTGTGAGCACAGAAATCTGAACTTTGCCAAGATGCTCTGGGACAGAAGAGGAAGGGGGGAAAAACAGCAGAAAAGGCAGCTAATCAGCATAGGGCAGGGAGACCAGTTACCACTGCCCCTCTGCAGCTTCAGAGAGTAGCTGAAGGGAGTAACAGGATTTGCCGCCTTTGCAGCTGGCATCACAGCTCATTAGGGAAAAGTCTGTTCAACATCCTTCCACCTTCTCCACCCTCAACGACAAATCCTTCGAGCCGTGCAGTGGCTGCTGGGAAAACAACTCAGAAGTGAGCAAGGGGACTAGCCCCAACCTCTCACAGCAGCGGGAACAAGCAGAAGAAACAGGGCCTTTACATACCTCTTAAGAAAAGCAGTTTACCATTCTGCACTTCGGCAAGTCCTGCCTGCCTAATACACGAAGATAATTTCCAGACTGGAGACAGTCAAGTGACATATGCAGGATATTGCTAAATGCCTTTATTGTAACCCTACCAACCCATTTAACACAACTTTTCTTAAATAACATTACAGGTACCTTTTCTTGTTTGATGTGTTTCTAATCCCTGTATAAATTTTCATTAATCTTTTGCTAAAGAGGTAGTAAAGAGAAACTCTTTTCTTCAACTTCTGATTAAGGATCGAGATCACAGATCTGTACTACTGCCATTCGGTCACTGTAATTCCTTTGAGTGTATTTAAGGAGGGGGAAAATGTTTAAAGAAAAAAAAATCGTGTTTGTTGTATTTTATGTAAGAGGGTTACAAATCTTCCTAATTTGCACGGGGACCAACTACTACGTAGTATCTCTGTCAAAGGACAGAGATCTTCTGTATAGGACCCGGAACCGCAAGGACACAAAGGAGATGCAAAGCAGGCCTCTTGAAGGACTGTCCCAGCTGCTATCCAAGAGAGAATGCCTGGAGTGTGGGCTCAGAATACAGAAAGAAAAAAAGCACACTGGCCTCCAGAAGGCTCCCCTGACTTTGACAGCTGATGCTTTCTAACTTGGTATAAATTAATTTAATCCCAAAGGCATGCCCCATGCCAATTTACACTGTAAAGTATAAATCAGCTCAAGTGGGTATAATGGTGAGGGACCTGAAACCAGCTACATAACACTTTCAGTTGGCCAAGAGATGGATCCCAGGAGTCCCCAAAGGCTGGCCAGGTCCGTGTTGCTGCTTTGCTGGAACCATGTCATTCCTCTCAGCCTTGCATCAAACAGCTGTGTCACTGGCTCGATGCTGAGTAACACAGAAAGGAAACCAAAATAGCTCCTCCCCTCAAATATGACTACAACTCTAAATATTAGGTTAACTGGAAAATACTAATTATACCAATATATGTGTAAATCTAGAATAGGGTTTTCTGAAAATGTGTGAATTACTAAAACTGTCTCCAGAAGTTAAAAAAGGCTAAGAAGAAGTTCCATGAGTCTTCTCCCATAAAAAATGTCCATATGGCCAGGCGTGGTGGCTCACACCTGTAATCCCAGCACTTTGGGAGGCTGAGGCAGGTGGATCACCTGAGGTCAGGAGTTCGAGACCCACCTGGCCAACATGGTGAAACCCTGTCTCTACTAAAATGCAAATATTAGCCAGGAGTGGTGGCGGGTGCCTGTAATCCCAACTACCGGGGAGGCTGAGGCAGGAGAATCGCCTGAACCCGGGAGGCAGAGGTTGCAGTGAGCCGAGATCACACCCACTGCATTCTAACCTGGGCGACAGAGCCAGAGTGTCTCAGAAACAATCAAACAAACAAACAAACAACAACAACAATAAAAAACCCCACACTCATATTAACAATTCCTGAGCACTGCGAAAGTTGGAAACTATGCAACATGCTCTAGGTTTGTTTAATCCATTTTGATTATCCTTTCTTTGTTCAAAAGTCTTTGGTGTCTTCCAGTACCTAACACAATTTCCTAGGTGACTAGAACAATTATACTAGGTGACTAGTATACTGGACAAGCATGGCCAGAGACAAAATCTGGAAAAGCAGGTTCGCAGCTGACCACAGACAGCCTCAGATACCAGATGGAATCATCTGGACTTCATCGCTTAGACCCAATTTTCCAATTAGGATGTGAGTGTTCCCTGGGTTCCACGGTGTGTGGCTGGAATATAAAAAGCCACAGGGTAAAAATGGCACAGGTTCCTAGAGTTTTACTTTGACTTTGTATTGCTGTTGCTTGTTGTTTGGGATGATATTTTTACCTTAAATACTTGCATGACTCTTACAGATAAAATGGGAGATGTCATTAGAGAATTTATGTTCAGAGCTGCTTTGGAATACAGCTCCAGGCCTCTGAGGTTTGGAGTCATCATTCTCTTGCTACTAGGAGATCACTGCTGAATTAGTTGGAAATTGTGTTAAGTACTGGGGAGTCACCAAAGACTTTTGAACAAAGAAAAGAAAGAATAATCAAACTTGGAAGGTTAATTTGGATGTGGTCTGCAGAACACACTGTTAGTTAGGGAGAGAGACTGGAGGGTGAGAAGAACCCTGGTCTAGTCTGGGAAGAGGTGACGGGGCCAGTGCTAGAAATGACAGTGGAAATGGAAAGAAATTATGAAAGAACAGTTTCAGACACACAGTCAGTAAGGGTTTTGCAACTAACTGCAGGTGGAGAAAAACGGACAAGGAAAATTTTAGTTAAGTTTTAATCCTGTCCAGGAAAAGAAAAGATTATAGTATCTTTAACGGATAAACAGAAATAGGGGAGATAAAAGGTAGGGGGATGGTGAGTGATGCCAGAGATAAGGTCCTAGAAGTTTAACGTGGGACTTCATCTTTCGATGTTCTAGGTCTGGTTGCTCTTACATGATTGTGTCCTGGTCTCCTGTGTAAGAATAATGAAAATGTGCATAGACAGAATTTTTTTTTCTTTTTTTTTTTTTTTTGAGACGGAGTCTCTGCAACCTCCACCTCTTAAGTTCAAGCAATTCTCCAGCTTCAGCCACCCGAGTAGCTGGGACTACAGTCGTGCACCACCATGCCCAGCTATTTTTTTTATTTTTAGTAGAGATGGGGTTTCACCATGTTGGTCAGGCTGGTTTCAAACTCCTGACCTCAAATGATCTGCCTGCCTCAGCCTCCCAAAGTGTTGGGATTACATGCGTGAGCCACCATGCCTGGCCCACAGAAAATTTTATATATAATTTCAGTGTGTGTGTCTTTGAGTGTGGTAGGTTCCTGTGATTGAATCAATTCAATCAGCTCAGCATCTTAGGACCTGTGATAGTGGGAAGCCACACGAGCAGAAAGGCAGCTGTGGCATCTGAAGGCATACTATGTGCCAGGCTCTGTTATGTGCTGGGGACACAAAGAAGAAAAAGAGGACCCTGCCCTCAAATAGCAAAGATCTAGGAGGGAGGACAGGCAAAAAACCAGTAACCTTTTCCATGCAATGTGATGGACGCCACGGCAGAGGCATGCTGCTATGAGGACAGCAATAGCTGAAAGGCCAGCTGAAATGCCAGCAGGCATGCAAGAGAAGAGGGCAACAGCACAGGACTCCAGCAACATGCAGGTCACCGCCAAGGAAGAAATGCTAAGGTGAACGTGTGAATGAAGATTTCCAGATATGCTTGAAATCCAATCAAGAAGAAATCTGGAAAGGTAGGACAATTAGGAACAGCCTGGGTAGGATTATAATGAAGAAAAGAGAACTGGATTCTTACTGGAAAAAAAAAAAAAAAACAATGTTATCATCAAAAGAGGATGCGCTGTATGCTGTCCATCATGGGAAAGAGGTCCCAAGATAAAAACTGGCAGTAATCATCCCCCCTGCTTGGGGAGAGACAGTGATGACGCGCTGTCGCGGGCCAAGAATACTTTATCAGCCCTGGGAGAAATGACCCCGTCGAAACTAATTCTTCCCCTTCTAATTCTCAACTCCTAGTATTAGAAGGGTGGTGTGTGTTGAATGGCAGGTAAACGTGAGGACCATGAAAAGTACTGCTGGTCTCAGTGTGTCCCCCAAAATTCAAATACTAGAAAACTAATCCCCAATGCAACAGTGTAGGGAGGTGAGGTCAGCACATAACACAGAGCCTGGCACATGGTATGCCTTCAGATGCCACAGCTGCCTTTCTGCTTGTGTAGCTTCCCACTATCACAGGTCCATAAGATGCTGAGCTGATTGAATTGATTCAATCACAGGAACCTACCACACTCACAGACACACACACACACTGAAATTGTACATAAAATTTTCTGTATAATCACTAACAAGAGGTGATTGGGTCAGGAGGGCTCTGAATGGATTAATGCCATCTGGGGAGTGGGGTAGTTATCAAGAAAGTGATTTCCTTATGAAAGTGAGTTTTGCCATCTTGCCCACTTCTCTCACCTTCTCTTGTCCTCCTGCCTCCCGCCATGGGATGACAAGGTGCCACACAACAGCCCTCACCAGATGCTGGCACTCTGATACTGAATTTCCCAGTCTGAAGAACTACGAGAAATACATTTCTTTATAAATTACTCAGTCTGTGATATTTTGTTACGGCAAAACAGTATGGACTAAGACGGTTACATATCCAATTTTAAATACATGAAATATAATTCTGAGACTTGGGACCTATGGTCATCATGGGGCGGGGGGTTGCTGGTTTTTTGGAGAGACAGGGTTCTTGCTCTGTCGCTCAGGCTGAAATGCAGTGGTATGATCTCATTGCAGCCTAGACCTCCCAGGTTCAAGTGATCCACATCAACCTCTGAGTAGCTGGGACTACAGGCATGCACCAACAAACTCTGCTAATTAAAAAAAAATCTTTTGTAGAGACAGGATCTCACTATGTTGCTCAGGCTGGTCTTCAACTCCTGGCCTCAAACAATCCTCCTGCCTCAGCCTCCCAAAGTGCTGGGATTACAGGCGTGAGCCACCACACCTGGGCAATATAGTTAACATCTTAAACCTACAAAGGTGAGGGCCAGACTTGGTGACTTGAACACAATCACAACAGAGCAAGACACAGATTACACAGAAATGAGGGGGCAGGGACTGAAACAACTTTCTTTTATTCCCTAGTATCCCCATTTCCTTTTAGACACCTTGAAAGAGCCCAAAACATGAGCCCACATATTACTTATTTTCAGTAAGATGCTTAAACAACAACAAAGGGCATACTCCCCTTTCTTCCACAAATCCCTTTTTCTTAACACAGGCACCTGCTGTTATCTTCCACAAACCTTTTGTATTTTAAGTACCTCCATAGCAAAAACAAAAGACAAGCCCCGTTTAAGGGGCTACAAAAGACGACTGCCCTCTCCTTCTACCAAGAAGGACCTAACTAATGACTGTCTTCTAGGAAACTGTTTCTGGGACAGTATACAGACCATATATGCAAAAACAGAACACATTTCACATCAGCTCATGGTCTCAAAAGATCGTGTGAATTCTCAGCAGTTCTCTTTCTGATGACCCATGGGGTAGTGTAGAAGAGAAAGCAGAAGCCAGCTCCCTTGGACTGGTTTAGTCTCCACTCTCTCTCTCTTTCTTTCTTTTTTTTGAGACTGAGTTTTGCTTTTGTTGTGCAGGCTGGAGTGCAATGGCATGATCTCAGCTCACTGCAACCTCCGCCTCCCAGGTTCAAATGATTCTCCTGCCTCAGCCTCCCAAGTAGCTGGGATTACAGGTACCTGCCACCATGCCCGACTAATTTTTGTATTTTTAGTAGAGACGGGGTTTCACCATGTTGGCCAGGCTGGTCTTGAACTCCTGACCTTGTGATCTGCCAGCCTCGGCCTCCCAAAGTGCTGGGATTACAGGTGTGAGCCACCGCACCCGGGACCTTTTAAAAAGTGCCCCAGGTGAATCTGATTATCAGCCAGATTGAGGAATCTGCTCGGGAAGTAAGCACTGGATCTCAGTCCCTCCCCTTTGTTATCACTGTGATGCTCACCCAAGTCCTGTCCTAAGGGTTTCATGGCATCTACAGATACGTTCCTCAAAGCGAGTCACCCAGCTGAGAGAGATCTCACACGTGTTCCGATTGTTCACTGGCTTCTCATAAGAGGATTATGCTGCCCATCATCACTGACATCAGACTTGTTCCTATGGCTTGCTTATGAAAATGTTCTGGTCAATGAAATATGAGTGAAGTGACATATGCCACCTCTGAGCAGAAGCTTAAAAGATTATCACACTGTTCAAGTATAGCTATTTTCCCCTTATCCCAAATAGGAACTGCTCCTTTAATCTAGACAGCGGAAGGAAGACAGAAAGCGCAGAGTCAACAGCTGATCTGGAAAAACTTTATGAACACTCCCCCGATGTTTCTGTGGCTGCTAAGTACTGAGCTTCTAGGACTGCTTGTTACTGCAGCATAGCCATGCAAAAGCACATACGGGAACGAGGAAGAGAGAAACACTGAATGTAAAGGAAAAAAATGAAAGGTTTTGGCCAAGTGCAGTGGCTCACGCCTGTAATTCCTGCACTTTGGAAGGCCGGGGCGGGAGGATCACAAGGTCAGGAGTTCGAGACCAGCCTGACCAACATGTGAAACCCTGTCTCTACTAAAAATACAAAAATTAGCCAGGCATGGTGGCACGCGCCTGTAATCCCATCTACTCAGGAGGCTGAGGCAGGAGAATTGCTTGAACCCGGGAGGTGCAGGCTGAAGTGAGCTGAGATAGTGCCACTGCACTCCAGCCTGAGCAACAGAGCAAGACTCCTTCTCAAAAAAAAAAAAAAGGCAAGGTTTTAAGTAACAATAGTGGTTACCATCTTGGGGACAGATACCAGGTTTCCATTCTTTGGCTTATTTACTCTGCACAAAACTCTTCAAAGTAGGTATTAATGGCATCATTTTACAGATAACTAAACTATGGGCTGACATAAAGGGTTTTCAGTGTAATTCTCTCTCACAAAATAGAGTTACCTTGAATCCAAATGCTTAGAAAGTTTCTTCTAAGATGCTCATTCAATTGTTTTAATTTTGAGTAACAGAAATTTGCTTAAAGAAATGAGGGAAACGACAATAAATAGCCTGAAACCAACCTCAATCAATACAGGTTATGGATTTTTACAGAGGTCACTTGATTGAATCCATTTTAAAAGGAGCGGAAGGCCAGGCGCTCTGGCTCATGTCTGTATTCCCACTTTGGGAGACCAGGAGTTCAAGACCAGCCTGGCCAACATAGCGAAACCCTGTCTCTACTAAAAATTTAAACCCTGGAGGCGGAGGTTGCAGTGAGCCGACGAGATCATACCACTGCGCTCCAGCCTGCGTGATGGCGCAAGACTCTGTCTCAAAATAATAATATAAATAAATAAATAAATAAAGGAGCGGGGGGTAGTTACTTTACCATGTTCAATAAATGCTCTGAGGATTCAATAACACGTGTTGTATTCTCATTATTAAAATCACTTTAGGCAGGGTGCAGTGGCTCATGCCTGTAATCCCAGCAATTTGGGAGGACGAGGTAGGTGGATTGCTTGAGGACAGGAGTTCAAGACCTGCCTGACCAACATGGCAAAACCCTGTCTCTACTAAGAATACAAAAATTAGGCTGGGCGTGATGGCTCACGCCTGTAATCCTGGCACTTTGGGAGGCTGAGGCGGGGGGATCACGAGGTCAGGAGTTCATGACCAGCCTGGCCAAGACGGTGAAACCCCGTCTCTACTAAAAATACAAAAATTAGCCAGGCATGGTGGCACGCACCTGTAATCCCAGCTACTCAGGAGGTTGAGCCAGGAGAATCGTTTGAACCCAGGAGGTGGAAGTTGCAGTGAGCCAAGAATGCACTACTGCATTCCAGCCTGGGTGACAGAGCAAGACTCTGTCTCAAAAAAAGGAAAAAAACAGGTGGTGAATGCCTGTAATCCCAGCTACTAGGGAGGCTGAGGCATGAGAATCACTTGAACTCAGGAGGTGGAGATTGCAGCAAGCCAAGACTGTGCCACTGTACTCCAGCCTGGGAGACAGAGTGAGACTAGGTCTCAAAAAAACAAAAAACAAAATAAAACACAAAAACAGTTTAAATAGAAATATTTGGCCAGGTGCAGTGGCTCACACCTGTAATCCCGGCACTTTGGGAGGCCGAGGCGGGCGGATCACGAGGTCAGGAGATCAAGACCATCCTGGCTAACACGGTGAAACCCCGTCTTTACTAAAAATACAAAAACTTAGCCGGGCGTGGTGGTGGGCGCCTGTAGTCCCAGCTGCTCGGGAGGCTGAGGCAGGAGAATGGCGTGAACCCAGGAGGCGGGGCTTGCAGTGAGCTGAGATCGCGCCACTGCACTCCAGCCTGGGCGACAAAGCGAGACTTCGTCTCAAAAAAAAAAAAAAAAATTTAAATATTGATGTTTTAATGATCATGAATGTGCACCTACCTATAGGTCAAATACCCAACTGTCAAGTGAATTAGAAATTGTGACTTAGAAAAATTTTCAGAAAATACTATCAGAAGTACATTGAAAAACTTAATAGAGAGGCTGACGTGCTCTCGAAAACTGCACATCAATACTTTCCTTCAAAAGGAAGTTCTGGACTGGGCACAATGGCTCATGGATGTAATCCTAGTGCTTTGGGGGACTGAAGTGGGAGGACTGCTTGAGTCGAGGAGTTTAAGACCAGCCTGGCAACTTTGTGAGATCTCATCTCTACAAAGAAATTTTTTTAATTAGCTAGGTATGGTGGTGCGTGCCTGCAGTCCAAGCTATTCAGGAGGCTGCAGAGGGAGGACTGCTGGAGCCCAGGAGTTTGTGGCTGCAGTGAGCTATGAGCATGCCGCTGTACTCCAGTCTGAACGACCAAGCAGAGAAGAGAGAGACCTTGCCTCAAAAGAAAAAAAAGACTTTTATTCCTTAAAAATGTAATAAGCATAACAAATGTTGGTAGCTGCCAATATTAACTGAATTGGGCCAAGACAGTGAGGGGTGGCAGAGCAAAGATGCCCTCTGTCAAACCCCTACTCGTCAGAGATAAGCAGCAGGGAGAATATGGCCACTTCTTTGACAATTTAAGAACTAGGAGTTTTCTTTTAATTATGTGGACACCTTTTTAAACTTGATACTAGTAAGAAATTTCATCAGTTGGCCTAAAGAGAAGAAATTCCTGCCTAAGCAATTACCTGTCTCAACTGATGAAGCAGTTCACTAGTGAAACTTCATTAAAATGACTGAAGCCTCAGAGATGGTAACAAAAACTTCTATACAAAATCTTAATGCCAGTATTAGTGATGCAAACAAATTTTCATTCCCACCATTGTACTGCAACCAAGCCAAATTTAACAAATGGTTCTCAGCCTCCATCATACTAAGTTTAAAAGCAGCATTTAAGTTGATTCTATCTTAAAATAATTTCTTCTCTGGCTTTCAGGACACACCCACCCACCACCGCACTGCTATTTCTTTTCCATCTTTGCTGTTTTCCTCACCCTAGCCCTCCAACTCTACTGCTGGAGAACCACCCCTTGGACCTCTTCTTTTCCCTGCTCTTGCTTCCCTTTCTGCTCTACACCCACTGACTCTTGATAGCTCTTTCAGCATCATGGCTCAAAATCCCATCGATTAGGCTGGCTCTCATTACACCCCCCCACCTCTCCTCAACTCCGGAGTCCCCTTATCCCAGTGCCCGTCCCCGACGTCAGCAATGAATGTCAAACAGGCAGCGCAAACTTAACAGAACCAAACCGAGCTTTGGATCTCACCTCTTCAAACCTGATTCCCTCTAACTCCCCAGTCTCAGTAAATGGCATATTTCTCCAGCAAAAAATTGAGGCATCCTTGACTCTTCCCTTTTTCTCTCTTTTCACATCTAGTCAATTAACAAATCCTGATGACTATATTCAAAAGAGATTCAGAAACCCCTCTCTTCTCACACCATCTCCATGGCCCATTTGTCTGAGCTTCATCCATTTAAAAGCTTCCTCACCAAACTCCCTGCTTCTCTCTGTCTGCTCCTCATATCAACAGCTAGTGAGCCTTCGAAACGTGAGTCAGAGCATTCCACCCCTTTGTACCAATGTCTCCTTTAGAACTAAATCCAAAGTTTATATGACCTCTAAGACCTCACCTGTCAGCCTCCTGCTGACACGCTAACATCGCTTCTCACTACTCTCATCCTTGATCACCTCCCTAACTCATACTGGCCTCTTACCTGCTCCTCAGATACACTCAGCACTCCCGGCTGGGGCATCTGCACTAGGTTCTGCCTGGAATAGCCTCTCCCTCACTTTCTATAGGTCCAGTCACTGTCTCGTCCCTCTACTCTGCTTTATTTTTCTAACTAACCTACCAGCTATTGATTATATGCATTTATTTTCTGTCTTCCACCATTATTAAGCAAACCCCTTGAGGAGCTTTGTCTGCTTTGGGTTTGTGGCTGTTTCCCCAAAATTGTATTTGCCCACAGTGAGTATTTAATAAATTTTTTTGAGACGGAGTCTCGATCTGTTGCCCAGGCTGGAGGGCAGTGACACGATCTTGGCTCACTGCAACCTCCACCTCCCAGGTTCAAGCAATTCTCTGCCTCGGCCTTCTGAGTAGATGGGATTACAGGTGCTCGCCACCACACCCAGCTGATTTTTGATTTTTAGTAGAGATGGGGTTTCACCATCTTGGCCAGGCTGGTCTTGAACTCCTGACCTCGTGATCCACCCGCCTCGGCCTCCCAAAGTGCTGGGATTACAGGCGTGAGCCACTGCAGCTGGCCTAGGACAGGCAGGTTTTGATGACCTAAACTTCTCACCGGGACTTCCAAACTGGTTCCCCATATCCAATACAGACTAAACCTCTGCCCAATTAAATTTGCTTAAATTCAATTCTGACAATATTGCTTTCGTGTAGAAGCCTCCAAAGACTCCTCGCAATTCATCAGATTAAGTCTGTATCCTGAACTTAACATTCAAAGCCTCCCCAAATGACCTCAACCTACACCTTCTCAGTATTATCTTAAGATCTTTATCTTTTTTTTTTATTATTATTTCAGATGGAGTCTCGCTCAGTTGCCCAGCCTGGAGTGCAGTGGCACGATCTTTGCTCACTGCAAGCTCTGCCTGGGACTACAGGCGCCCGCCACCATGCCCAGCTAATTTTCTGTATTTTTAGTAGAGACAGGGTTTCACCGTATTAGCCAGGATGGTCTCGATCTCCTGACCTCGTGATCCGCCTGCCTCGGCCTCCCAAAATGCTGGGATTACAGGTGTGAGCCACCGCGCCCGGTCAAGATCTTTATCTTTAAAAAAGTAACAGGTACTGCCGAGCATGGTGGCTCATGCCTGTAGTCCCAGCACTTTGGGAGGCCAAGGCGGGTGGACCACGAGGTCAGGAGTTCGAGATCAGCCTGACCAACATGGTGAAACCCTGTCTCTACTAAAAATAAAAAAATTAGCCGGGTTTGGTGGTGCGCACCTGTAGTCCCAGCTGCTGAGGAGTCTGAGGGAGGAGAATCACTTGAACCCTGGAGACGGAGGTTGCAGTGAGCCAAGGTTGTGCCATTGCACTCCAGCCTGGGCGACAGAGCGAGACTCCATTTCAAAAAAAAAAAAAAAAAAGTAACGGGTACTTCCCAGTCTTGACTCATGTTGTTTCTTCTGTTGTCATAGGCATGGTTTCTTCACTCCCACCCAATCCCATCGCAGAGGAAAAACATGGGAAACATCTGGAACGAAGACTGACTTCTGTGTATTCTGGTGCACAAAGGCTTGCCCATGAGAAGGGCTCACACACTTGGGCTCACTGGAGAATGCTAATTGCTTTTACCTGGATAAATTGGTCTACTGATAACGAAAGCCATCAAACTCCTCGCCAGGAGTTTCAGGAGAAAGTGCCTAGCAAATGATGGTAAATTCTAAATGAGTCCTAACCCCAACAGGAAGTACAGATGGGGTGGGAAATATAGGGAGTTTGTTGTATCTATTTTTCTGCCTGAGGCATCCACCATCTTTGAATACTTGAAAGAGAATGGGACTTGAAAAATACTGTCTCACAAACAGAATATTTAAAAGAGGATAAAGGAAATAACTTTCTTAAAAAAAATCACCATTGTTTTAGGAGACTGGTGGGAATCAAACTTAATATCAGTAAGTTGTGTATCAGCAGTTGCTTTGGATAAAAAAGAATAAACTCTGAACCAACAGAGAAAGAGAAGAGAAGCTTTCCTCATATCAGATTGACTAGGACCTACAATAAACAGAACGTCCCATTTCTACAAATAAGAGCTGCTACAGCTGCTGGCAGAGCAGCACGACCGGGGAAACCCATCGCGGTAATGGGTGATTCCCTGATGCTGCGAATTAGGGAAGCAACCACAGGATTGACAGGTCTACAAAGAGACACACAGCACCCCCAAACAGGTCTCCAGGATGGAACTAAAGGCCAGCTAAGACTAAGCCAAACTTGGTTAGTTTTTGTGGGGATGAAACACTGCTGCTAACCCCAGAAGAGACCTAGAAAGGATGAAGTCCTAGGCAAGAAAATAAAGATTTGATATAAACATAAGAGATTTCCTTCCCCTACACCCCAAAAATGAAGTTTCACTTTGTGGGAGAGAAAGCTGTGATGTGAAAAGATAGGCTGCAGCTGTGTAGATAGTGTTTATTAATGTGATTCAACGACTGGGACATAAGGATACCGGGGATGACAGGCACTGGCTAGAGGCAGAGACTCTCCATACAATCTAAGACTTGTCAACCTGAAGGTCTGAACTAAAATGAGAGGGGAAGAGAAAACTGATGGGGCAAGAAACTGAAGCCCCAGAATCAAGACACCTGGGTCACTGGGGAGTACAGGAATCACATGTGAATAACCTTCAATCCCTCTAAAGAATCCAAATCGAGGCTGGGCGCGGTGGCTCACGCCTGCAATCCCTGCACTTTGGGAGGCCGAGACGGGCGGATCACCTGAGGTCAGGAGTTAGTGACCAGCCTGGCCAACATGGCGAAATCCTGTCTCTACTGAAAATAGAAAACTTAGCCGGGCATGGTGGCACGCACCTGTAATCCCAGCTAGTCGGGAGGCTGAGGCGGGAGAATTGCTTGAACCCAGGAGACAGAGGTTGTAGTGAACCAAGATCATGCCATTGTCCTCCATTCTGGGTGACAGAGCAAAACTCTGTCTCAGAAAATTAAATCTAAATTTTTTCCAAAGAAGAAACCTCAGAGAAGACTTCAAAGTTGCAAGTGTATACAGAGAGGTGTCATAGGTGAGGGGCTATCAAAGACACCAAACTGCCTTCTGGGCTGGAAGAGGAAGTTATAAAAATAAAGAAGTCCAGGCATGGTTACACGAATATGTAGTCCCAACTACTCAGAAAGCTGGAGAAAGGAAGAGGAAGAGAAGAAATAGATCAATGGAGTAGAATAAATACCCTGAGAAACACCCGCACAGCACATACTAAGCTGCTACTGGTATAAATACATGTGGCCCTTCATAAACCCAGCTTACAAAGTTACATGCTCAGCTTAAGGAGTTAAAAGGATAAGAGGCTTCTGAAGAATTTGTTTCAAGACAGTTGCTTTAGGTTGCATATTTGGAAAACCCATGTGAAAAGCCAGGTTTCCTGTGTTGAAGATTTTCAAAGAGTGAAGGATGCACAACAGACTTCCATCACAAAGAAGTTCAGGAGTTTGCAAAGTGGCTACAAAGAAGCAACTATAATAATTTTGGCATGTGGCTTTCATTGTTCTCTTTTTCTATTTCTCTGTATTTTTGGTAGTATGAAATTGCATCTTTGGGCAGGTGCTGTGGCTCACACCTGTAATCCCAACACTTTGTGAGGCCGACGCCGGGGGAGTCCCTTGAACTCAGGAGTTCAAGACCAGCCTGGGCAATGTGGTGAAACTCTGTCTTTACAAAAACCAAAAACAAAAAAAAACACACACAAAAAATTGGCTGGGCGTTGTGGCGCTCAACCGTAGTCCCAGCTACTCGGGTGGCTGAGATGGGAGGATAGCTTGAACCCGGGAAGTTGCAGAGGCAGTGAGCTGTGGTCATGCCACTATGCTCTAGGCTGGGACACAGGGCTGGGATGCAGGGCCGGGCAGGGCAAAGGAAAAGAGGAAGAAAGAAAGAAACTGCATCTTTGCTCTGGATCTTTTTTCTAAAATATAAGCCCTAGAATGACCCTGGGGGTCCTTAGGCCCTGAGTATATCACCCTGCAGGTTCTTACTGTAACTGGAATATGCAACGGACAACTAAAATCAATCCTTTGGAATCTAGGCTTCCTTGGTCTGTCCTTGAAATACTTTTGTGTAACTCAATAATCAGAAGGGAGAGAAGTGCTTAGGGTAAGAAGGGATGATTCGCTTTTACTTTTTCCAAGTATAAGTTGCTTTCTTCTCAAACTGATGTAGACAGTAATTCATAATGACTCATTTTCACAAAGCTATAGGTCACTATTATTTAAATGTGCTAACTTCACAATTTTTAAAGCTCCTGAAGTGAGATTTTTTTGCTCCTTTTAAAGGTATTTTAAAACTAAGTACCTAGACTTAGGTTAGACACACAGAGTAATACAAACAGTAAACTCAAGAAACCTGCTCCTTCATAACAAAAAAAGTCAGCAAAGTACTCTCTGTTTTTAAATCAGTGCTTTCCAAGAATATTTGGTAATAATAACCCTGTAGCTTTAATTCTTCCTTGCATGATCCATATGTACCTAAGTGTTTTCTGTTAGATTTTACTATTCATTCTGTTTTAAAAAATAACACTTTTTACTTGGAAATAATTATAGGTTATATAAACACTGTATACGGAAATCCCATGTGATCTTCATCAGAATTTCCCCAATGGTAACATCTTACATAACTATAATATTAAAAAGAAAAAAAAAACTCACAATGGCACCATTTTACCCACCGTATTAAAACTGCACCAGTTTTACATGCAGTCATGTGTGTGTTATGTGGTTCTATGCTTTTTTTTTTTTTTTGGAGACAGAGACTTGCTCTGTCGCCCAGGTTGTAGTGCATTGGTGCAATCTCAGCTCACTGCAACCTCCAACTCTTGGGTTCAAGCAATTCTCTGCCTTAGCCTCTCAAGCAGGTGGGATTACAGGCGCCCGCCACCACACCTGGCTAATTTTTGTATTTTTAGTAGAGATGGGGTTTCACCATCTTGGCCAGGCTGGTCTGGAACTCCTGATCTCGTGATCCACCCGCCTCAGCCTCCCCAAGTGCTGGGATTACAGGTGTAAGCCACTGCACCCGGCCAGTTCTACGCAGTTTTATCATATGTATTGAGTCATGCAGCCACCCCCACAATTAAGATGAAGAACAGTGCTATCACCACAGGGCTCCCTTGTGTTACTTCTTTATAGCTATGTCCACTCTCCTCTCACCTTATCTCTAATCCTTGGCAACCACTAATCTGTTCTCTGTCTCTATAATGTTATTATTTCAATGATGTTATATGTAAATGAAATAATATCATATATAAGCTTTTAAGATTAGCTTTCTTTCACTCAGCACAATTTCCTTGAAATGTCTCCCAGTTTTTGCATGAATCAATACTTCATCTCTTTTTATTGCTGAGGAGTAGTCTATGGAATGGCTGTACCATGCTTTTGTTAAGCATTCACCAACTGAAGGACATCTGGGTTTTTGCAACTTGAGAGGTACAGCAAATAAAATCGCTATGTGTATTCATCTACAGGTTTTTCCTTTGGCATAAATGCCCCAAAAGTGTAACCGCTGGGTCATATGGTAAATGGATGTTTATACTTAACAAATGTTTACTGAGCACTCATGTGCAAGGCAACCGTCTAGCTGTTGGGGATACAGTGGACAAAATGGAGAAAGCTCCCTGCCCTTGGGGAGCTTATGCCTCAGTGAAGAGTTCCTGACAAGAAATAGGCTATAGCTCAAAAAATTTTACAAAATGATAGAATTTTATTAACGAAAGGTATTATGAATGAATTGCAAAAATATCACACACAAGAAAATAGAATTGAGCTAGATTCCAAGACCCTATTAGTTCAGAAAGGCCTAGACAGAGAGCAAGACAAAACTAGTAAATATAGGCCAGGCGCAGTGGCTCACGCCTGTAATCCCAGTACTTTGGGAGGCCGAGGCGGGTGGATCACCTGAGGTCAGCAGTTCCAGACCAGCCTGACCAACGTGGAGAAACCCCGTCTCTAGTAAAAATACAAAATTAGCCAGGCGTGGTGGCGTATGTCTGTAATTCCAGCTACTCAGGAGGTTGAGACAGGAGAATCGCTTGAACCCGCGGGGGCGGAGGTTGTGATGAACAGAGATAGTGCCACTGCACTCCAGCCTGGGCAACAAGAGCGAGAAATTCTGTCTCAAACAAACAAACTAGTAAATATAAATTCCAATTAAATAACCTGACCAGATAGGGAGCAAATGAGATTAACAAGGATTAGAGACATAAACATGTACTACATGAAACTCTACCCTTATTCTAAATGTGTGAAAACATTTTTGCTCATCTTTCTTTTTAATATGGAAGAGTGCACATGAGGCCCCAGATGTAGAAGAGTAACAATATATCTACAACACAATGACATTTTTGTTACCTGTTTATTCTAAGATCTGAATTTATTTTAGTCCATCTCCATATCGTGATGCTGTAATAAATGAAGGCACTTTTACCCCAAGGCCAAGACAGAACAAGCTGGTTGTCCTTATATAAAACCAGTGCTTGAGGAAGGTTGTTACTCTTTTTTTAAAAAAGGGATGTTTCTGAAAATTTTCTGAGGAAAACAGGAATTTCTCAATTATACTTTGTGATGTACAATATCTACCATATTTTCTGAAACCATAAAAAAATTACAGTTTTAATTGTGGAATAAACAGTTACTACTGTGACCAACTTGAAGGGCTTTTTGCAGATAAAAATGTAAATTGTTTCAAATTACAAATGACAAAATTATTAGGGCACTGAAAAGTAGATCACTTTGAGAAAAACAAAATTGATTCCAACAAATTTAATGTTCTATATTGCCTTTTCACCTCTTAGAAGAATGGCTGTGAGGAATTTGCAAACTAAGAGGAACCAAGATGGCCAGAAAATACGGCATATTATAAAATATAATAAAAGTGTGATTTAAAACTATGATGTTGGGATTAAATAAAATGGAAGAGAATGGAAAATCCAAAAGCAAACTCAACTATACATAACATTTTAGAATATAGTATTTTTATCAATGGTACAACAGTAGACTATTCAGTGTGTTGCAATAATAATAATAATAATAATTGACTAAACATGTAGGGGTGAGGTTTTGATTCTACCATGCATCACAGGGATTAAATAGTTAAATATTTAAAATACAATGGTGAAAACTAGAAGAAAATGTGGGTATCACAACCCACATGATTTTGGATCTGCTGATCCCTCCTCAGTTGAGCCCTGATATGAGACCACAGCCTCAGCTAATACCTTCACTGCAGCTGAGCCACAGAAAGTGTGAGGTCATAAATGTGTGCTGTTTGGGGCTGGGCACCGTGGCTCACACCTATAATCCCAGGCGGATCACCTGAGGTCAGAAGTTCGAGACCAGCCTGACTAACATGGTGAAACCCCGTCTCTACTAAAAATACAAAAATTAGCCGGGCGTGCTGGTGTGCGCCTGTAGTTTCCCGAGGGGAAAGCGAGGCAGGAGAATTGCTTGAACCCAGGAGATGGAGGTTGCAGTGAGCCGAGATTGCGCCACTGCACTCCTGCATGGGCAACAGAGGGGACTCTGTCTTACAAACAAAACAAAACAAAAAACAGTGTGCTGTTTTAAGCTGCCAAGTTGCGTACACCATACACATCAATGGATACCTAATACAAGCCATATGCAAGAAAGACATTATAATGATAGACCATGAACTATAAAGTGGGTCAGGAGAGTAGGGAGGAGAAAAGATGAACGATCAATATGTGTAAATCCTGGGAAGATGAAGATTGCCAGAGACAAGGTTCTAGGATGAGCTGTGTTTAAAAAGTAAAGTAGAGGTTCCTCTTCAAAGACTTTCCTCCCCATCTAATTAGGAGGAATAAATAGTAACTTCTCTTAGAAGCAAAATTTATTCAAACACTTGTGCTAACATTCTTAAATATCTGCTAGCCGTAATAAAGAAATCAATGTACTTTATGTTCTTAGCTCCCACAACTTAGCCTAATTATTTGCCCTGGCATGCTTATACTGGTCCAAGCAAGCATTAGGTCATAGCCTGTTCCTCTTCCTTATTTGAAGGTGTTTTTACCTTTCTCAGCATTCCACAAGTTACTTCCTCCTTCCTTTGTTCTCCTCTGCCTTTGCCTCTTTTTAAAAGTTCTAAGTTGCTAGCCAATCGGGACAAATACAGAATGTGAGGTCCTGTTCCAGCCAATGGAAACCGGACACAGCAGTAGGGTGGACGTGTCAGGTTATAAATGACCCTGTCTCCTTTGTTCGGTGTACTCTCATGGCACAACTGCTGGTGAGTGTACCCTTTCTGCAGAAAGTATAAAAATGGCCTTGCTGAGGAAATTAAATTTATGTTCAAGTGCTATTTCTTTATGGCACCAGGAAACAAGCATTTCAAACAGCTGGAAATGGTCAGATTGGTATGCTTAAAATTAAAACTTTGTGGAATCTGCAGTTTGTAAATAACAAGGCCTAGGCTTTTTCTCTTTGTGTCACATTCATAAGATACTAATATGTATTTGTACAGGCTCATCAAGGGCAACAGACCTGTTTTCTCCCTGCTGACTCAGACCTGCCCAGCTGCAGGGTTTTTTTTTTTTTTTTGAGACGGAGTCTCGCTGTGTCGCCCAGGCTGGAGTGCAGTGGTGCGATCTCAGCTCACTGCAAGCTCCGCCTCCCAGGTTCATGCCATTCTCCTGCCTCAGCTTTCCGAGTAGCTGGGACTACAGGTGCCCGCCACCACACCTGGCTAATTTTTTGTATTTTTGGTAGAGATGGGGTTTCACTGTGTTAGCCAGGATGGTCTTGATCTCCTGACCTCGTGGATCCACCCGCCTCAGCCTCCCAAATCCCTCATACCTGCTGAGATTACAGGTATGAGCCACCACGCCTGGCCAGCTGCAGGTTTTTGTGACAGGGTCTCACTCTGTCATCCAGGCTGGGGTGCAGTGGTGCGATCATGGCTCATTGCAGCCTCAAAATCCTGGACTCAAGAAATCCTCCCACTTCAGCCTCCTGAGTAGCTGGGACTGCAGTCATGGGCCACCACACCTGGCTAATACTAACTAATTTGTATTGAGCTCTTATGTGCTACACACTGTGCTAAACTCTTTACATGCACTGGTCCATTTTACAAATAAGGTAAAAAAAGACAGAGGTGCACTTCTGAGTGTACAGTGCTGGTAAGTGGCAAAGCCAGCACTTGGACAGGCTGACACCTGGCACCTAAGTAACCATTCTTAACACAAACTCTTTATGACCACTCTGACCATTTCCAGCTGTTTGAAATGCTTGTTTCCCGGTGCCATAAAGAAATAGCACTTGAACATAAATTTAATTTCCTCAGCAAGGCCATTTTTATACTTTCTGCAGAAAGGGTACGCTCGTCAGCAGTTCTGCCATGAAGCCCAGACACAACTCTTACATGACCTTCACTCATTTAAAGTTTTCAGGAATGTGAAATTTCAGACAAAACTTATCAAAGTATAAAATTCCTATCAAGGAAAAGTTTCTAAAACCAAAATATAATTCTTGTGCCAGTCATGTTGGTATCATTAATGGGAAGGAGAATTTAGGGTTGATGTATCCTTTTTATATACAGTAATAAACTATTCTAGATGTAAATTAGATCATCATGTACTGGCCAAATTTTAAGGAAACCGACACCCTCATAAATGGTATAAACCCTAAGGTAAGTTGGCAACACTTATTAATTTTTCAAATCCACATACTACTCTAAATACAGTCATACTTTTTTCTTTTTTTTGAGATGGAATTTCGCTCTTGTTGCCCAGGCTGGAGTGCAATGGCGCAATCTCGACTCACCACAACCTCCGCCTCCTGGGTTCAAGCAGTTCTCCTGCCTCAGCTTCCCGAGTAGCTGGGATTACAGGCATACGCCACCGTGTCCAGTTAATTTTTGTATTTTTAGCAGAGACGGGGTTTCTCCATGTTGGTCAGGCTGGTTTTGAACTCCCGACCTCAGGTGATCCACCCGCCTCGGCCTCCCAAAGTTCTGGGACTACGGGCGTAAGTCACTGTGACCGGCCCATACATATTTTTATAGCCTGCACGAAAAGACCTAAATATACAGCCATAGGTAAAATTATGGTATATTCATTCATACAATGTACCAGAATGTGGTCATGAGGTGTGAGGGGAAAAATTCCTATATTTCAATAAATATCCGATAAACATTTGTGTGTCTATTATGTTTCATAAATAGGGTCTTGTCATGGTGGTCAATGAGAAAGACTCCTGCTTCCACAGGGCTTACTGCTAATGAGGAACACGGACATTAAAAAACCAAGGTTTTAAAAAGTGTGTAAGATGTGATGAGTGACCTCTTTCTTTTATAGCTCCTTCCTCCCTCCCTAGTGATCTCACCCTTCTTCAGCGCTTGAAGAACCAGCTATACTCTGAAGGCTCCAAAAATTACCTTCCCTGCTTAGAACTCTAGACTGTATATACCCAGCTTCCTACTCAATGACCAATGCCTAATAAAAATATAAAATTTACTATTTCCAAAACCCGAATACAGATATCACTCACTCCACAAGTATTCCTCCCTTAGTCTTCCCCATCTCGGTCAATGGTACCTGCACCTCCATTCTTTCAGCTACTCAGCTCAAAAGCTTTGGTATCACCTTAACTCTTCTCTCTCACGCCATATCCCAGTCCAGCAAATCCACCTTCAAGAGACTGATTTTCACTACCTCTACCTCCACTACCACATTTTTTCCCCTATTCTCCCTCTTATACTTGATGGTCTATTCTCTCCACACATACCAGAGGGATCCTTTTAAAAAAGACTGCCACTACTCAGAATAAAATTCAGCCTGGAGTGGCAGCTCACGCCTGTAATCCCAGCACTTTGGGAGGCCAAGGCGGGTGGATCACTTGAGGCCAGGAGCTCGAGACCAGCCCTGAAGAACATGGTGAAACCCTGTCTCTACGAAAAATACAAAAATTAGTCTGGCGTGGTGGCTCACACGTGTAATCCCAGCTATTCCAGAGGCTGAGACAGGAGAATCACTTGAACCCAGGAGGTGGAGGTTGCAGTGAGCAGAGATTGTGCCACTGCACTCCAGGCTGGGCGAAAGAGCCAGACCCTGTCTCAAAAATAAATAAATAAAAATAACATTCAAACTTCTATCATAGCTTGGAAGGTCCTAAGCGATCTGACGTCCCACAACTTAGGGTACTAATTCCTACTATTTCCCTTGACTTACATCAGGCCCACTGAACTTCCTGTCAGTCCACTAACAGGCCTCAAGTCCTTCACGTTTGTTTTGTCAAGCTAAAACTCCCATTATTTTGAGACAGTTGTATGATTTATCTTACTCTTTTTCTTTGAAGTAAAAAATAGCTATGGAATGCCATGGAGTTCATATACACCAAAGGTAGGAACTCTGGCTCACTGCTATATCCCTAATGGATTTTAATGCAAATAATTTGGGTAATTTGAGTTGTAACTGGTGAAGGATGCTTTGCTGCAATGATATTTAATTTGAGACCTTCAGGATGTGAAGCAGCCAGCCATACACTGGAAAGAACTTTCCAGGCAAAGGAAACCACCGTTGAAAAGCCCTGGGCTCTGGTGCTCGGAGGAACGGAAGAATCCTGTGAGGTTGGAATGGAGCAAGCCCCATGGAACTGAGAAAAGAAAAGAACTCTTATCTGAGGAATGTGAGTCCTTCTAAATTTTCAGGCCCAGAGAGGCACTAAAATGAGATTGCAATCTCGTCCTAGCTTCCCCTTGAGCTATGCATTCATCTCGAAACTGCTTGCCATAGCCACAAGTAGGTATTCATATAAATTAACCTAGTAATGCTACCTTCACCACACAATGTACAACCAATCCCTAATCAGTTATTTTTGTAAGCCAAAAAGAATTCCTGACAAACCACTTTGTATCAGTCCCACTCCCTGTCTCCCTTTTCACCTTTAAAAATCTACCTGTAATGGCTGCCAATTGAAGTGAAGATTCAAGGCAACTTGAGTCTATGCCCCTAGGCTGCCAGCCTCAAGCCTGGCCCACCTGAACTCTCTACTTAAATCAATTTTGTCTCAGCTTCTTTCTTTCAGGTAGATGAAGCTGGCAGGGGGCAAATCACAGAGGTGGATGTGTAAACCATGGCACCAAGTCTGTCCTCTTTGACACGGAGTGGGAACGCTTATAAGCAGGTCAGGCTCTGACACGTTCATTACTCTAGCTGCTGCTAGTGCATGGAATAGAAGGTGCAACGAAAAGCAGAGGGACCAGTGAGTAGAGAACTGTAATAATCCAGGTATGAGATGAGGATGGTCTGGACTAGAGTAGCAGCAGGGATGAGATACAAGATCTGTGCTGACAGCAAAATCAACAGTAAGTGGTAAGGAGCAAGGTGAAAGAAAAGCAGAAAGCTAGGAAGACTAAGGTTTTTGTGTGGGCAAAATTTCAGTTGAAAGATGCCATTTATGATAATGGATAAAACTGGATTAGAGGTTGGGGAAACCAGACTGATGGAGTAATGTACTATTATTAAATAGAAGGAAGTACATCCACACAGATAATGGTTGTATACGCACACATTATTTGTGGAAAGATAGGTTAACCAGGAGATCTTTTCACTGCATAGGTTTTATACTGTTTCAATGTTTTAAGTGAGGTGGGCTCACGCCTGTAATCCCAGCACTTTGGGAGGCCGAGGCAGGAGAATCACGAGGTCAGGAATTTGAAACCAGCCTGGCCAATATAGCAAAAACCTGTTTCTACTAAAAATACAAAAATTAGCCGGGCATGGTGGCATGCACCTATAGCCCCAGCTACTCAGGAGGCTGAGGCAGGAGAATCGCTTGAACACGGGAGGCAGAGGTTGCAGTGAGCCGATGTTGCGCCACTGCACTCCAGCCTGGCGACAGAGTGAGACTCCATCTAAAACAACAACAAAAAGTTAATATATTACTTTTTCCCATTAAAACCTAATTTTAAATGACAACAAATTACTTTTCCTCAAATGAATCTAAACTATTTCCATATATATTCAAAACTTAAGACTGTTCAGATTCCCTGTTAGAAAAGGAGAGGACATTCAGAAGGCTAAAAGGGCAAGTTCAACTACTCCCACTTGCTATTTACTGTTCTCATTCCTTAAACCCAGAATAATCTGTTTATTACCAAACTGCTGCGTTTGGGGATACCATCAGTTTACTCATTCATTTAGCTGGCATGCTGCAGCCTGGACAAGATCCTTGTCCTCAAGGAACCACACCTGATAGGATTGTGGCTACATGTGTGAAAGGAAGCATCACTCAGTGCCCTGTGGGCCTAGACTGGAGTGACTGACATTTCCGGGGGAAAAACTTATCAGACCATTGCAAGTGTCCAGACACTGAAGTACAGAACAGGTCAAAAATGTTAAGAAATAAGAATTGGTTGGGCTGGGCGTGGTGGCTCACGCCTGTAATCCCAGCACTTTGGGAGGCCGAGGCGGGCAGATCACGAGGTCAGGAGATCGAGACCATCCTGACTAACACAGTGAAACCCCGTCGCCACTAAAAATACAAAAAATTAGCCGGGCGTGGTGGCGGGCGCCTGTAGTCCCAGCTACTCGGGAAGCTGAGGCAGGAGAATGGCGTGAACCTGGGAGGCAGAGCTTGCAGTGAGCCAACATCATGCCACTGCACTCCAGCCTGGGCGACAGAGCAAGACTCTGTCTCAAAAAAAAAAAAAAAAAAAAAAAAGAACTGGTTACCAATTAGATGTGCGGAGCTGAAAAAAATGGGAGAACTCCTGAGACCCTGTCTTAGTTAGGTGAATAGTGGTGCCAATTACCAAGACAGTACAGACAGGTGGAACAGCTGGTGTGTGAGTCTGGGTTTTCCCTAAGTGTCCGAGAAACAGACAAACAGGTGACAGCATCCAGTAAGAAGTATAAAGCACGGGAGGCAGAGTTTGTATTCAAGCCACGGTCCTCTGCTACAGTTTCAGAGGTTTTACCACTCTGGGCCGAAAAAAGAACATTATCATTTAAATGGGGGATAAAAGAGGTGGGACGTGGTGGTTCACACCTGTAATTCCAGCACTTTGGGAGGCAGAGGCAGGCAGATCCCTTGAGGTCAGTAGTTCAGGATCAGCTTGGCCAACATGGTGAAACCCCATCTCTACTAAAAATACAAAAATTAGCCGGGCATGGTAGTTGCCGCCTGTGGTCCCAGCTACTCGGGAGGCTGAGGCAAAAGAATCACTTGAATCCAGGAGGCAGAGGCTGCAGTGAGCCAGACCGTGCCACGGTACCTCAGCCTGGGCGACAGAGCGAGACTCCATCTCCAAAAAAAATAAATAAATAATAAATAAATAAAAAAGAGGAATCTGAAAAGGAGAAAGAAGAACAGAAGGCCTGACAGTATTAGGAGGACGGCATCTGGGAATCCAGGATGGAGGGAAGGATCCACTATTACATTTAAGTGCTACAGAGTTCAAGATGAAAGGTGACTGATTTGGCAATAAGGAATCAACACAAAAGACCGTAGACTTAAGCTGGACAAAGGAAAACAGCAACGGATGGGGCCAGAGGATCACTATTTAGGTCCCAAAGTATAAATACACTGCTGATAATGTGGGCTGTCTCTTATGGAAAATCAACCGTGTAGAAAGCAGTGACTTAGGGCTTTATGTAAACAATTTCATTAATCCTCAGCAATACTATGAGATAAATGCAAAAATGGGAATTCATCAGGAAAAACCAAAGGTCACATAACAAATGGAGGCAACTACTGCTAGTTGATGTCAAAGTTATCTTCCATTACATTACTTCTTTCCATGCATCATATACGATAAATTATATTAATTATATTTACAAAAACTTAATGATAAAAGAATTATAACACAACAAAGTTGAAACTAGACTATTTATATCAACTAATCTGCCCTGATTGTTCCTACTAGCCCACCTGTTTAATTTGCTGAAAGTAGTCATATCCAACCAGTTTTTAGTCATGGATGTGTAGTACACACATCTCACATCCTTCTCGTTTGAGCTAATTACATGTGGTAAAAGTATAGTGATTATTATCTGACATGAAAAGGAATTTAAAATACAGACGTTACCGGCAGTCTATTCATCTCCCAGTACCTAAATATCTATTTGTATTTTCTCCGGAAAACTATTTAAAAATAGTGTAAATCCATTCCTTAAAACTCTCTAAAAAATTGTTACCCAACATTATCTCAAAGTATTAAGATGGAAATTGCTCTAATGGACCTGTACCTGTTCTCTATTTGCACTGTCCAACACAGCAGCCACGAGCCACATAGCCACTTAAAAACAAAAACAAACAAACAAAAAAAAAACACTTGAAATGTGGCTACCATGGCTAGAGAACTAATCTTTACATTTTATTTAAGGTAAACTTACACAGCTGCCAGTGGCTAATACATTGGACAACAGGGCTCTGAACAATTGTTCTCAATCCTGGCTGCACACTAAAACTGCCACGGAGAACTTTTTAGATCCTAATGAGTAAACTAAAGCCCCCCACCGCCCCCGACCCCCGGCTTTTCTTTTTTTTTTTTAAGTCTCTGGGCATGGGACTCAGGCATAATATGTGATTTTATTTTATTTATTACTCCTATGTGATTTTATTTTATTAATTACTATTTATGAATGAACTAATGAATGAATGACAAGTTCTTGCTCTGTTGCCCAGGCTGGAGTGCAGTGGTACTGTAAACGCACCAATCAGCACTCTGTGTCTAGCTAAAGGATTGTAAACAGCCGGGCACGGTGGCTCACGCCTGTAATCCCAGCACTTTGGGAGGCCGAGGTGGGTGGATCACGAGGTCAGGATATCGAGACCATCCTGGATAACACGATGAAACCCCGTGTCTACTAAAAAATACAAAAAATTAGCTGGGCGTGGTGGCAGGTGCCTGTAGTCCCAGCTACTCGGGAGGCTGAGGCAGGAGAATGGCGAGAACCCAGGAGGCGGAGCTTGCAGTCCCGTCTACTAAAAAACACAAAAAATTAGCCGGGCATGGTGGCCAGCACCTGTAGTCCCAGCTACTCGGGAGGCTGAGGCAGGAGAATGGCGTGAACCCGGGAGGCGGAGCTTACAGTGAGCAGAGATCCCGTCACTGCACTCCAGCCTGGGCAAGACAGCGAGACTCTGTCTCAAAAAAAAAAAAAAAAAAAGATTGTAAACGCACCACTCAGCACTCTGTAAAAATGCACCAATCGGCACTGTGTCTAGCTAAAGAACTGTAAACACACCAATCAGCACTGTGTAAAAATGCACCAGTGTTCTGTAAAATGGACCAATCAGCGCTCTGTAAAATGGACCAATCAGCAGGATGTGGGCGGGGCCAAATAAGGGAATAAAGCTGGCCACCTCACAGCGGCAACCTGCTCGCATCCCCTTTGTGGAAGCTTTGTTCTTTCGGTCTTCATAATAAATCTTGCTGCTGCTCACTCTTTTGTGTCTGCACCACCTTTTTGTTTTGTTTTGTTTTTGAGACAAAGTCTCGCTCTGTCACCCAGGCTGGAGTGCAGTGGCAGGATCTCAGCTCACTGTAAGCTCCACCTCCCAGGTTCACATCATTCTCCTTCCTAACCTCCTGAGTAGCTGGGACTACAGGCGCCCGCCACCACACCCGGCTAATTTTTTGTATTTTTAGTAGAGACGGGGTTTCACCGTGTTAGCCAGGATGGTCTCGATCCCCTGACCTCGTGATCCGCCCGCCTCGGCCTCCCAAAGTGCTGGGATTACAGGCAAGAGCCACCGCGCCCTGGGGGTCCACACCACCTTTAAGAGCTGTAACACTCACCGCTAAGTTCCGTGGCTTCGTTCTTGATGTCAGTGAGACCAAGAACCCACCGGAAGGAACCAACTCTGGACACAGCACAATCATAGCTAATCATAGCTCCTAGGCTCACTCAATCCTCCTGCCCCAGCCTCCTGAACAGCTGGGACTATAGGCATGTGCCGCAACACCTGACTTGGGATTTTTAAGTGTAGCTAAAATAAAACAACTACTGCTCCAGAACAGTGTTTTTCAGTGTGCACAGAAAGCACCTCCTGAGTTTTTTTTAATGGCTATTTTGATTCATCTAGGTCTGGAGTGAGGTATCTGTAAACAAGCTCCTAGGTGATGCTGGCACCATTGATCCAAGGACTGTGCAGTTCACCCTCCACATCCACAGGGCCCATGCTGGCAGATTCAACCAACCATGAACAGAAAACATTCGGGAATAATACAAATAAAAAACCAACATGGTGTAACAGCTATGCATATAGCATTATAGCATTTACATTGTGTAATCTAGAGATGGTTTAAAGTATACAGCAGTGGCCAGGTGCAGGGTCCCAGCACTTTGGGAGGCTGAGGCAGGAGGATCACTTGAGGTCAGGAGTTCGAGACCAGCCTGGCCAACATGGCAAAACCCCATCTCTACTAAAAATACAAAAATTAGCCAGGCATGGTGGTGCCCGCCTGTAATCCTAGCTACTCAGGAGGCTGAGACAGGAGAACTGCCCGAACCTGGGAGGCAGAGGTTGCAGTCAGCCAAGATTGCAGTCAGCCAAGATTGCACCACTGCACTCCAGCCTGGGCGACAGGGTGAGCCTCTGCCTCAAATAATAATAATAATAATAATAATAATAATAATAATAATAATAATAATAAAGTATAGAGCAGAATGTGCATAGGTTATATGTAAATACTATACCATTTTATATAAGGAAATTGAGCATCCACGAATTTTGGTATCCACAGGGGTCCTGAAATCAATCCCCCATGGAAACTTAGAGATGACTGCACTTTGAACAGCAAGGCTCTTGAACCAATTAAACTGTTATGGCATCCAATTCATGAGTTCATTTATTATTTTCTAGAGGCAGGGTCTCGCTCTGTCACCTAGACTGGTCTCCTGGCCTCAAGCAATCCTCTGACCTCAGCCTCCCAAAGTGCTGAGGTTACACGCAATGAGCTACCACACCTGGCTGCATCAAATTCTTCTCAAGGAAATGAAAACCTATAGATCTTAGGTCATAAAGTATAATGCTTCCCTTACATACAACAATTAGACTTATAACTTAATATGAGGTATATGAATAGTCTAACAAATCCAAATTGTGAATATGTACTATAGTATTCAAAAGCATTTAAGGATATAAAAGTAGCAAAATAAAGAGAAAAATAAAATTATAGCTGTTTGAGAAGTCAAAGATCAAATCAGTTCTTCAAAGAGAAATCAGCACATTATTTTTCATAGTAAGGATACTTGGTTTTTTTGTGGAATATTCTTTTTGGTTTAGCGATCAGATTATTATCTGTATCACCTTCCTGGAAAAGTACTGCTACTATCCTGATGTAATTAACACAGTAAACCCAACGGTGCTCCTACTGAAAGCTTTTACTAACCCTTTGATTTTGAGTAGAAGAAAAATATTTACTTCTGTTTAAGCCTTAGCTTGCCCTGACTAGTTCTTTCAGGATTAGTTCTAGGCTGGGTTCAGTTTGGTGTGAAAAGGACGCTATTGCAATTTCTCATTTTGTATGACTTCTCCCATGAGAAATCTTGATGGTGGTAGTTCAAGTTTTTTTTTTTTAGGTGGAGTCTCACTTTGTCGCCCAGGCTAGAGTGCAGTGGCATGATCTCACTGCAACCTCCTCCCGGGTTCAAGCGATTCTCGTGCCTCAGTCTCCCGAGTAGCTGGGACTACAGGTGTGCACCACCACGTCGCCTAATATTGTGTATCTTTAGTAGAAATGGGGTTTTGCCATGTTAGCCAGGCTGGTCTCGGACTCCTGACCTTAACTGATCTGCCCGTCTTGGTCTCCCAAAGTGCTGGGATTACAGGCATGAGCCACTGCACCTGGCCAAGGCTATTTTTAATTACTCCTTACCAGCCTGACAACCTAAAAGAGTTGCTTATTCATATGTCACCTGGTGCTTCAGATGCCAGCTGAGGAATTAACACGAACTGTATTAGCCAGCAAACGCTTCACTGTCTGCAATCAACTATGGAAGTATACTGTGAAAAGAAACCACCAGGGCCTGAAAGAGAGGGTGACAAGATGACTGAGCTGTACTAAGCTCCAGGGGAGACCACAGACCGACTAACCAGAGGCCGGGTGCACTGCCAGTCCGACCAGCCAAGTGCGTATGTGTGCCTGCACATGCAAATACCTGGGAGGAAGGGTGAAGCCTAGAGAGTTTAATTAATGTTTTAGTGGACCAAAAAAGGTGGTGAACTATCTAAACAACCTTGCCTTTAGTCATCTCATTCTGCTTGTTTACGGTACGGCTAAATTACTTTTGTTCTCTTCCGTCCTACATTTCAAAATGTTTTCCCAGTCTGAATCTCCGTGCCTCTATCAACTTTTATGTCTCCCCTCAGCTTGTCAGGCTGATCTTAAGAGCTGACACCCCTCAATGCCTCCTGGAATCTGGTAAGTAACCTAAAAAGATAAAGTAGGCTAAACCAGGAAGCAGATTACGAGGAGTGGGGAGTCACCCGGAAGTCGCTCTAAAGACAACAGTGGTGCACAGAACAGGCGATGTGAAGGTGCGGGGTGCTGCGGCAGAGAAAGGCCCGTCCTCGCTGCCTACTTCAGACAACTGAAGCTGCTAAGCCGGAGTCAATTTTAAGCAGTAACTTTTTTTCCATCTCTTCTTCTGGGTCAGAATTAGAGATGAGTAAACTCCTGGGACTGAATATGATCTTGTCTCCTCCCTGCTGGTGCCTTTCCACCATCTGCCCTTGGCTCCCAGGGAGTCTCTAAGACTCCTGCTGCTTAAAGGGATTCTGCCCTTTTTTCCTTTCTGAATATTCTAAGATTAATTCCACAGATAATAAAACTATGTAAAATATTATTACAATTACCAACAAGTTACAGCCAAACAGAATTTTAATAGAGAAATCGCCCAGAGCAACATTATTGACTGTTAAAACTAAAAACGGGAAACTTACCTTTAAAGCACATCAGCTCTAACTGGATGCCCAACATTCTACCTGCCTTGCTTTCCTGGGCATTATGGATTTAAGGATTTGTAGAATGGCTGCTGAGAAGTTTCGTTTGTCCTTTAAGAAAACGAGCTAGAGGGCAGGAAGAGACGCTCAGAAGCAAACAGTACAAAGAAACACACCAGGACATACCACTGGCAGACTGGACAGCAAGTAAATGGAGCCTGATGAAAGAATAGAAAAAGGTTCCACTATTCCAATAGAAGAAAGGGTTTTCTTCCAAGATAAAGTTTAAAAAATAAAACAACTGCAAATGCAAAATGCCATTAACACCTATGACTCATTCAGTCATGAAGCAAAAATGTGAATGATTCTAGGGAAGCCTGTGAATTACTACTATCATCTAGTGATTGGCCAGGCGCGGTGGCTCACTCCTGTAATCCCAGCACTTTGGGAGGCCGAGGAGGGTGGATCATGAGGTCAGGAGTTCAAGACCAGCCTGGCCAAGATGGTGAAACCCCGTCTCTACTAAAAATACAAAAATTAGCCAGGCGGTGGTGGCGGGCGCCTGTAATCCCAGCTACTCGGGAGGCTGAGGCAGAGAACTGCTTGAATCCGGGAGGTGGAGGCTGCAGTGAGCTGAGACCGCACCACTGCACTCCAGCCTGGGCGACAGAGTGAGATTCCATCTCAAAAAACACAAAACAAACAAAAAAACCTGTGGTGTGATCAAAGCTCACTGCAAGCCTTGAACTCCTGGGCTCCAGTGATCCTCCTGCCTCGGCCTCCCTAGTAGCTAGGACTACAAGATGTGCATCAACTACGCCCAACTAATTTAAAAATATATATGTATTTGTAGAAATGGGGGTCTCGCTATGTTGCTCAGGCTGCTCCAGAACTCCTAGCCTCAAGCTATCCTCTCCCATCTTGGCCTCCTGAAGTTCTGGGATTATAGGTGTGAGCCACCACACCTGGCCTGATCTGCATTTTTTAATAAGCTTCCCTCACCATGGATTCCCATGAGCTCCAAAGTGAATAGTGTTAAGGGGACCAAATTCTGAATTTCACACGGAACTCTTCTAGTATGACATGCTCTTGTTTTGCGGTTTTTTCTGTCTTTCCCACCTTGAATCTTCTTCTGAATTCAAAATAGGTAAAGCTGTTGATAATGTAAACAGCTTCCCAACTTTGTATAATTTCAAAGAGACCAGAGTTTGATTCTAGTAGAAGATGGTCAATGAAAATGAAGTCAACAGGTCTGCCACCCGCTTCCTGCAGAGAAATATGTTCAGAACATCCAAATCCTTTCCTTGTGAGAGACAAAAATTGTAAGACAGAGTATGGTGTGTGATATCACCTCCCTATGGAACTTTATTTTATACTTCAACATGTTCCATGAAATTCTTACAAGGTGAGTTATACATCTTAATCACATTTCTGTAAATTCTGTTTCATAAAGGACTTTAGCCAAACAATTATTTATCATCTTTCTTAATCTTGTTTCCATGTAAAATTCTTCAAACCAGAAATAATCTATCAAGACTGGAAAAACAATCTATTCATAGATCCAGGACTGAGACATCTAGATAACTTATTATCCTCTGGCAATATCCTCAAAAAAGAAGGATTCATTCATTCATTCAAGTAACGGGGGGTGGGGTCCACAGAGTAAGACACAGGGAAAGCATTTAACCCCTAGTCAATCTCCCCCGGCTACTTTTTAAAAGAAAGCTTTCATCACGTTAGAATAAATGACGCACTATTCTATACAAATCATGGTGAGTGATTTAAAATTACCATACTACAATACAAATATTATTTGCTAAACTAAAATAAAATTGAAGGGCTCTGTGTTAAGATTATCAGCCTAGTACAGTATCACAGCTGTGCGTTCCATCATATTCCTCCTATATCTGGCAGCAGGAAAGATCTATCTAGGGCCATCCCAGATTCCCAACAACAACCAGTATACTTGCTCCCTCAACACGCATCATTTTAATGTGTTAATAGGCCAGGCATGGTGGCTCACGCCTGTAATCCCAGCACTTTTGAGAAGCCAAGGCAGGCGGATCACCTGAGGTCAGGAGTTCGAGACCAGCCTGGCCAACATGGTGAAACCCCATCTCTATTAAAAATATAAAAATTAGCCGGGCGTGGTGGCATGCACCTGTAATCCCAACTACTCTGGAGGCTGTGGCAGGACAATCACTTGAACCCGGGTTGTGGTAAGCTGAGATCACTCCACTGCACTCCAGTCTGGGTGACAGAGTGAGACTCCATCCCGCCCCCTGCCCCCTGCCCCTCCCCCCCAAAAACAGTGTTAATAAGACCTGACAGTCAGCTGAATACCCATGAAATTAGAAATATAATCATCAACAGATACAAGGCACTACACTTTCTTGAACATTTGGTTACTAAAAAAAAGTCCCAGAAAACACAGGGGATGTCTGTAATGATTGTATAATCATCATGTTGAGAAAGGAGTGGAGGGGTAGGGATCAGAGGGTGGTAGTCAAATTTCTGTTTCTAATAAATCTGTTCGGAGACTTGAAATCAAGTTTTTCTTGTTTTCTTACATCACTTTGCTATATAATGCTATACAACCTTCCCTCTCATTACTTCAAGTCAGATATCAGATCAATAAATCAATAAAAGTCCCAGCTTCACTTCAAGAGACAGGGAATAGACAGTGTGGGATATCATAATAAGTGTAAGGACAGACCTGAATTCCACTCAAATTTTAGTTCCTTAGTTACTAGTGAGACCTACAGAGAGTCATTTCTCTGAGGCACTTTGTCTTTTCCATAAAGTTTTTATGCCATAACAGACAGAGAAAGAGTTCCATTTTTCAATCAACAAGGCAAAAAAGAGGCCAAGTAATTGGGAATGTAATAAAGGTGAGCCTATTTTACAACATCGAGTGGGAGCTAGGAAGCCCTCTGACAAATCTTTAAGCTGATGGAGCCTGAATGACTAATGACTATTTTAGTTTTTCCTTTTAAAAAATGATGTGAATAAATACAGATACCCCCCACAACACACACACACACAGTTTTATATAAATTCAAAAAACAATCATACTATTCATTCTGGGGGTTGTTTGTATACAATTTTCTTTCCTTTTTTTACTCCCTACTTCAGTAACTCCCCTCATATACAAACAAGTATACTTTTTTTGTTTTTTTTTTCAATGTAATCATATTCATATATACATACATGCAGACACATGCATCAATGTATGGGCGTAGGCCTTTTCTAATAGACTGATACTACCCATGCTTGCCTGCACATTTTCTATCTTGTGCAAATCTCTCCAAGTCAAGTGGTATAGTGTAGGTCCATTTCATTCTATTAAAAGGTGGGCTAATACTCCACGGTACGCAGGTAACATCCTATTCAGCCACCCCGCTAATGACGGGCTTTCACTCTGTTCTCCATTTTAGGCCACACAGAACCACGCTGCAATGACATTCCTTGTCCATTGCACGGCAGTTGTTTTGTACCCATTGATTAAAATTCCAGGACTGGCATTACTGGAGCAATGAGAGTACATATATTTATGTATTTTAAATTTTAATAGGTACTACCAGATTGTTTTTCAAAAAGGCTGATCAGTCTAATTTTTTTGTTAGTAAAGTATGAGTATTCCTTTTCCTTTCCAATACAGATATTACTTAATAATTTTTGCCAGTCAGATCTTTTCAGATATTTTTTTTTGTCATTAAGATTTATTCTTTTGTGACTTGAAACCTACTCATATCCTTTGTCCATTGTTCCACTGGGCTGTTTGTATATTATAATATTAACCGTCTGTCATCTGCTTTGCAAATACTTTTTTCTTAAATCTGTTGCTTGTCCATGTTTTTTTATGCCTTAGAACAGGAGGTTAGTAAGCTATGGTCTACCACCCATTAGTATAAATAAAGCTTTACTGAAACACAGCCTTCCTTGCCCATTCATTTTTGTAGTAAATTTGGTAACTGGAACAGAAATTATCTGGCACTCAGAGCCTAAAATATTTAATATCTGACCCTTTACAGAAAAAAAATTGCCAATACTAGCTATACGGAACATCCAAAAAAAAAAAAAAGGGAGTGTTTCTTCTCCCATAGAATTCATGTTCCAAAAGGATTTTTATGTGTCTTATTCACTGCTAGAAAAAATATCTAGCAAGTAGTACACATTAATTTTCAGAATTAATGCTAGGTCTTCTTGCTTTTATATATACATACTTTAAAAAAAATGTGTAGAGATGAGGTCTCACTCTGTTGCCCAGGCTGGTCTCTAAGTCCTGGCCTCAAGTGATCCTCCCAACTTGACCTCCCCCAAAGTGTGGAATTCCATGCATGAGCCACCATGTCCAGCCAAACAGTATTAATATAAGAAAAAAAGAAAACAACTTTTTTTTCTTAGCGATTACAATTTTATTAAGTTTCACTGTGAAAAATCAATAAGAAATAACACACTGAAGTTTTTCAGCTGGAAATCATCCCAATAATGACATACCTTATGACAGGGTTGTTCAATCTTTTGGCTTCCCTGGCCCACACTTGAAGAAGAATTGTTTTGGGCCACACATAAAATATGCTAACACTAATGATACCTGATGAGCTTTAAAAAAAATTGCAAAAAAAAAAAATCTCATAATGTTTTAAGAAAGTTTACGAATTTGTGTTGGCCTCATTCAAAGCCGTCCTGGGCTGCAGGCGGCCTGCGGGCAGGTGGGTTGGACAAGCTTGCCTTATGGGAAAACATTTTGGGCTCATTTTGATGTTAAATTGAGTAAGTTGTTTTAAGAGACTCCATATACAGGAACCAAATCACGGTACTAAGGACAATTTACTCTCATTATAAACTACTTGTCAGTCGACAAGTCTCATCAAAGTGATTAAATATTTTCAACCCAAAACATGTGATGAGAAAGGAAAACATTTTCCCCACTAAACTTCTCAATACTATACAACTTTAGGTTCTGGGCTCAGCTTGTCTACAATAAACACAAGATAAGCCCTGTTCAGGTTGAAAGGGACTCATTTTTGAAATGTTCTGTTTGTAACGCATGTCATCTGGGGCATTTTTGTTGTTACTTTGCTTCCAAGCATAACTTTACAATGCATTATGATACTACTGCATGTAATATTCAGCTTGCTAAAGAAATGCATTTTTAAAACCCCAAATATAATGTACAATTCTTTCAACTTTTCTGTTCATTTGGAAGTTTTCATAATAAAATACTGGGAGGAAATATTCCTAGATCACAGAAAAAAATTTTCATTAACATTAAAGTCTCATTTCTATTACTCCACAAAAGAAACTTTGTCCTTTTAAACTATTAAGTTACAGTGAGTAACATCCATCTTTCAAATTCATGGTCAACATTGGTTAACATTCACACTATACATCCTTGAAGTCGAAGGAAATTTTTCCTTTTATCTTTGTAGACACTATGGAAAACCTTCATCACTCCTGCTAAGAAGCAGTGATGCTCACCTTGCATTTTAAAGTCTGACAAACTTTAAAATTTTTTTTAATCCCTATACTATTTAGAAATTTCTATGGTCAACAGTGTGACACCTTGATAAGTCAAAGCATACATAAAAAGAAGTCATAAAAAAGCAGGAACTCCTACTTACAAAGTATGTCTACAGTAATATACTATGAAAAATCTATTTCAGGTCCTCAGTGATGGTATGGATGGGGAGGTACATAATGAAAAAGAAATATCATATGATCAAAAACATGTCGAGGAAGTGTACGTATGTGAGTTCCAATAAGCTGGAATTTAAATAGAAAGGTTGAAGTCACAGCAAGTAGATGAAAGGCGGCCCCTTTAACATTTGCTCCTGGAGTCCAGCAACTCTCAGCAGTTGGCTGGAGACTAAGCTGGCCGATCCTGTGGAGCTTCAACAAAGGGACGAAACAAACTGAGTCCCCAGGGCCCCCCTCCCGACAACGCGTGAAACAACTTGATAAATGATTGCTCTGTCAGGGGATGAGGAGATGGAGACGTCTGGGAGCAGAGGGGGAATGTATCTAATTTAGGAGGCCAAGGGGGAAGGGGAAGACATGGAAGGCAGAACCGCAGACAGGGGCAAGACCATCTAATGGCACTAACACTCGAGCAGAGAACTAGAAACAAACACCAGACAACCCAACAGCATCTCTGAGAGCTGCAGTCATCAGACTGCAGCAAGAGACTTGTCAGAGGCCAGTTCTCCCCAAGTCACTAGGATTTTAAAAGGAAAGTTTTCACCTTCCACAACCCATTCTCCAGCCTCAAGGCCAAGCTTCAGAAAGTGCTGCTCTCATATTACTTCATTCATTTGGGGATGACATGAAATACAAAATCCTTTTCCCCACCCCCAGTTCCTGCCTAAAGATTGCTGATTCAGGCCTGAAAGCCAGAGGCGCAAGAGCCCAAGGCTTAGCTCACTTAAGGAAACATTAATTACCCTGAAACAAAAATAGGAGTTCACATCTGGGGCTCAACACTTACCTTCTCCTCCGCCCCTTTTTCTAGAGTGTGAGCACCCGCTATTTATACAACCTCTTCCTGACTGAGGACTGATACTGGTCCCGCAGGACTTCCCTGTCTGGGGAGAACTTACTGGTGACAAACTCAGTCAGCATTGCACAGGCATTTCAGAAGTAGGAACAGAGGCAGCTCAACTTGAGAAAAAGGTTGTCAGAATTGGAAGTAGTACAAAAGCAGTTTCCCACAGAGTAGCTGGTTAATTCATAAGGGATACTCTGGCAGCTTAAGCATCTGATGAAAGACCATTAAGGAAGTTTACAAGTCAAAGGTGGGAACAAGCAACCCAAGTCTTTCTTCCGTCACTCCAGTTTCTTATTTTAGGAACTAGAGACAGCTAATGTTGTTGCTATAATAGAAGTGCTGTGTTGTATTATTGTGCATAGAACTTTATTTAAATGTTGAATTAAGCTTGGGCTGTAGTTGGCATAATTTAAGCTAACAGCAAATGGTACATCAAGAAACTAAAGGCCGGGTGCAGTGGCTCACACCTGCAATCCCAGCACTTTGGGAAGCCGAGGCGGGCAGATCACGAGATCAGGAGATCAAGACCATCCTGGCTAACACCGTGAAACCCCGTCTCTACTAAAAATATAAAAAATTAACTGAGCGTGGTGACACGCACCTGTAGTCCCAGCCACCCAGGAGGCTGAGGCAGGAGAATCTCTTGAACTCAGGAGGCGGAGGTTGCAGTGAGCTGAGATGGTGCCACTGCACTCCAGCCTGGGTGACAGAGCGAGACAGACAGAGGGAGGGAGGGAGGAAGGGAAAGAAAGAAGGTAAAGAAAAGAAAAGAAAGAAACTAAAGTTTCAAAAAATTTACCTTTGCTTTGCCCAGCACCCTTGGAGGATGACTGATAATTCATAGCTATGACCCCAAATCTAATTTAGTACAGTGTGTTTCAGAACATCTGATGTATTAATTAATTTGGCCAGAGAGACACTGTATAAGGGATGGGATGACTATGAGAAAAAATCACCGTTTCACTGGATTAAGTTGGATGGTCCTGCTCCTGTTTTTTTTTTTTTTTTTTTTTTTTTTAAGAATTAAAAGAGCTCAAGGGAGTCTATTCTAGACTCCCTAGAATGTGTTTGTGGCCTGTCCAGAATTTTCACTGGACCAAACAAAAATAGAACTTGCTAATTCCCCAGACATCTTTCTTGTCAGGTTACACAGTTCAAAAGGTGCTGAGGGCTTCCTAAACTTAGAGATGAGAGAAGAGGCACTGCACCATGGATCTAACTTTTGTGAATTCTAATCAGCAATTCACAAAAGTGAGATCTTACAATTATAAAACCCGGTCTCCAAATTCTACCTTGCTTTCCGATCTTTCTGCCAAGGTCTGAGTCTTAGAAATATTAGCAAATTCCTGTTCATGGACTGTCAATCTGAAAAGACTGTCAACTAGTCAGTTTCATGGAATGCATAAGAAATTGCAAACTGGTAGCAGGCAGCAACGTTTGTTTTGGTCTGTAGTTTTGTTTTGCTTTTCACTGGTTGTCCAACATTAAAAAAAAAGAAAGAAAGAAAGAAAAAACTTTGGAGGAGCTTACACAAAAATCTGGGTATCTCCCTTTGCTTGAAAAATCAAGTCTGACTGATTCACAGTTCTTCATGACTCAGCTGGCACTAACAGGGGGCTGCCTCTTAGACTGGACATGGATCCTCCAACTCATTAACTGCACATCCGGCCCCATCCCCTCCATTAAGTTACCTGTCTGGCCCTGCAGGCTTCTGAGTTTCGACATTAGCCCTACATCAATGAGGAGCAGGTTAGCTCGTACTTCAACAATACCCCATGTGTGTTCCTTCCTTTCTTTCCATCAGTGCCAGATAATGCTGGCTGCTCTCAAGTCCCCCTTGACTTGACACTATCCTTTCACTGTAACACCCAGGATTCAACAAAATACTCTCTGACTAGGTAAAAAGATGAGACTCACTGCCTTTATTCTGAACAGCAGTAGGTAAAGGTATCCCACACCCAAAATGACCACAAAAGAAAGTGCTCAAGAAAATACACACAAACAGAACATAAAACAAGACAGGAGTGACAGCTTAGCTACGGGGAGCAGCAGGGGGGGTGCGGGCATAAAAAGAGTGGGGGGTTCTAATCCATGGTGGGGGTGAACTTATTTCTAGACTGCTCGGAAAGTGATTAAGGCAGCAGCCTAAAGGGTTAGTGTCCAAAAAGAAAAGTTAGACTACTAACTTAAGTTGCCCGTGAAGAAGGCCTACTGTACTGCCACCATGTAAAGCGGTGAATCCTAAAGCAAGATTCTTGCACTGCCTGCATCAGAGTCTCCAGAATCCGGCCTCAGAAGCTGCATTTCAAATTAAACAATCCAAGGTTCTCAAACACTCAAGTTTGGAAAACAACTAAATTCCACTACAGCTGCCTAGAAGGATGGGTCTGGACTCAGAGCATGACCTCTCCTGGATCCTTCCTCGCCTTCGTTCAAGCTGACTTAACGTGAGTGGCCTTTCCTCTGTGTTCCCACTCACCTTGACAGAACAATAGTCACACCATGCTTTAACTGTTCATTCTCCCAAGAGAAGCAAAAGGCCTCTTCATTTTTTTTTACCCTCATGGACAGAAAAAGTGGCCTGACACAGAGTAAGTAAGTGAAATACGTTATTTCACTCTGTGCCTTACTTTAAAACACTGGGGGAAAAGGTCTGACTAAATGATCTCTAGTGACCTTAGTTATATTCTAGCAACTGTTTTATGCCCAGGGAACTATTTCTTAACCTATTTTTCATTACCGCCCTTTTAAGGAATCTTTTTAGATTCGCTCCCCATTGTCCCCAAACCATGAAATTTTAGTATGACAGAAACAGGTTGTGTATTGCAAAAACCATCATAATAGCTAAGCTTTCTTCATCACCTCCCCCTAAAAGAACCAATTTTCAGCAATAGCTCCTCCTTGATAATGCATTCAACTGTATTTGGATATTCACAGTAACACTGTGAAGATAGGAGGCCACGTACAGTGACTCATGCCTGTAATTCCAGTACTTTGGGAGGGCGAGGTGGGTGGATCGCTTGAGTTCCAAAGTTCAAGACCACCCCTGGGGAACACAGAAAAACCCTGTCTCTACAAAGAACACAAAAATTAGCCGGGCATGGCAGTGCGCACCTGTAGTCCCACCTACTTGGGAGGCTGAGGTGGGAGGACTACTTGAGCCCAGGAGGTCAAGGCTGCAGTGAGCAGTGATCGAGGCACTGTACTCCAGCCTGGGCAACAGAGCCAGAGTCTGTTTAAAGAACAACAATAAGGAAGACAAAAACAATGTGATGACAGGGGAGAATGTAACTCTAAAATGTTAATTTTAACTTCTTTGAGCAAATCAACACATGGTTTGAGTTGACATGTGTTACTGACAACCTTTAAAATACCTTTATCAGTTCTACACATAAACTTTCCCCAAACTGGGTATTATATTAACAGCATTCCTTTAAAATCTACACACTATTATTGAGACAGACTACATGTGAAAAGTGTTTCTAAAGATTTTTTAAATACAGCAATATGAGGCCTTCACACACATACTGACTTTAACCAGAAAGTGATATTGTTCGTATCAGTTCAAAGAATTAACTCTCCAGTTTGCCAACGATATAAGCGATAAAGGATTCCACCCAAAAATCAGTGCAGTACTTAGGCAACCAGAAATGTAACACACGAGGTGGGGATGTAGCTCGGTGATAAGAGTGCATGCTTAGAAATGTACCAGGAAAAACACCATACAGAATGTGTTATATTTATGGGTAACAATAAAGCATCTGACTGTCATCAATACTGACATGAACAAGTCTCTGTTAAAGCCACACTCAGACAGATAGAGCTGGGTGAGCTGGCTCACACCTGTAATCACAGGGTGAGGTGGGAGGATCACAGTGAGACCCTGCCTATACAAAAATAAAAATTAGCAGGGCATGGTGGCGCCTACAGTCCTAGGTACTCAGGAGGCTGAGGTAGGAGGGTTGCTTGAGCTCAGGAGTTTGAGGCTGCAGTGACCTTTGATCATGTCATGACATTCTAGCCTGTGCAACAGAGCAAAACTCTGTCTCTTAAAAAAATAAAAATAAAAAACAAGTGTTGGCGAGGATGTGGAAACACTGGAATCCTCATACACTGCTGGTGAGAATGTAAAGTAATGCAGTGACTTTGGAAAAGTCTGGCAGTTCTTCAAAAGGTTAAACACAGTAATCATATGACCCAGAAATTCAACTAGCTATAGACCCAAGAGAAATAAAAACCTAGGAGCACACAAAGAACTTTTACAGGAATATTCATAGCAGTATTATGGATAATAACCAAAAAGTAGAAACAACCCAAATGTCCAACAACTGATGAACAGATGAACCAAATGTGGTATTACCCACACAGTGGAATGGTATCTGGCAATAAAGGAATGAAGTACTAATGCCTGCCACAACATAAATAAACCATAAAAACATTCTGCTAAGTGAAAAAGCCAGGCACAAAGGGCCACAGTAGGGCTGTGTGATTCCACTTACAGGAAATGTCCAGAGTGGGCAAATCCATACAGGCACAAAGTGGGGCTGTGTGATTCCACTTACAGGAAATGTCCAGAGTGGGCAAATCCATACAGGCACAAAGTGGGGCTGTGTGATTCCACTTACAGGAAATGTCCAGAGTGGGCAAATCCATACAGGCACAAAGTGGGGCTGTGTGATTCCACTTACAGGAAATGTCAAGAGTGGGCAAAATCCATACAGGCACAAAGCTCAGTGGTTTCCAGAGGATGGGGAAAAACGTGAGTGGAGTGTGCCTGCTGAAAGGTTTGGGGTGTTGAAAATGTTCTAAAATTGACTGTGGTCATGGCTGCGCACTCTAAATATACTAAAACCACTGAACTGTATACTTCAAATGAGTTAATTGTACGGTTTGTGAATATCTCAATAAGCCGCGCCCCTCCCAAAAAAAAAATACGAGGGATACTAGAAAACGTGTTTGATGTTACAACACGCATCAATAAGAATTACCACTTTAGTCTTTTTTTTTCCATTTTAAGTCATGCTCCAATGATACTGTTCAAAATATAAATTCAAAATATAAATATAGTTTTCTTTGCTCCTATTTTAATTTATTGAATTCAGGTGAAACAGTAGTATATAAAAGCAAGGAACTGCTGGTAGTTATTCAAGATCTACATGCAAATAATTTTATGCCATAGCTCCAGATGGAATGGATCACTTTTAGAGCCGATGAAGTTCAAACAAAATATATGTTTTGAAGAGTGTTCTAGACCATAAATTTACTGAGAACAGGAAACATGTATGTACAATAACTTCTGTGTCAGGCACTATGACTCATGTTTTGCACAGACACTATAATCCTCCCATCAACCTTGTGAGGTGAGTAGTATTGTCTTCATTTGAAATAGCTCAAAACCAAATATCCTCAAGACCAGTTCAATTAATTACTGTAAGTTTCAGTTTCTTGACCTGTAAAAGAAACAGCAATCCTACATACATCAGAGTTGTAAGAGCTAAATGAAATAAGATATATTAAATGCCTGATTAAATGGGCACTCAAATTTCAGAGTTTTCTTTTTTACCCCAGCTTTAGCAAAAACAGATACAGCATTCAGAAGCTAGCAAAATGTGTATGGATGAACAGGGTTATGATCAATACTCAAACATCAACACTGTCAGGTTCACCAAGATTCCCTTTAAGTTGTGAGCACTCGACCATGCAGCATGCACAAGAACTATAGAGACAGGGCACTCACAGACGAGGCACTGTTGTGATCAAATAAAACTAACAGAGTTAATCTGGTTTAATGATGTGCATTAGCATAATCATGGTAAATAATTATATATATATAAATAGTAGGCAATGATTTGACTATAACTATTATGACTTACGTAGCCAATGCAATTGTTTTCCAGGGTCATTTGAGAGCCAAGGAGTGAGCTGTTTTTAAAACCACCAAGAGACACTGCAGCCATGACCCAAAGGGATGATGCAACCTTGTTCTTTTCCCCAGTGAGTGTTTTCAAAGAAGCCTTGGCTGGATGCTGAGAAACAACTCCAGCTGTACAGAGTACAAGTCAGGCTTAGGATGAACCCTTCTTTCCTCAGCACTACAATCTGACAGGGCAGTCTAACCCAGAGAGAAAGCTGGCAGAAGGAGAAGGAAAATCAATCACATCCTGAGAGGCAGGAGCACTGGGGTGTGTGGTGGGAGTGGAGGTGGGAGAGGGTTAGAGATAATTGAGTGTGATGAACTACAAGGGCTGATGGAGAATAAATTGGCTGATAGAGCATCTTGAAGAATTAGGGGGTAGAATAAGTGTGCCAGATGGAAGGATGGCCAAAGGACATGTGGGAAGAGAGGGAGGGTGCAGAAAGGTAGGGCCCTTTCTATAGATACACATTTGCAATGTTCATCAGGAACCCGTGCACACCATTTTGCTAAACAAATGCGGGTATAGGTTATGTGCATTTTTCATATAGAACTGTACTGAAGTTTGACAACTGTAAGAGGCCTGACCTATGAAAGAAGTAATGCAGATAAAATGATAACAGCAGCATTTCAGAAGCCAGACATCACTGAATACAGGATGATGTGAATCAAGTTCCAATGTACCAATTATAAATCTAATAAAAAGGAAAACTATCATCAACCCTGTGGTAAATAAAGAATGCCCCATATAGGAAACGAATACTCTCATACACTGTTGGTGGGGGGTCTAAACTGGTTTAACCTCTATGCATAGCAATTTGGCAATATTCTCCTCTTTGTCGTAACTAAACTATTTTTTCTCCTAAGGAGAAAGTCCTTCCCTAGAGACTGCACTAATGGTGGCTTAGTCTTCCACCAGCCATATAGGACTTCTTACTGCCACTCTGACCATGAATGAAAACATCTTTTGAGGCTCATGCAATCAAGCTCTAGTTCTCTGCTTCTCCCTGTTATTCACTAACCTACCCATTTCCTTATAATAAGCTGTAATCTCCTTCTGTCCCTCCCACCATCAACCTAAATGGTTGTGAAATCCTTACTTAGAACTCATCCAACGCTGTATAGTTCCTTTTTATCTTCCATAAGTCAACCCCCATTGATATAACTTACTCTGTATAAGCTAATCCAGAGATGCTGTCCTGTGAGATCTCTTTTTTCTTTTCTTTTCTTTGTTTTTGTTTTTGTTTTTGGTAGAGATGGGGTTGTGCCCTACTGGCCAGGCTGGTCTTGAACTCCTGGGCTCAAGCGATCCGACTACCTCGGCTTCCCAAAGTGCTGGGATTACAGGTGTGAGCCACCGCGCCCGGTCTCCCTTGTGAGATCTTCATATGCCCTGCTCTCAAATCCTCACCTCCTGTCTTTTATCTTACTATGTCACATGTCATTCATATCCAAAATACCTATTCTGACTACATTGGAATCTCTAGTCCTTGTAATACTATATTTTCTTCCAATCTATTAGTTCCCTTCATCTATTAATTCTACCACATATTTACTGAGGACCTTCTTTGTACCAATCACTGTGCATTTCTCTCCATATCCACCCTAGACCATCCCCCCACCACCATGATCAGTCACTTCAGTCATTCTCCCCATGATTCCAGACTCTCCCCTATCCCACCAATCCTTCTTTTACGCCTCCATGCAAAATCCCAACCCTGATGAACAATGATTGCATTTACATGTTCTCCTAGGCAGTTATCTGAGCACTGGAAAAATGAAAAACAATAGACTCACACATGTACACTGGTACCACTATAAGCTATCTCCATCATCAACCAAGCTCCACAACCCCTCTCCTGTTCTCCTAGAGGCCACTCCAAACATTTGTCTCTCTTGAGCACATTACCCCACCACGCCTATTCCCTGAGCATTCCCAGATGACTCTGCTGCCTTTATATACACACACACACACACACACACACACACAAATAAAAACATTATTTTTCTCATCTGGGTGCAGTAGCTCACACCTGTAATCCCAGCACTTTCAGAGGCTGAGTCAAGAGGATCATTCGAGCCCAGGAGTTCGAGACCAGCCCAGGCAACATAGGGAGACCATGTCTCTATTTAATTTAAATTTAAAAAAGAAAGAAAAAGAAACAGTATTTTTCACTAGGAATAAACTCAATATTTTGAAAACTTTTATTGTGAAATATGGGGGGAAATAATCATGCTTTTATCTTACCTGTTTGAACTGTATCCAGGATAACCAAATGTTTGATAAGTTTCTCTTTATGAAGATATTCCAGTTATCTTTGAAGAATGAATGACCAAAAATTAAATTACCGCCATTGTGTAAGTACTGTGCACTCTGAAGGTACTAACGCTAAAAAGAAAAAAATCGCCACTGTACAAGCCCTAAAAAATAATGGATCTAGGATCTAGGCAGTAACAATCAATGTCTGCTCACATCTCAGAGACAGCAGACATTATGTGACTACTCCCATCACCATCCATTAACAATTTGTGTTCCCCCACTTTTGCAATCTAACCATCTGACAAAGGGCTAATATCCAGAATCTACAAACAACTTAAATTTACAAGAAAAAAACAACCCCATCAAAAAGTGGGCAAGGGATATGAACAGACACGTCGCAAAAGAAGACATTTATGCAGCCTACAGACACATGAAAACATGCTCTTCATCACTGGTCATCAGAGAAATGCAAATCAAAACCACAATGAGATACCATCTCACGCCAGTTAGAATGGCGATCATTAAAAAGTCAGGAAACAACAACTGCTGGAGAGGATGTGGAGAAATAGGAAAGCTTTTACACCATTGGTGGGAGTGTAAATTAGTCTGACCATTTTGGAAGACAGTGTGGCGATTTCTCAAGGATCTAGAACGAGAAATACTGAGAGATGAAGCCAGCTGGGCTTCTGGGTCAGGTGGGGACTTGGAAAACTTCTGTCTAGCTAGAGGATTGTAAATGCACCAATCAGCATTCTGTAAAAATGGACCAATCAGCATGACATGGGCAGGGCCAAATAAGGGAATAAAAGCTGGCCATCCAAGCCAGCAGCCGCAACCTGCCCTGGTCCCCTTCCACACTGTGGAAGCTTTGTTCTTTTGCTCTTCATAATAAATCTTGCTGCTGCTCACTCTTTTGGTCCACACCACCTTTAAAAGCTGTAACACTCACTGCAAGGGTCTGCGGCTTCACTCCTAAAGTCAGCGAGACCACAAACCCACCGGAAGGAACAAACCCTGGACGCGCCACCTTTAAGAGCTGTAACACTCACCATGAGGTCCACGGCTTCGTTCTTGAAGTCAGCGAGACCAAGAACCCACCAGAAGGAATCAATTCTGAACACAATACCATTTGACTCAGTGATCCCATTACTGGGTATATACCCAAAGGATTATAAATCATGATACTATAAAGACACAGGCACACATATGTTTATTGTGGCACTATTCACAATAGCAAAGACTTGGAATCAACCCAAATGTCTATCAATGGTAGACTGCATAAAGAAAATGTGGCACATATACACTATGGAATAATATGCAGCCATTAAAAAAAGGGTGAGTTCATGTCCTTTGCAGGGACATGGATGAAGCTGGAAACCATCATTCTCATCAAACTATCACAAGGACAGAAAACCAAACACTGCATATTCTCACTCTTAGGTTGGAATTGAACAATGAGAACACTTGGACACAGGGTGGGGAACATCACACACCAGGGCCTGTCGTGGGGTGGGGGGCTGGGGGAGGAATAGCATTAGGAGAAATACCTAATGTAAATGATGATGGGTGCAGCAAACCAACATGGCACATGTATACCTATATAACAAACCTGCATGTTGTGCACATGTGCCCTAGAACTTAAAGTATAATTTAAAAAAAAAATTTGTGTTCCCCCAACATAAATCTGAATTTGATCAAATTTAACCACCAATTTATAGGACACAGAGAGAACCGAAGACATGTTAAATGATTCAATGGAGATAAAATCAGCAACTTCCAAACTGGGAAAATCTACAGAAAAAGAGAAACCTGGTTTCTCCAAAACATAAACTGCAAGAAAAAGGGGAAAGCTATAGAATAAAAAAATATTTAGGCCGGGCATAGTGGCTCACGCCTGTAATCCCAACACTTTGGGAGGCTGAGGCGGGCGGATCACCTGAGGTCAGGAGTTTGAGACCAGCCTGGCCAATATGGCAAAACCCCGTCTCTACCAAAAATACAAAAATTAGCTGGGCGTGGTGGTGCATGCCTGCAGTCGCAGCTACTTGGGAGGCTGAAGCAGGAGAATCCCTTGAACTTGGGAGGCGGAGGTTGCAGTGAGCTGAAATCGCGCCACTGCACTCCAGCCTGGGAGACAGAGAGAGACTCGTCTCAGGGAAGAAAAAAAAAAATTAAAAGAATAGAACCATTTACAACATATGGACTTTATTTGAATGTGACTTTAAACAAATTGTAAAAAGTAGGATTTTTTCCTACTATGGAAATCTGAAATTTGACAACATTAAGGAATTCTTTTTAATCTTTTTTTGTGTGATAATGTATTGTGGGTTTTTGTTTTTTTAAAGACCAGTGTCTTTTGGATGGACAAATGGATACATTCATGGATGAAATGATATGATGTCTGGGATTTGCTTCAAATAATCTGGGTGGGGGGAAACAGATAAAACAAGACTGTCCTTCAGTTGGTAACTGCTGAAGCTATACATATGATGGGTACCTGAGGGTTTATTTCCTAATCTCTTAGCTTGATATATGGTTAAAAAGGAAATTCCTCTGTATCTCAGCCACCCAAAGCAGAATTCTGGGAAGGAGCACAGACGCCTTTCCCACAGTCCCATTTTGAACTATTCACCAATTTCTGTAGATCTTATCTCCTTTCCTTTCTCTTTAACATCGCTTTTATGGCCCCTATTCTTTATTCTCACCACCATCAGTCTAGTTCAGAGTCATCATCATCTCTCATTTAATTAAGTGTTAACCTCCTATCTGGTTTATCTCTAGATTAGACCCTTGGTCTATCCGCCTAGACTAGAAACCAAGAGTCAAAATAGTTTCCACTGTCTAGAATGCTGCTTCTCCTCTAAGACCCATCAACTCTGCCCAAGCTAATTCCTACACTTGCTTCTTCAACATTTAACTCAAGCTCTGCTGTCCTGGGAAGCTGTTCTCAATCCCAAGTCTCATTTAGATGTATTTGCTCAGTGTGCCCAAGGTATCCTTTTGCATAGTCCTATTCCTATCAGAGCCCATATAGTAGTTTAGTTATCTTTAACTTATTTGACTTCCTATACTCAGCACCTAAAACCTGACATGTTATAGGCCCTCAATAAATATGTATTGAAAGTAAGAATTACAAAGCACAAGAAAAACCAGGACCAAATAGGTCCAGAACAGAAGGCAGTTTGACGGCTCTAAGCACAGTTGTTCTCACACCAAAAATCATTCCAGGGTGCTGCTACATACATATTCACCTGTGTTCACATACATGAGATTAAGATCCTCTTCCTCAGATACTAGATGCAATTTATAACCTCTGAAGACCATACCACACTACACTTGGACGCTAAAAGGAGAAGCAACCACATTCATCTTTCCAAACAAATTTACTAAACAAAATAACAAACCAAAAGTAGTGAGAACAAGCACAAGACACTTTCTTAGCATTTTTCAAAAGGCAAGTAAATGCATAGTTAACGTAAAAGCCAAGCTTCAAGAATAGACACTGTAAAGAAAGAAGCCTTAATTTTAGATATTAGATTATATCATTCTGAAACACAAGGACTCCGCCTTGTCTTCGACCTCTCTGTTGTCTGGCAAAACACCTAGTAAAAAGCAAGCAATCAATATTTCTTACATTAATGTCTAGGGCAAAAACATGGCTTTAGAAGTAACCATGGAGAAGACTGGTCACAATTCATAGGAGCTGCCCAGAGGGAGACAACAGTATCACTGTTGCCCATGCCCCACACATGGCCTGTGTCTTTGTCTACTGGTTCTTGCATGAGAGAGGGACACCAATCCTCCCTTTCATCAACAACCCACAGCTGCAGGTGCATTTCCACAGGGGGACGATGAGCACTCAGACATCGCCTTCCATTTCTGAGTGTACTTTGGCCATTGGGTGATCATGAACAGCCATGAGTGTGGGCCTGGAAGTGTGAGGAGAGATCCAACAATATGCCCGCTGAGGATGGCAGAGTATTTGAGCTCCACATCATCGTGCTGGACAATGAATACCAGGCAATGGTAAACGGCCATCACTGTTACACAGCTTTGCCCATCGACTGCTGCCAGGGTCTGTGAAGATGGTCCAAGTGTGGAGAGATGTCTCCCTGAACTCAAGGTGTGTCTGCAATTGAGGGAGATGACCACACTCCCCATTGTGGAGGAATCCCTTTTTCTACATGACCATGAGATTCCCAGAGCCTGCTAACAGAGTAATCCCTACTCACTCCAACCCTTAGACTTGGTCATTAAAACTTTACCAAACTTAAAAAAAAAAAGTAACCATGGCCGGGTGTGGTGGCTCACACCTGTAAGCCCAGCACTTGGGGAGGCTGAGGCAGGAGGATTGCTTGAACCCAGGAGTTCAAGACTAGCCTGGTAGGTAACAATTATCTTCTCAAAGTTCATTTAATTCCTTAGCATATTCTGATAACATAATATAAAAATATTTTAAGATGTGCTTACAATGACAGAATCTCAAGAGCTATAGGCTCTGAATAGAAGATGCAGAGTGACAAAAAACAAAAAGAATGGAAAATATTAAGGTGGAAAAGGCAAATTATTATTTATGCATATTGAGGCTTTAAAACGATGCTAAATGGGATTCCGGTTCAGCATGTGAGGAGTTTGGAAGTCCGACTTAACAAGTAAAAAGGTAAACACACTGAAGACGAAACAAGTCTTCTCAGATTCCTCAAAGAGATGACGTCACAAGGCAAATCACAGTGCCCCAAACTGGAGACAGCCGGGAATACCAAGCATCACAACTGACCAGAGAAGAAACCTACAAGGGAACCAGTGCCTCAGGGTGAACAAATCTGAGAGCTAAAAACTCCAGGGGAACCCACTCATGGTGTATAGGGGGCAATTCTTCTAAGATTTACCTCTGGAGTTCTACCAGGTTATCATGGTGAGTATCAGAAAAATCCTCTCTTGCCAGAAGCAGGAGACCACTCTGGAAAGGAGCCATTCTGAAACAGGCCAGAGCACTTAATTCTTCTTCTTTTTTTTTTTTTTGAGACAGAGTCTCGCTCAGTCGCCCAGGCTGGAGTGCAGTGGCGCGATCTTGGCTCACTGCAGCTTCCACCTCCTGGGTTCAAGCGATTCTCCTGCCTCAGCCTCCTGAGTAGCTGGGACTATAGGCGTGTGCCACCACACACAACTAATTTTTTGTATTTTTAGTAGAGAGAGGGTTTTATCAGAGCCTAACTGACGCAGGGGAAGGGAACACCCAACTCCAGTCCAGTCTAGCCATCTTGTCCCATGAAGGGTGGGGGGATAACAGAGAAGCATGTGTGAAGTTCGCCATCCAGAGGCAGGTGCTCACTAAAAGGCTGAGACCTAATCCTAAGACTAAAGAACGCTTCCTGCTTTCCCACCCCTCACCACCACATTGCTAAAGGCCTACTTCACCCAGTATATCCTGTCCAACTACCAAGAAAAACTGCAAGGCACACTAAAAGGCAAAAAGTAGTGTGAAGAGGCAGAACAAGCATCAGACCAGACTCATCGGAAGCAGACTGAGAGAGGGCAGGGAAGTGGAATTATGAGGCAGGAAATTGAAACCAACTCTGATTAATGTGAAGGACTCTAATGGAGAAAGTAGGCAGCTTGCAGGAACAGGTGGGCAGCATGAGCAGGGAGATAGGAATTCTAAGAAAAAATGAAAAGAAGTGCCAGAGAGCAAAGCATGGTGACAGAAATGAAGAATGCCACTGATGGGCTCATTAGGAGAGTGGACACCGCTGAAAAAAAGAATAATCTCTGAGCTTAAGGATGTATCAATACAAACTGAAAACCAAAGGGAAAAAAAAAAGACCAAAAAAACAGAAGATAATACCCAAGAACTCTGGGACAGGTACAAAAGGTGTAATATAAACACATGAAAGTACCAAGAGGAGAAGAAAGGAAGAGAAGAAATATTTAAAACAACAATGACTGAAAATTTATCCAAATTAATGTCAGACACCAAACCACAGATCTAAGGAAGTTCAGAGAACACCAAGCACAATAAATGCTCAAAAAACTACTCTAAGGCCAGGCATGGGATCCCAGCACTTTGGGAGGCTGAGGCAGGCGGATCACCTGAGTGAGGTCAGGAGTTCGAGATCAGCCTGGCCAACATAGTGAAACCCCATCTCTACTACAAGTACAAAAAATTAGCTGGGCCTGGTGGCGCGCGCCTGTAATCCCAGCTACTCGGGGGACTGAGGCAGAAGAACTGCTTGAACCCAGGAGGTGGAGGTTGCAGTGAGCCGAGATCGCGCCACTGCACTCCAGCCTAGGCCACAGAGTGAGACTCCGTCTCAAAACAAAAACAAAAACAAAACAAAACTACTCTAAGCATGTCACATTCAAACTACAGAAAAATACACATAAAGAAAAGAAAGAAAACATCCTGCAAGAGGCCAGAGGGGGGAAAAAAAAACACCTTCTCTATAGACGATAAGAATTACAATATATCTGACTTCTCAGAAACCAGACAAGCAAGACGAGGGGAGTGAAATAAAGTGATGAGAAAAAACCCACCAACCTAGAATTCTGTACCCTGACAAAGAATCCTTGTGTAGTGAAGGAGAATAAAGACTTTCTGCAACAACAATTGAGGAGATGTGTAGACCTGCCTTGTAAGAAATTTAAAAAAAAAAAAAAGTTTTTTTTGTTTTTTTTTTTAGTAGAGATGCGGTTTTATCAGAGCCTAACTGACCCAAGGGAAGGGAACACCCAGTGCAAGACGGAGTCTCGCTCTGTCACCCAGGCTGGAGTGTAATGGTGGGATCTCGGCTCACTGCAACCTCTGCCTCCCGGGTTCAAGCAATTCTTCTGCCTCAGCCTCCTGAGTAGCTGGGATAACAGGCGCCTGCCACCATGCCTGGCTAATTTTTTTTTTTTTTTTTTTTTTTTTTTTTGAGACGGAGTCTCGCTCTGTCGCCCAGGCTGGAGTGCAGTGGCGGGATCTCGGCTCACTGCAAGCTCCGCCTCCCGGGTTCACGCCATTCTCCTGCCTCAGCCTCCCAAGTAGCTGGGACTACAGGCGCCCGCCACTACACCCGACTAATTTTTTGTATTTTTAGTAGAGACGGGGTTTCACCATTTTAGCCGGGATGGTCTCGATCTCCTGACCTCGTGATCCGCCCGCCTCGGCCTCCCAAAGTGCTGGGATTACAGGCATGAGCCACCGCGCCCGGCCTTGCCTGGCTAATTTTTTTGTATTTTTAGTAGAGACGGGGTTTCACTATGTTGGCCAGGCTGGTCCGAATTGTGATCCGCCACCTCGGCCTCCCAACGTGCTGGGATCACAGGTGTGAGCCACCGTGCCCAGCCAAGAAAAAATCTTGAGAGAATGGAAATGATACAGGTCAAAAACTCCGATCCACATAAAGAAACAGCACTGGAGAATGAATGAGGCTAAAATAAAAACTTAAAAAAAAAATTCTTAGCTAATGGGTGTGTTCAAAATAGGAATGGCAACAATGTATTCTATTATATACATTGATGTGTACTTATACATGTCTCTAAGTAAAATGACGGACAGCAACGATACAGGGATGGGAGGAAGAATTAGGACTATAGTTATTACGAGGTCCTCATAATACCTCTCAATGTGGGTGAGGGACAGGGGTGATATAAGTTATGTAATCTCTGTACCTTCCTCTCCACTTTTGCTGCAAATCTAAAACTTTTCGAGAAATTAAGAGTTTATTTAAGATAATAAGTGATAAATGCATACGGATAAACATTAAAGTGATAAAAGTATAAATAAGATAAGCAGAAAATCCCTACATCAAAATGCTGAGGTACAACTTTACTGTTTTATCATGCCATAACACAACCTCATTTTTTTTTCAAATACAAAGTTATATTTATTTTCAATAATGAAAACAACACAACAAAGTGGACTCAATCCACTAATTTTTATAATCTAACACAGTGGTTGGGACAAGCTATGCTCAATAAATAACACACTAACCAAGTAAGCTTATTCTTGAGACTCCTTAGGGTTGCGTGCATGTTTTAAACAAAATTGAATGAGTGGTGGGTAAAGAAAGATACCCTACAGGCTTGACTGAGAAGGGTTCCAAGAAAAGAACAGCCAAGGAACAGGGTCCCCAAATACTAAGTTAGCAAAATGAATATGGCATTTTCAAAGCAGTCTAGAACTCAGAGCTCACTGAGAGAAATGACAAGGGTCTGGGGATAATCCGTGTTCAAGGCCTCATAATTAAATCTTCCCATATTTCTAAATTCTTTATTTGGAATCCATCGCAATCTAAAGGAGCTTCTGCCAAAGGATAGGAGATTACTTATGCTGCCTGAAATGGCCTATGCCTCCTAAATTTCCTTTGACTTTGTCACTAATATAGCAAGGGTTCCATTCCAACAAAGGATTACTACTATGTAGACCAACCCCCCTCTGGTTTAAATCTTCCTTTCGTAAGTATTGAAACTTGTTCAAGGACAGCTGTAAATACATCCAATTTGTTTTCTTTTTATCCTCCCCTCTACAACTCTGCTTGGCTACAAAATCTAGGACTCACAGAGCAACAGCAGCAATGGTCAGAAGATAAGTGCCAGTTCCAATGCAAGAACTCTCTAAAGTTAAATGGTCACAATTTTTTTTAACCACCTCATCTGCCATGACTTTTTTCTTTTCTCATTATCTTGCCAATTATTTCTTTCGAAACTCAATCCTCTAATCCTCTGAGCTATATTCTGAGCACCAAATTTTTTGACCAATGCCTCTCTGTTATCCCCATCATCTTTTTACAAACCTATGTCATCTTGTTGGGACCAAATTTATCCATCAGCTCTCTAGCTCCAGCTCGCCACTATTTTTTAGGAAGGCCTGTGTAACTGTTGATAGATCCAAGTTAAACTTCTCCATTAACTGCGGAATCATCATAATGGCAGCTCCCACCTCCAGTGGAGAAACTGTTTCTTCTTCTTCTTCTTTTCTTCCTCCTCCTCCTCCTCCTCTTCCTCTTCCTCTTCCTCTTCTTCTTCTTCTTCTTCCTCCTCTTCCTCTTCCTGATGAGGCTCTGTTTCTGAGTCTTCCTCAGGCGTGGGGGATCCTCATCACACATTGTTAAATGTATTTCCAAATCAGGGCTCTCATCCACCACAACCTCCTCCAATCCCCAGGTGGCTTCTGCAAGCATCTTTTACAGTGCTTCTTCACTCTCCTGGATTTCTACCTTCACATGCTCTTCCTTCAGGCCGATGTGGAGTTCTCTCACTCTGTGGTTCCCATTATCCGCAGCCAGGTGGCCTGCTCCAGTCTTCCGCGGGAGCTTCTGGGAGGAGGGGCGCCCCAGGCGTCCCCTGGCAAGTGCTCGTGCTCCTGACCCCGCGGGGGCTTCAGGGACCGCCACCAGGGATGCGTGGGCGAGTTGTCCACAAGCCGCTGCTGGTGATGGAGCTGGGCGAGCAGCCATTTTCCTTCCCGTCAGTCAGGACAGCCACGTCATCCGCGTCTGGGAAGGCGCCTCCGCGGTGCCCTTGGCCAGGGCCCCGGGCTTTGTCTCCGAGCAGTGTCCCCTGAGGCGAGGCGGGGCCCAGCCGATAGGCTCCAGCTCCAGCCTCTCGCTGGCTCCACCAGTCCAGGATGTACCTGTGGAAATGAAGTGGCCCAGGGCTTCGGCCCGCGCCTCCCGGGCTCCTGGACCTGACAGTGCGGTCACCCTGCAGGATGAGCTCGGCCGGGCTGGGCCCCACGTGGAAGAACACAGAGCTGCTGTCCTCCCTCTCCCGTCCTCCCTCTCTCCAACAGAGTCGAGGAATGGATGGGTCCATTGGGGTCTTTGCCCAAATCCATCGCCTCCGCCATGTCTGACGCCGGGCACTAGAGGAGCTGCCCCTCGCGAGTGTCTGGCACACAGCGAGACTGACCTAACCTCATTTTTATATAGCTCATCTGGAGACCAGAAAGACTAAACAATACTTAAACAAAGTTAGTTACATGATTGCACAGCTCACAGCTAATTATAACAGAAACAGAAAACTATTAGGAAAGTATGTGAACGGATACAAGTAAAAGGGAGTTGGTTTCTGACAAGAGGTGCAATAGAAACCTCCCTCTCCCAGTACCTGTGGGGCTACTACAGTTCCGGGCAAAGACAGACACAGCTCAACAGAACGAAAATGAACCACTAAGCTACAGCGCAGTGCAGTAACACATAGGCTTGAGGATGCACAATTACTGGGACTAGATAAAAGTATATCCCATACATTAGCCTGGGAAGGACAAGTAAAACGGCATATGTTATGATTGCACTTATTTTCCAGGACAGACAAATTTATCTGTAGTGAGAGAAATCAGATCAGCCATTGCCTGGGGCAGGGTATGTGTGGTGGGGCAGATTTGACTGCACGCAGCATGAGAGAACTTTCTTGGGGAATGAAAATGATTTATATTTTTTGGGGGGTGGTGGTTATACACTTGTATACAGCTGTCAAAACTCAACTGTATACTTACAATCTGTGTAATTAATTGTATACAAATTATACCTCAAAGATGATTGGTTTTTATGTTTTTTTTTAAGGCTAAGAAGTATAATACGTTCTATCAAGATTCTTCTCAAAAGCGGAAAATTTAAAATTGAGGGCCGGGCACAGTGACTCACACCTGTAGTATCAGCACTTTGGGAGGCCAAGGCAGGTGGATCACTTGAGGTCAGGAGTTCAGGACCAGCCTGACCAACATGGTGAAATCCTGTCTCTACTAAAAATACAAAAAAATTAGCCGGGCATGGTGGCACGTGTCTATAGTCCCAGCTACTAGGGAGGCTGAGGCATGAGAATCCCTTGAACCCGGGAGGCAGAGGTTGCAGTGAGCCAAGATCACGCTACTGCACTCCAGCCTGGCTGAAAAAACAAGGGTCTGTCTCAAAAAAATACTAAAATAAAATAAGAGGCCAGACTGGGTGTTGTGGAATGCTGCCTATAGTCCCAGCTGCTCGTGTGAATGGCTTGAGGCTATGAGTTGGAGGGCAGCCTGAGGCAACATAGCGAGATCCTGTATCAATTTAAAAAAAATTTTTTTTCAGGCCACAAGTAGTAAACTGTAGTAAACTCCATTATATGGAAATCTCAGCTATCCAGAAGATCTGCTTCCAAGTAAATTCCAGAGAGCCACAATTTTACTTTTCATCCTAAGCAGAAATCGTAGCAATAACACCTTTAACCTAATTATTTTTTCTCCCTTTTTACAAGACTTGTCAAAACTTGACAGTGATTAATATTAGTTTCACTAAGTACAGCTTTTTAAGTTGTTATAAAGATAGTGCCACTCAATGGTTGTTGGTAGGCCTACATTTAAATTTATCTAAATGCCATTTCTATTCAAATGCCTACAACAGAAACTTCTGAAACGCATGGAGTAAAGGCAATCAAAAAATAAGTTTCTTCAAGAATTAACGAGGGTAAAACATCTACCACTGTATGTGATAAAGTTAAATTCTTAGATTTTTTTTAAAGTCCCTTTGTCGTAAAAAAAAAAAAAAAAGAATCTGACAATGTTGATGTGATATACGTATCAAGAGACTTTAAAAAGATTCATACTGTGACACTTTTAAGGAGTTACTATATGGAAATAATCATAAATGTGCACATTTGGTATCCAATGGTGCTTTATTTATTTAGAAAGAGAAAAAGTAAAGCTACTGACACAATCTAAGGTTCCAAATTGGAAGAACCATGATCCATCTATAATAGTATGATCAATGCCAGGCGTGGTGGGTCGCACCTGTAATCCCAGCACTTTGGGAGACTGAGGCAGGCAGATCACTTGAGGCCAGCAGTTCCAGACCAGCTCGGCCAACATCATGAAACCGTGTCTCTACTAAAAATACAAAAATTAGCTGGGCATGATGGCACGTGCCTGTAATCCCGGCTACTAGGGAGGCTGAGGCATGGGAATTGCTTGAACCCAAGACAGTGCCACTGTACTCCAGTCTGGGCGACCAGAGCAAGACTCTGTCTCAAAATAACAATATAATAATAACAGTATGATCAAGATTTGAACTCCTATAGCCTAGATTGTGGGACCAAAATCCTAACCAACATACCCTATTTGGTTTTGCCCATTTTATCATTCAGAGCATTAATGAGGAGGATGCAATTTGTCAATATCTGAGGGCAAAGGAAACAAATACAAAAAAAGGTCAGTGACAATAAAGGTATAGAAAAAAACTAAACATATATATATTCCATCTTCTTGACTCACAAAGCAAAAAGAAATTCCAAATTCCATATTAGTAATCATTTTAAGGAAGTGATAAATATAAATCACTGCTCCTTTCTTCATGTCTCTAGCTTACCTTTGAACTCTATATATGCGAACATATTTTATAAGAGATCTGTCACTATTTAGAGAGCCATATTCAAAGGTTCCCTTTAAGGTATCTCACTAAGAAAGGCACCCAACTCCCTTCACATTGACTGCAGGCTTCATGTTGTCACCATTTTAATCCAACACAAAAATGGGAAGGGCCTGGAAACATTAATGGCAATCCTAAAAACAGTTTCTTCCCAGAAATCGTGAGTGTACTGGGAAACCTGGACCTCTGGATTTGGTGATGAGCCCTCAAATCTCCAGTGAACAAAAAATTAAATCTAAGAGAAAGGTGTGTTGCAGTGGATGCTACACAATGGACCGACGGATTGATGGGATGATGAACAAACAACAGAGAGATAAAAGTTTCAAATTATTTGTAGATGAAAGTAAAGAACAGATAAACCAAAATTGCTGAAACCAACATTTTAAAGTTCCAATTTCTGACCCACTTAAAAACACAAACCTTCCATTTCACGAAGATAGCCTAAGGCAAAAGTAAGTATAAGTCCTGATCCACCCAGGCCCAGGTTTTCCTGTCGGAGGCTTCCCTACACTACTTTAAGACATCTCCCCATTTTATCCAATGCATGGTGTAAATACCAACTGTAGAAGGCACAGTAATTTAAATGAACCATTAAAAAACAGTAGGCCAGACATCGTGGCTCACGCCTGTAATCCCAGCACTTTGGGAGGCCAAGGCAGGAAGATCGCTTGAGCCCAGGAGTTTGAGACCAGTCTGGGCAATATGGCGAAACTTCATCTCTACAAAAAATACAAAAATTAGCCAGGCACGGTGGCGCGCCCCTGTCTGTGATCCCAGCTACTTGGGAGGCTAAGGTGGAAGGATGGCTTGAGCCTGGGAGGTGGAGGTTGCAGTGAGCTGAGATTGTGCCACTGCATTCCAGCCTGGGCGACAGAGACCCTGTCTCAAGAAGAAGAAAAAAAGAAGAACAAAGAAGGAGAAGAAGAGAAGCTTCATTTCAGCTGAAAAAATAAAGAAAAGTCAATAACTGAGACTACAAGCCATATGTCTGTTAACAGGTAAGGTTCATATTCACTCATGTAATGACTTTATAGTGCCCACCGCTAGGCACTGAAGGCACCAACACGAATGGCTTCTAAGTGAATTAACCATTCATCTTACACATACTCCTATGCCCCAAGTAAGAGACAATTTAGTAAACATGTATATCATATATTTTACACTGTCTAAAATTGATTCTCACTTTAAAAACCACACCTCAGAAATTAATCACTGGAGACCAACAGATGCCTTAAACATGTAAGCATGCCCCCAAACAGGTACACCACTAAGAAAGGCTCAAGATAAATCACACACAGGCTCTGGGGGGTACTAGCTATAATCCACTCCCACTGCCCCTAACGCCTCACCCCAACCATTTTTCTCCCGTCCTAGAGAGCATGTGAAAATGTGAGTGAGCACAGGTGGGAAATGAACAATGAGAACACTTGGACACAGGAAAGGGAACATCACACACCAGGGCCAGTCGTGGGGTGGGGGGAGGGGGAGGGATACCATTAGGAGACATACCTAATGTAAATGACAAGTTAATGGGTGCAGCACACCAACATGGCACACGTATACATATGTAACAAACCTGCACGTTGTGCACATGTACCCTAGAACTTAAAGTATAATAATAAAAAAAAATCAGGAAAAAAAAAAGAAAACTGATATAATAAATGGGTTTCGTTCTAAAAAAAAAAAAAAGAAAAAAGAAACTGAGTGAGAAAATTACAAAAATAACTTTAAATCTACTCTAACTTTTTAGGTATATAATTTGCCAACTTAGGGAATTCACAATCAGTAATAAAGTACCTGCAATACACTTCAAAACTCTGTCAACACTGAGAATCTGTCTCCTAGGGATCTAGAGTGATTAATAATCCTCCTTCCGCCGGGCGCAGTGGCTCACGCCTGTAATCCCAGCACTTTGGGAGGCCAAGGCGGGCGGATCACGAGGTCAGGCGATCGAGACCATCCTGGCTAACACAGTGAAATCCCATCTCTACTAAAAATACAAAAAATTAGCCAGGCGTGGTGGCAGGCACCTGTAGTCCCAGCTACTCAGAAGGCTGAGGCAGGAGAATGGCGTGAACCTGGGAGGCGGAGCTTGCAGTGAGCGGAGATTGCACCACCACACTCCAGCCTGGGTGACAGAGCAAGACTCCGTCTCAAAAAATAATAATAGGCCGGGCGCGGTGGTTCACGCCTGTAATCCCAGCACTTTGGGAGGCCGAGGTGGGCGGATCACAAGGTCAGGTGATCGAGACCATCCTGGCTACCATGGTGAAACCCTGTCTCTACTAAAAAAAAAAAAAAATTAGCCGGCCGTGGTGGCAGGCACTTGTAGTCCCAGCTACTCGGGAAGCTGAGGCAGGAGAATGGCGTGAACATGGGAGGCGGAGCTTGCAGTGAGCTGAGATCGCGCCACTGTACTCCAGCCTGGGCGACAGAGCAAGACTCCATCTCAAAAAATAATAATAATAATAATAATAATAATCCTCCTTCCAAATGCACATGAAATTTGGACTATCTTTAGACCACACATCTAGCTTACAGAATAGTTTGGCGAGCAGGCCCAAAATGTCATACTGAATACTAAATGAAAGACTACAGGTAGAGTCCTGCAGTGAAGGACTCTACCTATTTTCCCTGCTGCTAAGATCCCCAGGTCTGAACAATGTTAATGGAGTCCACAAGCCAGGCAGCTGCAGAATAGTGAGCTTAAGGAAGTGAGGTAATCACGGCCAAGACACAGCAATACATTAAGAACGTGCCTCAAAACAATTAAAAGCAACCAAAACAGACTGCAGATCTTACAGGGTATTTGCTTGGAAACGAAGAAATCCTGCAAAGGAGTATGTCATGCCCTCTGCTGCTGTCAGTGCCCTGTTTTCCTCCACACTCTCCAAGGTTAGAACCATCAACCTGCTCTCTTTGTTCTCCTCTGTGTTTTCCTCACAAGAATACTTTTCTGATACTACTTCCCTTATGGGAGGTCCATTCCCCATCAGATAACCCTCATCCATCACCAGCCTCACCACTGACTCCAGGAAGACAAAAGGCTCTGCAAAAGGAGTATTCCCAACAAGGCCAAAGAAAGGCATGTGCGCCCCAAGAGAGGGTGGAGGACAGGGCCAGGCACTCTCAACCTCAGACCAGTTTTAAAGAGGATGTCAGGCATCTCCTGAGGAAAACTTAACAACGTCTAATCAGAAGTCCGACTGCAGCCTAGCCGCAAAAAAAGCAGCATCGTCTTCAAAGAACAGAATGTGGAGGCACAGATACACAGACTGGCCGCACCCGCACTGCCACGAGAAAGGAAAGGGGCGGCTCTGCACGATGCCTGCCAAAGGTGGTCATGGTTCCATCCCCCTCACCCAGAAGGCCGCCCGCCACCTGTCTCCACACAAAGACACAATACAAGGCGGATGGAGACTCAAGAATGGCTTCAAAGAGCTTTCCAGGCAGGCTGAGGGACAGTTTCCTCAGCCTCCGAAGTCCTAATTTTCCTTTAGCAAGAGCCTCTGGAAAGAGGGTTCTCCACCTTGTCTCTGATCCCATAGCAATACCCTTCCATCACTTACCTCTGGTGAAGGTAGGAGGGCGGAGACAGCCCTTATGTCTCCCCAGAATGTGAAAATCAGCAAATGCTATCGAATTAGGAGCTGGGAGCCAAAGGCCTCTTTAGCCCTAAGAATGGGAGCCAAGCCAAATCCAGGCATGCTTTGGGCACACAAAGTAGTGAAGAGTGTGGGGGTGGGGCGGGGAATGAACAAGGAAAGAAGAGCTAGAAACTGAAAATGACGCGCAACTGTAAGCAGCAGAATGACTTTACCAACTGGACTGAATCACATTATCAATGGTGACAACTTCTATTACTGTATTTTGCGAACCAGACTCAACAAATAGAAATGACCCTTCCCCAGTCTTTTCTAGTTATAGTAAACAGAACTGCAGCCACAGCTAAGGATCATTGTTTATTTGACATGCAGAAGAAATAAGGCAAGTTTTGAGAATATTAGCCATGATATTAGAGAATACTCGCCATTAGAATATTTTAGAAATTTACCAGTACGTGACTTTGAGATTACACACTCCACTATAAAGTTACATCCTAAGGAAAGAGTCATGTATACACTTACACAGAGATGTCATCTTAGCACTGTTAGTCCATTTAAGATTGGAAAAAACCTTGACGTCCGACAACAGGGCATAAGTGACAGCATGGCCATATCTGAATTACAGTGACATCAGATCTACATATTAACATGAAAAACATTTATTATATATTACCTTTAAAAAGCCATAAAAATATATATCATATGATACATTTTACATGTATCTGTATATATACATAGGTAGACCTATATAGGCTCGAAGTAATTATAATTATTTTCTTTTTGCTTCTCTCAATTTCCTAAAATGTTTACAATAATTTTTTTGAAAGAGAAAGGTGCTGTTTTAAATTCTGAGATTTATGTAAGATATTTTAATAAAAAACAAAAACAAGGACCAAGGTGCCAAGGGTCTGGATTTTACCAGATAAATGGGAAGATAGGTCCTATATTAAGGATCTGCCTAACCCAAGTCTTGAGTTCTTCCCATCTTGTATCTTATATCTAACATTGCCAAATCTATCCGACCCAGCCCGATAATTACTTTCAGTGAAACCCAGCTTGCACATCCCAGGCCCATTACATCACATTCTTGCACTCAAGGGAGGCCCAGATGGATCTTTCACACTGGATTGGACAGCAGGAACTGATGGACTCGTTCCAAAGTGCTAAGCCACCATCTGCAGCCTTCTGTTAATTTTCTCCATCTCATCTGTCCCATTCCCAATTCTTTTTACATACCCATTGTACAAGTAATCAAGATTTGCCCTCCAGGTGTCTCTTCCCATAAGGCAGGTAGAAATATATGAAATTAAATTATTTTCAACTAAAGCAATGCCTTCACATGACTCTCTCAATCCAAAAACATTACCCTGTGCCTAACGCTAAAGGCCATGCAAAGTACTAAAAGAGCATAATATAATACACGGCCAGTCATGACAAAGAACTTTAGAATCCAACTGATAAAACAGAACTCGTAAATATGAAACAATGAGAAAATGATTAAGTCTTGGGCTTCCTATTAACTGCTAGGCTTGGCTCTACCGGTTCTAATCCCAATTCAACTCACTACCTATTATATGACCTTGGGCAACATCCTCATCTGTAAAACTATGAGTTAAACCTAAATTATCTCTAACATCCTTTCCAGCTTTTACCTTCTGTAGCTCTAGAAACAATGAATCAGAGAAAAGAAAGACAAATGTGGGCTTCTAGAATGTGTTATAAATTACCTAGGCAGAGACAACCACCAAGTGAATCTGGCAAGGAAAAACATTTCTATTCAATTAAAGCTTGTTTTGGCCAGGCGTGGTGACTCATGCCTGTAATATTACCCAGCAGTTTGGGAGGCTGAGGCAGGTCACAAGGTCAGGAGTTCGAGACCAGCCTGGCCAACATAGTGAAACCCCATCTCTGCTAAAAATACAAAAATTAGTTGGGTGTGGTGGCGTGCGCCTGTAGTCCCAGCTACTCAGGAGGCTGAGGCAGGAGAATCGTTTGAATTCAGGAGGTGGAGGTTGCAGTGAGCCGAGACTGCACCACTGCACTCCAGCCTGGGCGACAGAGAGAGACTGTCTCAAAAAACAAAAAACAAAACAAAACAAAAAAACGCTTGTTTTTATTATACAAACAGGGGGATCAGAAAGTAAATGAAAGAAAACTATACCATTCTCCTCCCATTAGAAAAATCCTGACAAGGCTTACGCTATATAAACAAATCTACTGTCAGTAGAGTGGGGCAGTGACAACAAAAAAAATAGTTGACAGGGCCGGGCGCGGTGGCTCACGTCTGTAATCCCAGCACTCTGGGAGGCCGAGGTGGGCAGATCACTTGAGGTCAGGAGTGCAAGACCCTGGCCAACATGGTGAAAACCCATCTTTACTAAAAATACAAAAACTAGCTGGGTGTGGTGGTGCGTGCCTGTAATCTCAGCTACTCGGGAGGCTGAGGCAGGAGAATCGCTTGAACCCAGGAGGTGGAGATTGCAGTGAGCCGAGATACTGCCACTGCACTCCAGCCTGGGTGACAGAGTGAGACTCTGTCTCAAAAATAAATAAATAAATAAATAAATAAATAAATAGACAGCAAACACTTGATTGAATATGTGTGAAGCCCTTTACTAGACACAGTTCAGAACACAAATATGGATAAAACACAGTCCCTGCTTTTGGAAATTTTATTTCATTCATTCACTCACTCAGTAAATATTTATTGAGTACATCTACTATGTATAGGACAATTCTAGGTACTGTAAATACAAGAATGCATAGGATAGAGAAGATCCCTGCTCTGATATAACTCACATTCTTAGGGAGAAAACAGACTAAAGTAAACCAAAAAGGTCACCCCAGAAGAAGAAAACAGAAAAGAGTTATATGACAGAGATTGACTGGGTTGGGAAGAGAGGCGAGGATATACTTTTCACTGGGTGATCATGAACACAAAATATTAATAATCACTGACACTGACAGGAATTCATTGTGTTACTCTCTTTATAAAACTTACTTAAAATTAGGCCAGGCACAGTGGCTCATGCCTGTAATCCCAGCACTTTGGGAGGCCGAGGCAGGCGGATCACGAGGTCAAGAGATTGAGACCATCCTGGCCAACATGGTGAAACCCCATCTCTACTAAAAATACAAAAATTAGCTGGGTGTGGTGGGAGGCAGGCAGATCACGAGGTCAAGAGACTGAGACCATCCTGGCCAACATGGTGAAACCCCGTCTCTATTAAAAATACAAAAATTAGCTGGGTGTGGTGGCGGGCGCCTGTAATCCCAGTTACTCAGAAGGCTGAGGCACGCGAATCGCTTGAACCCGCGAGGTGGAGGTTGCAGTGAGCCAAGATCATGCCACTGCACTCCAGCCTGGTGACAGAGTGAGACTCCGTCTCAAAAACAAACAAACAAACAAAAAAAAACAAGAAAACAACAACATTTAAAATTAATAAAACAGAACAAGCTATAGATAGGCTGATCAGGGCATGTTTCATTCATTGAGATGAATCTGAGCTGAAAGCTGGAAACCATGAGCAGGTGCAAAGGCCCTATGGAGTTCAGAGCCTTTATGAAAAGAAAAGAAAGCTGATACAGCTAAAGCTAGGAGAGAATGGTACGAGGTAAGGAAGGTAGAAGATGCAGAAAGTTTCGTGGGCCCCACTAAGCAATGGTAAGGGACTTAGACTATTCTAAATGCAAGAGAAAGCCACTGGAGGGCTTTATGCAACAATGGGAAGAGAGAAAGATACTATGCTTGCTTTTGTTTCATGAATACAAGGTAATACAAGGTAGGTGCTAAATCAGGTAACCCAAAATATATTCATGTTTAGCTATGGGATGAACTAACATGTTGGTGGCATCTTTACCTCGCTAACCTTTTATGTGAACTGATAGTAGCATTAACTTCTCATTCCAAGCACACCAATCCCAGGACACTAATGCAGGACCTGGAATGGTGTTTCGGAAACATCTTGGGTGAGAAAGCAATCAGTGTAGGATTAAAAATGTTGTTACGGATGTCCAACAAAAATGCTGAGCAAACAACATGTGGGCTAGAATTTCAGACTTTAAAGATCTTACTTAGAAAAAAATGGCATTCTGGCTACCATGACAGCTGCCACATAAATGAAAAGGAAACTGAGGCATACAACAGATGAATGACTTGCCCAAATCACACAGCTAGCAAGAGGAAGAATGGAGACGTTGGGATGTGAAGTCCACTCTCCTGACTTCCTGACCAGGGTTCTTTCCAGAGCACCACAAAAAAGCAAATATAAAAATAATTTAGAATCCACAGACAGAAAGCAGACGAGTGATTGCCAGGGGCTGGGGGGTGAGGGGGCTGAGGGGGGTACAGGGTCTCTCCTTTTGAGGTGATAAAAACGTCTTGGAACTAGATAGAAACGACAGCTGCACAACATATTGAATTCACTAAATGTGACTGAATCATACACTTTAAAATGGTTAATAGTTAATTTTACGTTATGTAAATTTTGCTTCAGTTTAACAAATGAACTTGAAAAAATAAAAATAATAATTTAGAGGGGATCACCAACAACTGATGACAAGATTATTAGTCACCAAAGGTACAGTTTCGGACACCCATGTTCTAATGAAAACTCAAGATAAGCTGGCTTCAGACCAGCGTTTCTCAATCTCAGCAGTACTGACATTTTGGACTAGATGATGTTTGCTGTTGTTCTCAAGAGCTGTCTTACGCACTGTAGGCTATTTGACAATATTCCTGACCTCTACCCACACCCCTCTTCCCCTGAGTTGTGGCAACCAAAACTGTCTCCAGACACCGCCAAAGTCCTCTAAGAGGGCAAATCACCCCGTTGAGAACCACTGTTAGACAGGGTGCCTAACTTCTCCTATCTTAATTTCCTTAATCATCCACCTAAAACCTGAGGCTAAAATAAGGCCCTCTAATTCATGGCTTTTTTTTTTTTGAGACAGAGTCTCACTCTATTGCCCAGGCTGGTGTGCAGTGATGCGATCTCAGCTCACTGCAATCTCCGCCTCCCAGGTTCAAGCGATTCTCATGCCTCAGCCTCCCCAGTAGCTGGGATTACACGCGCCCGCCACCGTGCCTGGCGAATTTTGTGTTTTCAGTAGAGATGGGGTTTCACTATGTTGGCCAGGGTGGTCTCGAACTCCTGACCTCAGGTGATCCACCCGCCTTGGCCTCCCAAAGTGCTGGGATTACAGGCGTGAGCCACCGCACCCGGCCTCTTTCAATTATAGCCCAGTACGGTATTCTCATTCACCAGCCTTGCTCTATATCTCACTAGGATGATGCAAGCTTATACTGAAATAACTAAGGAAATGATTTTACACTGAATGATCCTTAAAACAACAACAAACTCCTCAAAGTCAGTAAGTGGCTATGAAAAGAGTTTATCTTAAGTTTCTATCCAAAGAAAGTATTGGTATAAAAGCTTCCCATTAAACTTCAAGAACACGGCTAATAAGCTAATACTCAAGTTATCAAAGGACTGGTAGTTTCTGAATCTGCATTTTTTGATTTGTACTTAAATGCTTCTTATACAAGGTGCTTCCCTTTGAAACTCACTGACACATCTGCTTGTTTACCTCACCAGTGTTCAAGAAGGATTTTAGGTTCCTCCATTTTCGCACGAGAATACCCCAGGCATGCCAGGCAGTAAAGGGTTAATTTAATTAGTTCTGTGTATGCTCAAAGAATTACAAGCAACTTCATGTAATTATTAAGCAGCCAATCAGGTAATCTCTGTGGTTGATTAGTGCACTAATGAAATAATGTCTTCCAGTTCAAAGCTGTCACTGCAATCAGGAGACAGCTCTTCAGCTAGAAGAAAGAGCTGGCAGGATTTCCAGACTCATGCTAAGAATCTGGGGAAGGGAAATGAATCATTTCATATTTCACCCCTATTGTATTAAAAGATAAAGAAGTCTCTGAATTGACATTTATAAGATACTCTAGCCAAGAACAGCAGAATACACATTCTTTTCTTTTTTTTGGAGGGAGGGGTGGGGGGAGGAACAGAATCCTGTTCTGTCACCCCCCAGGGTGGAGTGCAGTGGTATAATCTCGACTCACTGCAACCTCCGCCTCCTGGGTTCAAGTGATTCTCATGCTTCAGCCTCCTCAGTAGCTGGGATTACAGGCGTGTGCCACCACGCCTGGCTAATTTTTGCATTTTTTTAGTAGAGACGGGGTTTCGTCATGTTGGCCAGGCTGGTCTCGAACTCCTGACTTCAGGTGGTCCTCCCGCCTTGGCCTCCCAAAGTGCTGGGATTACAGGCGTGAGCCACCATGCCCGGTCCTACACATTCTTTTCAAGTGAAAATGAAACATTTACCAAAAGACACCATATTCTGGGCCATAAAACAAGTCTCAATACATTTAAAAGGATGCAAGTCATACAAAATGTCTTGTCTGACTAAAGTGGGTTAAATTAGATATCATTAATAGAAAGCTCTCTGGAAAATTCCCAAATATTTGAAAACTAATATTCTTCACACTTCTAATAACTAATACACTTCTAATATATTCGTATTTCTAAATAACCCATGGCTGCAGGAAGAAATAGAAAGGGAAAAGGGGAAGACCTGAATGCTTTTTCTCTAAGATGAGGAACAAGACCAGGATGTCTACTCTGGCCTCTACATTTTATGGTTGGCTCTAGACAGTGCACTAAGGTAAGAAAAAGAAGTAGTGGCTTCCACATTGCAAAAAGATGCAAAACTATTTTTATTTACAGACAACATGATCATCTATGCAGAAAATCCAATGGAATCTACAAACAGGTTGCTAAAAGGGGGGAGTTTAGGAAGGTTACAGATACAAGAGTAATATAACTCAACGCTATTTCTAATACTAGCAAACAATTGAAAATTTTTTTTTTTTTTTTTTTTTTTTTTTGAGATGGAGTCTCACTCTTTTGCCCAGGCTGGAATGCAGTGGCACGATCTCGGCTCACTGCAACCTCTGCCTCCTAGGTTCAAGCGATTCTCCTGCCTCAGCCTCTGGAGTAGCTGGGATCACAGGCGGCAGCCACCACACCCGTCTAATTTATTTTATTTTATATTTTATTTTATTTTATATTTTTTATTTTATCTTATTTTATCTTATCTTATCTTATTTTATTTGAGACGGAGTTTCGCTCTCGTTGCCCATGCTGGAGTGCCATGGCGCAATCTCGGCTCACTGCAACCTCCACCTCCCAGGTTCAAGCGGTTCTCCTGCCTCAGCCTCCTGAGTAGCTGGGATTACAGGCGTCCACCACCATGCCCAGCTAATTGTTTGTATTTTTTAGTAGAGACAAGGTTTCACTATGTTGGCCAGGCTGGTCTTGAACTCCTGACCTCAGGTGATCCGCCTGCCTCAGCTTCCCAAAGTGCTGGGATTACAGGTGTGAGTCACCATGCCTGGCCTAAAACTTTCAAAAATGTATAATAGCATCAAAAAGAATGAAATACTTTGGGATAAATCTGACAAAAGATGGGAGATACCTAAAGAGTTGAGAATTTGAATATAAAACTTTTCTGTCAGAAATCAAAGAAAACCTAGAGAGAGAGAGGTACCATCATCATGGGTCAGAAGACTCAATAGTGTTAAGAGGCCCATTTTCTACAAATTGACCTAGATATTCAATACAACTCCAATCTAAATGCTAGCAGGCTTTTTTTGTAGAAACTGATAAGCTAATTCTAAAATTCATATGGAAATATAAAAAATATAAAATAGCCAAAGCAACTTTGAAAATGAACAAAGTGAGAGGACTAACATTATTTGATTTCACTACTTATTAAAAGCTGCACTAATTAAGATACTGTGATATTGTCTTGAAAACAGAACAGAGTGAACAATGACATAGAACAGGGTCCAGGGCCAGGCGCGGTGGTTCACGCCTGTAATCCCAGCACTTTGGGAGGCCGAGGCGGGTGGATCACGAGGTCAGGAGATCGAGACCATCCCGGCTAAAACGGTGAAACCCCGTCTCTACTAAAAATACAAAAAATTAGCCGGGCGTAGTGGCGGGCGCCTGTAGTCCCAGCTACTGGGGAGGCTGAGGCAGGAGAATGGCGTGAACCCGAGAGGCGGAGCTTGCAGTGAGCCGAGATCCCGCCACTGCACTCCAGCCTGGGCGACAGAGCGAGACTCCGTCTCAAAAAAAAAAAAAAAAAAAAAAAGAAAGAACAGGGTCCAGAAATGAACCCACATGTATATGGAAAACTGACTTGGGCAACTAATAAAGGATAGTCTTTTTTTTTTTTTTTTTGGCAGGGGGGTCGGGGGGATGGGGACAGAGTCTCGCACTGTCATCCAGGCCGGAGTGCAGTGGCACGATCTCGGCTCACTGCAACCTCCACCTCCTGGGTTCAAGAGATTCTTCTGCCTCGGCCTCCCAAGTAGCTGGGAGTACAGACGTGCAACATGACGCCCGGCTAATTTTTGTTATTTTTAGCAGAGACGGGGTTTCACCACATTGGCTGGACTAGTCTCAAACTCCTGACCTCGTGATCCTCCTGACTCCATCTCCCAAAGTGCTAGGATTGCAGGTGTGAGCCACTGTGCCCGGCCAGGGTGGTCTTATCTACAAATGCTACTAAACACATGCCCCCTCCCCACTCAAAAAAAACCCCACCAACTTCGATCAGTACTTTATATCATATGCAAATTATCAATTCAAAATGAAGCACAGACTTAAATGGTAAATCTAAAACAATAAAACTTCTAGAAGAAAATGTAAGAAACAAACCTTTGTGACCTTAGATTAGGAAAAAGCAAAACCAGAATATATAACAGCTCAATAGACAAAGAGTCCAATTTTAAAATGAGCAGAATACCTTAACTAGAAGATCACCAAAGATATAAATAGCTAACACAGAAAAAGGTGAACATTATTAATGATAAGGGAGATGCAGATCAAAACCACATTAAAATAGCCCTTCGCCCCCCACTACTGAATAGTGATAAGCAAAAGGACAGGAAATAACAAGTATTGATGATGTGAAAAAACTAGAGCCCCTTATTCACTACTGTTGAAAACAAACTGGTGTGTTTACTTTGGAAAACAAGTTTGCCAGTTTCTTTAGAAGTTAAAACATAACTCCAATTCTACTACTAAGTATTTGTCCAAGAAAAAAAGAAAGCACACACTTACAAGCAAATACGTGCAGCTATTATCTATAATAGCCCCAAACAAAAACAATCCAAAAGCAAAAACAATACATCATCTGGTGAATGGATAAAAAGTGGGTATAGCCAAACAATGGCAGTACCAAAAGAAAAAAATGAGGACATGTCTAAAGGAGAAAGGAGTCAACCTGAAAGAATTTCCAATGGCCAAAGCTTGAAATAATTTGAGCAGCTAAGTAAACAGTATTAGATTCAAACCCAAAGGATAAGTATCAATGAGTCCACGCTGATGACAACAGACTTAAGGAGACATGCGATGTCAGGTGGAATGCAGGAACAAATCTTGAAATGAAAAGATGGGGAAACTGCCGGGTGCGCTGGCTCACGCCTGTAATCCCAGCACTTAGGGAGGCCGAGGCGGGTGGATCGCCTGAGGTCAGGAGTTCGAGACCAGCCTCAACATGGAGAAACCCCGTCTCTACTAAAAATACAAAATTAGCTGGGCGTGGTGGCACATGCCTGTAATCCCAGCCACTCAGGAGGCTGAGGCAGGAGAACTGCTTGAACCCGGGAGGCGGAGGTTGCAGTGAGCCGAGATTGCGCCACTGCACTCCAGCCTGGGCAACAAGAGTGAAACTACGTCTCCAAAAAAAAAAAAAAAAAAAGAAGAAAAGAAAGAAAGAAAGAAAAGAAAAGATTGGGAAACTGTTGGAATCTAAACAGTCTGAAGTTTAGTTCATAGTACTGCACCAATGTGAATGTCTTAGTTTTAACAAATTTACCATGATTATAAGAGATTAAACATGAGAGGAAGCTGGGTGGAGGGTTTATAGAAGAGATCAGCAAACTACAATCCAAGGGCCAAATCTAGCCTACCACCTGTTTTTATAAATAATGTTTGACTGGAACACATCCATTCATTTACTCACTGTCTTATGGCAGCCTCTGCCCTACATCAGCACAGTAGTCTTAAGAAAGACCATTTGGTGTAAAATATTTATTATCTGGCTCTTGACAGGAAAAGTTTGCTGAGCCCTGATATACATGAAGTCTTTCTCTGTGCTGTCATTGTAACTATTCTATAAATCTAAAATGATTCTAAAGTAAATTTATTTTTTTAAAAAGTTAAAATGTTGGCCAGGCACAGTGGCTCACGCCTGTCATCCCAGCACTTTGGGAGGCCGAGGCAGGTGAACTGCCTGAGCTCGGGAGTTCGAAACCAGCCTGGGCAACATGGTGAAATCCCGTCTCTACTAAAAATACAAGAAATTAGCTGGGCATGGTGGTGGGCACCTGTAATCCCAGCTACTCGGGAGGCTGAGGCAAGAGAATCACTTGAATCTGGGAGGCGGAGCTTGCAGTGAGCTGAGACTGCGCTACTGCACTCTAGCCTGGGCAAAAGAGCGAGACTCTGTCTCCAATAAAAAAAGTTAAAATGTTGAGCTGGGTATGGTATTGAGCACCTGTAGCCCCAGCTACTCAGCAGGCTGAAGTGGGAGGAGTGCTTGTTGTATCCAGGAGTTCAAGACCAGACTGGGCAACACAGTGAGACCCCATCTGTTAAAAAAAAGGCAGCGGGGGCGGGGGGGGGTGTTAAATATTCACCTACCATATGACCCAGTCATTCTACTTACAGGTACTTACCCAAGAGAAACGGAGGCATGTGTCTAAAGAATGGTACACAAATTTTTGCCAATAGGTGCACTCAATAAACAAACTATAGTACTATCTATCCCTCAACTGGCATAGTACTCAACAATAAAAAGGAATCAACTACTGACGCATGCTACAGAATGAATGAATCTCCATTTACACTGAGTAGAACGAACAGGAACAACATCAAAAGAGCGTATATCTCATGTAAAAGTCTAGGAAATGTAAACTAACATACAGTAACAGAAAGCAGATTGGGGGGGTCACCCTGAGAGAAACACAGGTTGGGGTGAGACGGGGGCAAAGAGATTACAAAGGGACACAAGGATATCACACCCTCGCGTGGCGTTGGCGGACATGTTCGTCTTGACGTGGTAATGGTTTCACTAGTGTGTATATATATGTCAAAACTTGCCAAATTGTACACATAAATATTTGCAGTAGATTATGTCAGTTATACCTCAGTAAAGCTGTTTTTTAAAATAAGTTGCAAAAATATTCTTCTGGTCTTCTGATATCAAGCATTATGAATAAATAGACTAATCCATCAACAAACCTCTTCAGCTACCAGTTTCTGTCACCCGTCCCTCCTCACCTCTGGAACACTCTTTCTTTAGGGGAGATGAAGATTCTGAATTGTAGTCACACTTGTTCTAGAAGAAGTCTTTAGAAAATCCTGCAAGAATAAGACTCCCCTGGGGACTGGTCGCGGTGGCTCACACCTGTAATCCCAGCACTTTGGAAGGCCAAGGCAGGAGAATCTCCTGAGCCCAGGAGTTCAAGACCAGTCTGAGCAACATAGTGAGATCTCATCTCTACCAAACAACAACAACAACAAAAGTCAAAAAATTAGCCAGCCACGGTGGCATGCGCCTGTAGTCCCAGCTACTAAGGAGGCTGAGGCCAGAGGACTGCTTGAGCCCATGAGGTTGAGGCTGCAGTGAGCAAGAGATTATGCCACTGCACTCCAGCCTGCAACAGAGGGAGACCCTGTCTCAAAACAAACAAAAAAGACTCTCCTGGGATCCTGCCAACAAACTATACACAGGCAAGTGAGATCCCAATTACCTGGATAAGCAGCAAGGTATTTACAGAACAAACCCTCTGACCTCCCTCTTCTCTGCCCTTCTCAGACTTTCTGTCTTTCCCTTCGCTCTTAAGCCTGGGAGAAATGAAGATGTCAGCCAGCCTGGGAGTCAGAATGCAGCTCCGCCATAAAACAAAGACTTCAGAAATGAAATCACTCACGAGAAAAAGGACATTTCTCAAGAGCCTCCTAAGGATAAAGAGAGTTGGCAGGTGTGCCTAGCTTCTCTAACCTTATTCAACACCCAGCAAGCATCTTCACTGAGTGACTTTGTACCCTGCTATCCATTCCAGACCTCCTCATCTACTCCACACACCTCAGTGACTGGCTGCCACTAAGTTCTGCCCTTCCCAGACAGCTTTGTTTTTAAAATACAAACTCCTCTTCTTCAGTCACTTCATCTGATTTTGGCATATAACAGTTGAGGGTAATCCTAAAGATTACTTTGAAACTACAGGAAATATAATGTAAATAAAACACTTATATATAAAACATATTACCCAATTCCTAAGTCACACTAATGTGTACTTTGGACATTGTCCCTGCAGGCAAAAGGAAGGAAAATGAGGAAACTAAGACTAATGGGGAAGCCAAATCTGCACTTCAGATTTTTTAAAAAGTAATGGTGCTTTAGAACTTAATATATTATAAAATACATCCAACTATGATATATAAATAAAATGCTAACTGCAGAATTACAATAAGCATAATAATGAAAAACCATATCATGTGAGCATTAGCATGTCATCATTAAATGTGAGGTCCAAAATTCAAAGAGATGCCAAAAGAATGTATTTCTTAAATTTCAAGATTTCTAGACAAATTTTCCCTTAAATTCAAATACTGAAAGTTGGGAAATGATGAAATTACACTAAAATTTTTACTGTAGTAAAATCCACAATTTTACACTCATGGTATAGTCGCATCTGAGTGTACTTGTGCTCATCCTCCCATATAAAAATCACCATTACAGGTTGGGTGCGGTGGCTCACGCCTGTAATCCCAGCACTTTGGGAGGCCAAGGCAGGCAGATCATGAGATCAAGACCATCCTGACCAACACAGTGAAACCCCGTCTCTACTAAAAATACAAAAATTAGCTGGGCATGGTGGCGCGTGCCTGTAATCCCAGCTACTCAGGAGGCTGAGGCAGGAGAATCGCTTGAACCCAGGAGGCAGAGGTTGCAGTGAGCCGAGATCACGCCACGGCACTCCAGCCTGGAGACAGAAGGAGACTCCATCTCCAAAAAAAAAAAAAAAAAAATCACCATTACTTCAACTCCTCCACTAATCCAAACCCTAAGCACCCTTCAAAAGAAGCATCTTCCCAGGAGAAGACTTTGGACTGAGAACCATAAAATGTGAGAGCTAAAAGAGAACTTGCCTCACCAAAATATGAGAAAACTGAGGTCTACAGAAAGAAAAAGACTGCAAGGTCCAAAAGCTAAAACTTGGAGCTAAAGCCAGGATGGGCATCTGGCGTCCCACCTCCTGAGCCTTTTACTATACCATTAATGAGGCCTTCAAGTTTTCTGTCCCTGCTGAACTTGACCAACTCAGATCTCTGAGCCAGTGCTTCTCACACTTTAATGTGCATAATAATCACCTGGGAACCTTGCTCAAATGCTGAATCTGATTGAGTAGACAGATCCAGGGTAAGGCCTGAGATTCTGCATTTCTAACACATTCCCAGGAGGTGCTCACCATGCTGGTCTGAGGACCTCAGAGGGAGCCCAATATCACCTGATTCAACCTGTCCAATTTAGCATTACTTTACTACTTATGACTCCCAAGTCTATACTAAGCCTCCCTGAGCCTCAATTATCTCATAAAAATATTGTTTTGTAATGTAACTACCAAATGAGATAATTCTGTATTAACCATCCTTGGCACATACTGAATGTTTAGTGAATAGTAACAGCTAATTTGAGCACAATTTATAAGTTGGCACAATTTGGGTATTTTACAAACTTGAAGGTATTTAATTCTCACGTTAACTCCACAAGCAGTACTGTTTATTCCCATTTCTAAAGATGAGAAAACTGAGTGTAAGGGCTGTTAAGTAAATTGTCCAGTGTCACAGAAGCACTGTGGATGGCACCAGGAAACAGACCCCGTCTGGCTCCAGAATCTGCATTCTTCACCACCACTTCTCTCAATAAATGTTTCCTGTTATTTTCTCCCAGACAAAAACTCCCTTCTGAAGGCCACATCTCCACTCAACTGTCTACTGCATAACTCAAATTAAATGTTTCACACAGACCTCAAATTCAACATGTCCCACACTTACGACCTCACATACTCATCACCCCAGACTCAACCCTCATTTAATTTTCCCATCTCAGTGAAGAGTAAGCAACATCTGAGCAGTCACTGAGCCAGATCGGACGAGTCATACCAGGCCGGCAGTCCAGCTTTCTTGGGCCCAACGCTCCCTCTTTATAACACGTATTTTATATTTTATAATACCCCCCCCCACTTTGTTATACCAAAATGCAATTAACAGATGATACAAATTCCTACATTCATAAATATAATCAATGTATTCCTCAACTGTAATCAGAAGCAGACATACCATGAAATATATAATAAAATAAATGTCAAAATGAAAATGCTTAAGCATGACCTCAGCAGAAGATGAAAGAGGGGCTTGTTCCTCCCCATGCAAGCTAAGAGTACAGAGGCCGACAGACACAGTGTTGCATGAACAATCCAACAGGACCACTGACAAAGATGATGACATGGTACAGAATTTCCCAAAACGGTGGAAACTCGTGCTAATGTTCCAAACAATACTAAGCATCATCTTTCCTACATGCACACCACAGCTGCATTACTAAAAGTTTCCATTTATTTTAAAACACCACAGAAATTAATTTGTGTTAGCCGGGCACGGTGACTCACACCTGTAATCCCAGCACTTTGGGAGGCCGAGGCGGGCGGATCACGAGGTCAGGAGATCGAGACCATCCTGGCTAACACAGTGAAACCCCGTTTCTACTAAAAGTACAAAAAATTAGCCGAGCGTGGTGGCGGGCGCCTGTAGTTCCAGCTACTCGGGAGGCTGAGGCAGGAGAATGGGGTGAACCCGGGAGGCGGAGATGGCAGTGAGCAGAGATAGCGCCACTGCAGTCTGACCTGGGCAAAAGAGTGAGACTCCGTCTTAAAAAAAATAATAATAATTTGTGTTTATACGTAGGGTTTGGATTTAGATTCAAATACAAATTTTTAACCTATATAAAAGCTCAAGGCTGGATGCAGTGGCTCATGCCTGTAATCCCAGCCCTTTGGGAGGCGAAGGCGGGTGGATCACCTAAGGTCAGGAGTTCGAGACCAGCCTGGCTGAAACCACGCCTCTACTAAAATACAAAAAATTAGCCAGGTGTGGTGGTGTGTGCCTGTAATCCTAGCTACTCGAGAGGCTGAGGCAGGAGAATCATCGCTTGAACCTGGGAGGTGGAGGTTGCAGTGAGCTGAGATCACGCCACTGCAACCCAGCCTGGGCGACAGAGCCAGAATCTGTCTCACAAAAATAAATAAATAAAATAAATAAAAAAAAAAAGCTCTTTAGGAGGGAGCAAATTCTTCACTGTGGAGAATGTCCCATGCATTGTATGTAACACTGTATAACACCTAGCATGCAGGTCCCACCCACTAACTGCCACAGATTCCCACAACACTGCCTCGGGATGACACTGCCCTGAAGATGCACTGTGCTAGGCTTTTCCTCTCTCACAAGCCATTGTCCAACCACATGCAGTTAATTCTGTCTCCTACTCTCAAATCCATGCTCTCATTAGATGTGTTATCCTTTCTACTTCACGTCCTGTCATCTCTCACCTACCCTCATAACTTGTCCTTCTGGTTCTGGGCTGTTCATTCTATACTAACAGTGAAGTGATCTTTCTACTCTGCAGAGATTACTTCTCCATTCACTCAGCAAATATTTATTGCACACAGGTTATATACCAGGAATGTTCTAAACACTCAACCACATCACTCAGCCCTGCTTAAACTTTAACTGCCATTACCACAGCAATTTTCAAACAGTGCTTCACTCTTACCCATTTTATATGTTCAGTTTCTACATAAAATTTCCTTTTAACAAAGTGATGCACAGTTTGTTTGTTTTTTGAGACAAGAGTCTCGCTCTGTCGCCAGGCTGGAGTGCAATGGTGCAATCCCGGCTCACCGCAACCTCCGCCTCCCGGGTTCAAGCGATTCTCCCTGCCTCAGCCTCCCAAGTAGCTGGGATTACAGGCACCCACCACCACACCCAGCTAATTTTTGTATTTCGTAGTAGAGACGGGGTTTTGCCACATTGGCCAGGCTGGTCTCAAACTCCTGAACTCAGGTGATCCACCCGCCTTGGCCTCCCAAAGTGCTGGGATTACAGGCGTGAGCCACAGCGCCTGGCCTTGTTTTTTTTTTTTTTTTTGAGAAAGGGTCTCACTCTTGTCGCCCAGGCTAGAGTGCAGTGGTATGATCATGGCTTACTACAGCCTCAACCTCCTGGGCTCAAGCAATCCTCCCACCTCACCCTCTCAAGTAGCTGGCACTGCAGTAACGCACCACCACAGCCAGTTGTTTTTTTTTTTATTTTCGTAGAGACGAGGTCTCGATATATTGCCCCGACTGGTCTCCAACTCCTAAACTCAAGTGATCCACCTACTTCAGCCTCCCAAAGTGCTGGGATTACAGGCATGAGCCAAAACGCCTGGTCTCAAAATATTTTTAATTAAAAATGTTTTTAGAAAGTGAAAGAACCCAGGAATGAGAAAGAATATTCATGATACTTTTATTAATGCAAATAAATTATTTCTAATCAATAATATAAAAATAAACAACTTATTACCCTTTTACAACAAAATAAAAACCATGATGAACTTTTTGTGATAAGGGAAAAAAATCTGGAATTGGACTTGCATTAGACAATATTACAAAATTTTTTTTCTGTAGAAATATGAATGTTAAGTGGTCGTACAGGATAATATTCCTACTCAATGCGTGCTTAAGTATTTAAGAGTCAAATGTCAGCTGGGCACGGTGGCTCACCCCTGTAATCCCAGCACTTTGGGAGGGCTGAGGCGGGCATATCACTTGAGATCAGGAGTTAGAAACCAGCCTGGCCAAGATGGTGAAACCTTGTCTCTACTAAAAATACAAAAATTAGCCCAGCATGGTGGCGTGTGCCTGTAATCGCGGCTACTTGAGAGGCTAAGGCATGAGAACCACTTGAACTCAAGAGGTGGAGGTTGCAGTGAGCTGAGATTGTGCCACTGCACTCCAGCCTGGGCGACAGAGCGAGACTCCATCTCAAAAAAAAAAGAGAGAATATGTAAGATTCTATTCGAGCCGGGTGCGGAGGCTCACACCTGTAATTCTAGCACTTTGGGAGGCAGAGGTGGGTGGATTCCTTGAGCTCAGGAGTTTGAAACCAGCCTGGGAAATAGAGTGAGACCTCGTCTCTGCCAAAAAAGAGATTCTATGGATAGCAAATTCTAGAAAAGGTAAACTAATCTACAGTGACAAAAAGTACATAAGTGATTGCCTGAGACCAGAGTAGGGATGGGGTCAACCGCCAAGGGACACAAGGCAACACTGGGGTTAGATACAAATGCTCTGTATCTTGATTGATGGTAGGTACAAGGATCCATGCATTTTCCAAAACTCACACTACATACTTAAAAGGAATGCATTTGATGTATTTAAATTATAGCTCAATAAAATTGATTTTTAAAAAACAATTTTCAATGAACAATCTGAAAATGAAATAAGACAATTCTATTCACAACAAGATCAAAATAATAAATTTAACAAAAACAGCAAAAAAACCTATACTTGGAGAAGTATAAAACATTGTTGAAAGAAATCAAAGATCTAAATAAATGGAAAAACATCTCATGCTCATGGATTGGAACACTTAGCATTGATAAATTGGTAACACTGTCCAAACTCAACTACAGAGTCAATGTAATCCCTATCAAAATCCCAGTGGATGTCTTTGCAGAAATTGACAAAACTGATTCCAAAGGGACCCCAAACAGCCAAAATAATCCTGAAAAAGGAGGAGGACTCACACTTCCCAATTTCAAAACTCACAAGACAGCATTAATCAAGACATAGTGGTACTGGCACAGGGACAGATATATAGATCAATGGAACAGAACTAAGAACCTAGGCTGGGTGTGGTGGTTCACGCTCAAAGCTTTAGAAAACCTACGCAGGAGCATCACTTAAGGCCAAGAGTTCAAGGCCAGCCTGGATAGCATAGTAAGACCCTGTCTCTACAAAAAAAAATAGAAAAAAACTTAGCTGGGCATGGTGGCACACATCTGTACTCCCACCCACTCAGGAGGCTGAGGTGGGAAGACTGTTTGAGCCCAGGGTTTAAGGCTGCAGTGAGCTATGGTCATGCCACTGCTTTGGCCTGGACGACAGAACCAGAAACCGTCTTAAAAAAAAAAAAAAAAAAAAAAAAAAGCAGCGGCAGCAGCTGGGCGCGGTGGCTCACGCCTGTAATCCCAGCACTTTGGGAGGCTGAGGCAGGTGGATCACCTGAGGTCGGGAGTTCAAGACCAGCCTGACCAACATGGTGAAACCCTGTCTCTGCTAAAAATACAAAATTAGCCAGGCCTGGTGCTGCATGCCTGTAATCCCAGCTACTCGGGAGGCTGAGGCAGGAGAATTGCTTGAACCCGGGAGGCAGAGGTTGCAGTGAGCTGAGATCGCGCCATTGCACTCCAGCCTGGGCAACAAGAGCAAAACTCCGTCTCAAAAAAAAAAAAAAAATGAATAAAAAAGAACTCTTACACCTCAATAATGAAAATACAAACAGCCCATTTTTTAAAACTGGCAAAGGATGTGAACAGACATTTCTCCACACAATATATAACAAATGGCAACACATGAAAAGGTGCTCAACATCATTAAGCATGAGGGAAGTACAAATCAAGACCAGGTGGAGAAACCACTTCACACCAACTAGGATGGCTAGAACCAGTCAGATAATAAGTGTTGGCAAGGATGTGGAGAAACTGGAACACTCATATACTGCTGATGGGCACATAAAATAGTGCTGCCACTCTATAACCAGGCAGTTCACAGGTGAAGCCTCGTTACTGTATGACCCACCAATTCCACTTCTTAGTACATACCTAACAGAACTGAAAACACATGTCCTCACAAAAACCTGCACACAAATGTTTAGAGCAGCATTATTTATAATAGCCAAAAGGGGGAAATAACCTAAATGTCCACCAATGGGTAAATAAAATAAAAATTATTATATACAATGTATAGCTTTAAATATAGCTATAAAAAGGAATTATATACTGATACTTTCTACAACTTGGATGAAACCTAAAAACATTATGCTAAATGAAAAATCCAATCACAAAGGGGCACATACTACATGATTCTACTCATTATGAAGGCCCAAAAAGGAAAATCTATAAAAGCAGAGAGTAATTTGCTTAGGCTGGGGAAACAAGAGGTAGGGAGAGCTGGGGAGGCAGGGAGCTCAAGGGTACAGGGTTTCTTTTTGAGGTGATGAAAACCTTATAAAGGTATGGTTACGGTGGCAACAGTTGTAACTATTTGTAAATATACTAAAACCCACTAACTGGAACACTATTTTCTGAGACAGAGTCTCACTCTGTCACCCAGGCTGCAGTGCAGTGGCGTGATCTCAACTGACTGCAACCTCCACCTTCTGGGCTCAAGCCATTCTCCTGCCTCAGCCTCACGAGTAGCTGGAATTACAGGCGGGTGTCACCACACCTGGCTAATTTTTGTATTTTTAGTAGAGACGGGGTTTCACCATGTTGGCCAGGCTGGTCTTGAACTCCTGACCTTGTGATCTGCCCACCTCGGCCTCCCAAAGTGCTGGGACTACAGGTGTGAGCCACCGTGCCCGGCCTACTTGTTGAACACTTTAAATGAATGAGTTGTATAGTATGTAAATAATATCTCAATAAAGCTGTTTTTTTTTTTCTTTGAGACAAGGTCTTGCTCTGTCACTCAGGCTGGAGTGCAGTGGTATAATTTCGGCTCACTGCAACCTCCATCTCCCTGACTCAACAACTTCCACCTCCCTGGCTCAAGCAATCTTCCCAGCCCAGCTTCCCAAGTAGCTGAGACTACAGGTATGCAACACCATGCCTGGTTTTGTTTTATTTTATTATTCTATTTTTGAGACGGAGTCTCACTGTCGCCCAGGCTGGAGTGCAATGGCACGATCTTGGCTCACTGCAACCTCCGCCTCCCAGGTTCAAGCGATTCTCCTGCCTCAGCCTCCTGAGTAGCTGGGATTACAGGCATGCACCACCATGCCTGTAATTTTGTATTTTTAGTAGAGACAGGGTTTCGCCATGTTGGCCAGGCTGGCCACTGCGCCTGGCCAATTAAAAATTTTTTTTGTTGTTGAGACACGGTCTTACTATGTTCCCAGGCTGGTCTCCAAGTCCTAACCTCAAGCAATCCTCCCATCTCAGCCTCCCAAAGGACTGGGATTACAGGCATGAGCTACCAAGCCACGCTTATTTTTTTAAACAAAAAACATTTGTATTCGGCCAGACGCGGTGGCTCACACTTGTAATCCGAGCACTTTGGGAGGCCGAAGCAGGTGGATCACCTGAGTTTGGGAGTTCGAGAGTTCGAGACCAGCCTGGCTAACATGGTGAAACCCCGTCTCTACTAAAAATACAAAAATTAGCTGGGTGTGGTGGCGCATGCCTGTAATCCCAGTTACTCGGGAAGCTGAGACGGGGGAATTGCTTGAACCTGGGAGACGGAAGTTACAGTGAGCGGAGATTGCGCCACTGTACTCCCGCCTGTAAGAGTGTGAGACTCCGTCTCAAACAAACAAAAGCATCTGTATTCAACAATCACTTTAATCCACATAAGCACACTATATTGGTATATTTTTACAATTTTATTTCATTATACTTTGATTTCAAAATAATATGTGATCATTCAATTTATTTGTCAGTTAATTCCTTTCTCCCAAATGATTATAATTTCCATATTATTACCATAATCAAAATCTAAAATGAAAGAAAATGTAACAATAATTACCAGTTGCTGAGATCTATTTGGGCCAGGCCCTCACATGCTTGGCTCATTCGAACCTCACCACAGCCCTATGGAACACGAGACAACCAAGATGCAGATGAACAAGCTGAGGCTCAACAGGGCTAAGTGACAGGTCCAGACCTTGGGCAAAGCCTGGACCGGAGCCAGAGTGATTCCAATCAACTCTCTGTTGTAATTACTTCACTAGTAGCCCTGCAGCTTGAAATTTAAATCATTTTACCAATGTTTCCCGGTTTCCCTACATCTAGGATAACTGGGTTGGCTTCAGCCTGCCTAAAAACAATTCCCCTACCAACCAACCAGTGTGTAAACCAGGATGGAGGTGTGGTACATCTATAAAAGACACTGTGGGGACAACTGAGGATATTTCAGTGTGAACTGTTTACTGGATGTTATTACAGAATTACTGTTAATTTTCCTAAATGTGAGTATAACATTGTGGTCATACAAGAGAAAGTCCTTATTCATAGGAAGTACATGTACATGTGAAACTATGAAGGGGTAGACTCTCATGACACAGTCGACTTACTTTCAAATGGTTCAGCCAATGTGGCAAAAGTGTTAACAATTGGTACATCTAGAGTAAAGGGTACGCAGGGGTTCACTTATCTTTGAACTTCACCGAACATCTGAAAATTCTCAAAATAAAATAGGAAAAGCTTTAAAAAGCTGAAGCTTTAAAAAGTAATTTCACTTTCTGAACATTGTTTATCAGTGTTCATCTCCTTTAGATTAATTTTCAAAGTTAAAAAAATCAAAGTCTTTTTATAAATTATATTTTTATCAGATATTAAAAACAAATGGTTTTGGGTCAGGAGTGGTGGCTCACGCCTGTCATTCAAGCACTTTGGGACCGGCGAGGTTGAGGCTGCTGAGCTATGATGGTGCCACTGCACTCCACTTTCGGCAACAGACCAAGACCTGTCTCAAAAAACAAAACAAAACAAAACAAAATAAAAACACCTGGTTTAGAATCAAACGCTTAAACTTTATGGATGAAAACTGCACGCCAACTTGTAAAAAGGAATCTGGCAACTGTGATGTAATCACTGATTCAGGCAATTCCTAACGGGTTAATTTGGAGAAGAAACAGGATGTTTGCAAAGTATCTCCCCACAACGTACTTGTTAATTATAAGAGAAAAACAGTAACTTTGCAGTGGAAAGCAGACATCACCCTAACCAAGTGATCAAAGTTAGTAACCACCACCAATAAAGGGCACAATGAAAGTGATGTAACTGCTGATACTATGCACCAAGGGCACGGCCCTCTTCAGCACTCCCGCCAAAAACACATGACCCAAGTTATCCTGAGAGGACTTCCAACAAGCCCAAGTGGAGGGACCGTCAATAGAATGAATGGCTTTTAGTCTTCCAAAAAGGTCAAGCTCAAGAAAGACAAACACTGAAAAACGGCTCTATTTTAAAGGAGACTAAAGAGACTCAACAACTAATGGAATGCCTGATCCTAGACTGAAAACCTGAACCAGAAACAATTTCTAAAATAATAATATATTTAAAATTCATAAAAATAATGTACAAATTATATATATTATTGGCTCAATTGGCAACATTTGATATACTATTATCTACAGATCTTACTCAGTATTAAGTTCCTGATTTTAATAATTGTACTTATATGTATAAGAGAATATTCCGGCCAGGCACAGTGGCTCATGCCTGTAATCCCAGCATTTTGGGACGCCGAGGTGGGCGGATCATCTGAGGTCAGGAGTTCAAGACCAGCCTGGCTAACATGGCAAAACCCCGTCTCTACTAAAAACACAAAAATTAGCCGGGCGTTGTGGCGCATGCCTGTAGTCCCAGCTACTTGGGAGGCTGAGGCAGGAGAACTGCTCTAACCCAGGAGGCGGAGGTTGCAGTGAGCCAAGATCGTGCCACTGAACTCCAGCCTGGGCAACAGAGTGAGACTCCATCTCAAAAATAAATAAATAAATAAAAAAGAATATCCCCGAGCTGGGCGTGGCGGCTCATGCTTGTAGTCCTAGCTACTTGGGAGGCTGAGTCAGAAGGATTGCTTGAGCCCAGGAGTTCAAGACCAACCTGGGCAACACAGCGTGAGACCCCACCTCAAAAGAAAAAAACAATGTTTTTAAGTCATAAAAACACTAAAATGTCAAGGAGTGAAAGGTATCACGTCTTCAACTTATTCTCAGTGTAGAAAAACAGTAATTACACAGCTAGAGATGCCTAGCTAGCTAGCCGGACAGGCAGGCAGGCAGTTGGGAGACAGAAGAGAATGGTACCAAAATTCATGTAACTTTTATGATAAAATATAAAACAAAAAGTAACTATGAAGATAGCTTGGTGGGGAGAAAGAGGGAGATGGCAGTAAAGCACATGGTGTAAAACTGAACACGTGGGGAATCTGGGTAGGGAGCTTAGGAATTCTGTGTACCAGCCTTCTAAGTTTCCGTTAAGTCTGACATTACTTAAAAATAAAGTTTTTAAGGCCGGGCGCAGTGGCTCACACCTGTAATCCCAGCACTTTGGGAGGCCAAGGAGGGTGGATCACTTGAATTCAGGGAGTTCGAGACCAGCCTGGCCAACATGGTGAAACCCCGTCTCTACTAAAAATACAAAAGTTATCCGGGCATGGTGGAGTGTGCCTGTAGTTCCAGCTACTCGAGAGGCTGAAGCAGGAGAACTGCTTGAACCCGGAGGCTGAGGCTGCAGTGAGCTGAGATCGTGCCACTGCACTCCAGCCTGGGCGACAGAGTGAGACTCCACCTCAAAAAAAAATACTAAAATAAAATAAACAAAGTTTTTAAAAAACCCAACCCAGAGTTACAGTAGAGTGGAAAAATGATAAAAGGAGCTCTTAACAGTTATTAACATATTTTGTAAGTAATTTAAGCAAGTGAAGAAAAAACTGAATTGCTTTCACTTCTAAAATGTCTCCTGACTCAGTGTTCTCCGTAAATTGCGTAAAAGATTCCTTTCTAATACCACGACACTAGCTAAAATTTAATCTCACCCACCTTCCCATATACTCTCAAGAACCCGCACTGGATGTCAGTTTTCCTGTCTCACTAGCAGTACTGTTCAATTCATTTACCAAAAAATGCCTCCGCATTTTCCTGAAGTCTGCCGGTATGGGTTCTGCCACCCGCTGGGCATGCGGCCTTGGGTAAATCGCTTCACTCTGAGCCTGTTTCCTACAGTGCTGTCATGGTGATGCCTGCCTCATGGGGGAATTAAACAGATGGGTCAGTTCGGGCATGAGAAACACTTGAGACAGTGCATGGCACCAAAATTCATGTAACTTTTATGATAAAATATAAAACAAAAAGTAACTATGAAGAAAACTTGGCCAGGCGCGGTGGCTCATGCCTGTAATCCCAGCACGTTGGGAGGCTGAGGCGGGCGGATCACCTGAGGTCAGGAGTTTGAGACCAGCCTGGCCAACTTGGTGAAACCCGTCTCTACTAAAAATATAAACATCAGCCAGGCATGGTGGAGCGTGCCTGTAGTTCCAGCTACTTGGGAGGCTGAAGCAGGAGAATTACTTGAACCTGGGAGGCAGAGGTTACAGCGAGCCCAGATGGCACCACTGCACTCCAGCCTGGGCGACAGAGACAGACTCCCTCTCGGGACAAAACAAAAAACAAACAAAAAAAAAACTCAAAACTTAAAACCTCAAATATAGAATGTAATACTAACAGAAGTCTAATGATTAAAAACACTAATCCTATCTTAGAAAAAAAAATTGTTCTGGTTCTTGGTTGTCATGATAGTAAACAACTACAGATAACCCAAACGCCCCTTGGCTAAATGAGAGTCCCTCTACCCGATGAGTATTCTGCAGCTACTGGAAATCATGGCGTGCTGTGATTGAAAGGGCATTCTGTTATATAACACTGTCAACAGAATAGAACAGGATTCAGAAGCATATAGAAAAGTACGATCTTGTGTTTACAAGATACTTAACATGTTATGTGCACACAGACAAAAGTGAGGAAGTGTTAGGCTCTTTGAGGGGCAGGGCATGGAAGACTCCCTCAGGTGTGGTGGCTCCTGCTGGACACACGCCAGCAGGCTGGAGCCGGGGCCTTCTCGTTAATTCCTCTATGGCTGGGTCTCTCCCAGGCTTGCTTCCTCATCTGTAAGATTCTGGCTGTGTCGTGGCTGCTCACCATGACCTTTCAGCTTCTTTTCCACGCTAACTCGATAATCCTTGTATTTCCTAGGTTACGCTCCCAAGAATGGAAATTTCATTGGCCCAGTTCATCTTTTCTTGCGAGATGTGTTATAGATTACTGGCCAAGATATAGATTTGCTTGACAAGGGCAAGGAGGGGCAGGTACAGCTGCCAGATAACCTCTGAAAATTTCTGTAGAACCAGTGGAGAAATGAGACAAAAGAAGGCTTTCTGTTGAGCTGTAACTCCCTCTGGCATGGGGAACCTGTTATTAAACATAACACAGAACATAAATACCTGAATAGCTTATTTGTATACAAATTATCATTACAAAAGGATCACAAAGTAACATTTAGTAGTCCTACAAAACATTAAACATGTAACAGAGAGAAACTAAAAACTGAAGTATTCCAAACAATCAACAGTCAAACAAGAATAAATCTAAAATTCTAATGAAAGAAAGGCACATCTCTGACCAGGTACAGTGGCTCACACCTGTAATCCCAGCACTGTAGGAGGCTGAGGCGGGTGGATCACCTGAGTTCAGGAGTTCGAGACCAGCCTGACCAATATGATGAAACCCTGTCTCTACTACAATTACAAAAATTAGCTGGGCGTGGTGGCATGCGCCTGTAATCCCAGCTACTTGGGAGGCTGAGACAGGGCAATGGCTTGAACCCAGGAGGTGGAGGTTGCAGTGAGCTGAGATCCCGCCATTGCACTCGAGCCTGGACAAGAGTGAAACTCCGTCTCAAAAAAAAAAAAAAAGGCACATTTCTGTGGCTGGATTTTCATTTCCATTTTACTCAACAGAAAGCTAAAATACTGAGCAACTGACAGTCCTAGGGTGACATAACCACATCCCAACAATTAGAGAGCGGTGGCACAAAGAAGGGGATTGATTACTGGTATAAAACATGGCGCAGAGTTTGGAAACAGGCTGAGAAAGGGGGCCCTACAACTGACCTCTTCAATACAACACCAAATGAAGGAACTGAGATTAATTTAACTTCTTCTTGTTACAATCGCTATATATTCTTTGTGAAAAAAGTTTTTTTTTAAAACGCCCTTCCTTTCTCACCATGCTCTTAAGCTTCTCTGTTTGACAGGTCTTATCCTCTCTCCTTCCAGCAGAATGAAGTTTTTTTAAGTCTCAGCCTCTCCCTCTCCGGTCAGAGTAACTCAAATCCCTTCTCCGAAGTCATCTTTGACCCCTTCAAATCACCAACTCAAAGGCTCTTTTCCGTTGTCATTTTCCTAATACTTCTCTGCATCATTCAGCAATGCAGACCTTGTCGCTGCGGAGTCTGTCCTGTGACCATGAGTGGTACCACCGTATGAGGGCTCAATGACACCTACCATGGGGCTGCCTGGCCTGCCAGGAGCCCCATTCCTCCGGCTTACATGATGTAGGGTAATCCGCAGTGCTGAAGGCACTGTTATTCCATCATTCGCAGCCAAAAATATCCTAAGCGACGCAACCTTCATCACATGCTCCCACCCTGGGGGTCATCCAGTCCCACCTACTCTTTCTTCAATAGCACCAGTGAGAAATGTCCTTTCCTGTTACCACTACCATCAGCGGTTCATGCCCCTTCCGCTCTAATACAGGCCCACCTCGTTGTACTGTGTTTCCCTTTACTGAACGTGCAGATATTGCATTTCTTACAAACTGAAGATTTCGTGCCGACCCTGCGAGTAGCAAGTCTATCAGGGCCATTTTTCCAACAGTATGTGCTCACTTCATGTCTCTGTGTTGCATTTTGGTAATTCTCACAATATTTCAAACATTTTCATGATTATTATTAAATCTGTTATGTTGATCTGTGACTAGTGATCTTGGATATTACAACTGTAAATGTTTTGGGGCACCAAGGATTGTGCCCACATAAAACAGCAAACTCAATTGATAAATGCGTGTGTTCTGTCTGCTCCACAGACTGGCCAGTTCCCTGTCTCCCTCTCCTTGGGCTTCCCTATTCCCAGAAGCACATTTAAACCAGGCCAATTAATAATCCTACAATGGCCTTTAAGTGTTCAAGTGTAAGGAAGAGCACCATGTCTCTCACTTTAAATCAAAAGCTAGAAATGATTAAGCTTCATGAAGAAGGCGTGCTGAAAGCTGAAACAGGCCAAAAGCTAGGCCTCTTGAGCCAGTTAGCCAAGTTGTGAATGCAAAGGAAAAGTTATTGAAGGAAATAAAAAGCACTGCTCCAGTGAACACAGTAATGAGAAGGCAAAACAGCCTTATTACTGATAAGGAGAAAGTCTGAGTGGCCTGGAGAACAGATCAAAGCAGCCACAACATTCCCTGAAGCCAAAGCCTAATCCAGAGCAAGGCCCTTACGCTTCAATTCTACGAAGGCTTAGAAAGGTGAGGAAACTGCAGAAGAAAAGTTGGAGGCTAGCAGAGGTTGGTTCGTGAAGCTTTAGGAAATGTAACGTAAACATGCAAGACAAGGCCTCAAGTGTGGATACAGAAGCTGCAGCAAGTTATCCAGAAGATCTAGCTAAGATCATTAACGAGGATGAATACACAACAGATTTTCACTGTAGGTGAAACAGCCTTTTATTGAAAGAAAATGCCACCTAGGACTTTAATAGCTAGAGAGGAGAAGTCAATGCCCCACTTCAAAGCTTCAAAGGACAGGCTGATTCTCTTAGGGGCTGGTGACTTACTGGAAGCCAGTGCTCACTCACCATTCTGAAAATCCTACGGCCCTTGAAAACTGTGCTAATGTATTCTGCCTGTGCTCTCTAAATGGGAAAACAAAACCTGGATAACAGCACATCTGTTTACAGCATGGTTTAGTCAGTATTTTAAGCCTACTTTTGAGACCTACTGCTCAGAAAAAAGTCACTACTTTCAAAATATTACTGCTAACTGACAATATACTTTGTCACCCAAGAGCTCTGATGGAGATATACAAGGAGATTAATGTGGTTTTCATGTCTGCTGACACAACATCCATTCTGCAAGCCCATGGATCAAGAAGTAATTTCAACTTTCAAGTCTTATTATTTAAGAAATACATTTTGTGGCTGGGAGCAGTGGCTCACACCTGTAATCCTAACACTTTAGGAGGCCAAGATGGGAGAACTGCGTGAGGCCAGGAAGTCAAGACCAGTCTGGGCAACACAGCGAGACCCCATCTCTACAAAAAATAAAATAAATACATTTTGTAAGGCAATAGCTGCCATAGATAGTGATTCTTCTGATGAATCTGGGCAAAGCAAATTTAGAACCTCTCAGAAAGGATTCATGATTCTAGATGCCATTAAGAACATTCATAATTCATGGGAGGAGGTCCAAATATCCATATTAACAGGAGTTTGGAAGAAGCTGATTCCAACCTTCGTGGATGACTTTGAGGGGTTCAAGACTTCAGTGGAGGAAAGAAATACAGATGCGATAGATACAGCAAAAGAAATAGAATTAGAAGTGGACCTGGGCCAGGCACAGTAGCTCACACCTGTAATCCCAGCACTTTGGGAGGCCGAGGTAGGTGGATCACCTGAGGTCAGGAGTCTGAGACCAGCCTGGCCAACATAGTGAAACCCTGTCTATAGTAAAAATCCAAAAAAAAGAAAATTAGCCAGACGTGGTGGTGCATGTCTGTAATCCCAGCTACTCGGGAGGCTGAGGGAGGAGAATTGCTTGAACCCAGGAAGCGGAGTTTGCAGTGAGCTGAGAGCGTACTGCCACTGCGCTCCAGCCTGGGCAATAGAGCAAGACTCCACTTCAAAAAAAAAAAAAAAAAAAAAAGTGGACCTGAAGATGTGACTAAATTACTGCAACCTCATGATGAAACTGGAATGGAGGAGTTTTTTCTTTTCTTTTCTTTTTTAACCTGGTCTGAACACTAGATTAAAAGGAGTTGGTTCTTATGGATGAACAAAAAAAGTAGTTTGTTGAGGCACAATGTATTATTCCTGGTGAAGATGCTGTCAACATTGTTCAAATGACAACAAAAGATTTAGAATATTCTAAACCAAGCTGATAAAGCAGTGGCAGGGTTTGAGAGGACCAACTTCAATTTTGAAAGAAGTTTTACTGTGGGTTAAATGCTATCAAATGGCATGGCATGCTATGGAGAAATCTTTCATGAAAGGAATATTCAGACATGACCCTGCACTGGCAAAAAGACTATGACTCGTTGAAGGCTCAGATGATCATTAGGATTTTTTTTATTTTTTTGGAGACGGAGTCTTGCTCTGTTTCCCAGGCTAGAGTGCAGTGACATGATCTTGGCTCACTGCAAACTCCGCCTCCCGGGTTCAAGAGATTCTCCTGCCTCAGCCTCTGAGCAGCTGGGATTACAGGTGCCCGCCACCGTGCCCGGCTAATTTTTGTATTTTTTAGTAGAGATGGGGTTTCACCACCTTGGCCAGGCGGTCTCGAACTCCTGACCTCATGATCCACCCGCCTCGGCCTCCCAAAGTGGTGGGATTACAGGCGTGAGCCACCGCGCCTGGCCAATCACTAGGATTTTTAAGTAATAGTTGTTTTGTTGTGTTTGTTTTGAGACAAGGTCTCACTGCTGCCCAGGGGGGAGTGCAGTGTTGCAAACTTGACTTGCAACCTCCGCCTCCTGGACTCAAGCGATCCTCCCATCTCAGCCTCCCATATAGCTGGGACAACAGGTGCACACCACCACACCCAACTGATTTTTGTATTTTTAGTAGAGAAAGCGTTTCACCATGTTGGCCAGGCTGGTCTCAAACTCCTGGGCTCAAGCCATTCGCCAGCCTCAGCCTCCCAAAGTGTTGGGATTACAGGCGTGAGCCACTGTGCCCAGCCTAAAATATTTTTTAATTAAGGTATATACATTATTTTTTAAGACATAATGCTACTGCACACTTAACAGGCTATAGTATACTGTGAACATAACTTTTATATGCCCTGTGAAACCAAAAATTTCATGTGACTCACTTTACTGCAATATTCACCTTATGGCAATAGTCTGGAACTGACCCCAAAATATCTCTGAGGTGTGCCTGTAGCTAAAACTAGTCTTTCTTCTTCCAGTCTGTTCTATTCCAGCTACCAAAACCAGATTTAACCTAAAACACTTAGTATACAGGACTTCTTACTCTAAAACTTGGTTTCTCCACTGCCTGAAGAAAAATGATCACCAGTGAGGCCAGTCTTCAAGGCTTGTTGCAATGTTGCCTCTATGATCTCTCTCTCTCAACCTCTTTTTCTATTAGTCTCTATGAGGAAGGGGCTCTCTGGCCGGGCACAGTGGCTCACGCCTGTAATCCCAGCACTTTGGGAGGCCAAGGCGGGCGGATCACAAGGTCAGGAGATCAAGACCATCCTGGCTAACACGGCGAAACCTCGTCCCTACTAAAAAAAAAAAAAAAAATTAGCAGGGCGTGGTGGCAGGCGCCTGTAGTCCCAGCTACTAGGGAGACTGAGGCAGGAGAATGGGGTGAACCCAGGAGGCGGAGCTCGCAGTGAGCCAAGATTGTGCCACTGCACTCCAGCCTGGGTGACAGAGTGAGACTCCGTCTCAAAAAAAACAAAAAAAAAAAATGTGGGGGCTCTCTGACCTAGCTAACTACACTGACTTACTCAGCATGACCCCCAGAAGCATGATGCTTCCTCCAGGAAGCGTTTCACTCGCCATCTCTGCCTTCCTCTGAACTCTTACAGCAATTATATTCCCTATCGCTCACTGGGCAAACAACATAGGTTTCACAATACCACTGCTGCCCTGCCCCTTTTCGACAGACAAATTCCCCCAGGGCAGCAGCACAACAGGGACTCTGCCACATACCTCTGCAACCTCAGTATTAATAATGATGACAATAACACAGGGAAGGCTGATTGGGTTTTGAGATTTTCCCTTTTTTAAAAACATTTCACTTTAACCTTAAAAATGTGCATGTTACAGAAATCCAAGCGGAGTCAGGGGTAAGGAAGATGGGTTCCATTGCTGAAAGCGATGAAAATCCAGGGTTATGCACTCACTCCAGCAGCACTTGCACTAAAACTGGCCTATGCAAGATGACACGCAGAGTCGTGAAGTGTTCCGTGTTAAAAAAAAAGTCTAGAGTTACGTGTCACAAGCATCCTCAACCAAGCATCCCCCTCCCAATCTTCAACATTCCTGTAAGGAGGGCTGGGGGGCTGCTTTAACACCACAAAGGAAAATGGGGGGAAAGTCTTTCAGAACCAATGTGAAAAGCATCAGTACATTCGTGTGGATACTAACCCAAATCAATGCCAGTGTAAGAGTGGAAAATAATCCAAAATTAAATTCCTTTATTATGACAACAGGTGAAATTTTTTCTTTAAAGCACCTTCCCCCCCGCCCACCCCCGTGTACAACAATGTTCCCTGAACAAAGAACTCCAGGCCTCTGCTATAAAAATTGTCCCCACACCTAAAAGAATTCACAAACAACCTTTCAGGAAGACAGAGAGACATAATGGGGAATGGAGAAGAGAAAGGATTTGCTAAAGAAGTAGATCTGTTAATTTAACACATTTTCTGTCAAGCAAATCAACTGTCCTCAGTGCCATTGTTGCTGAGACAATGAACACTCAGGGTAGGGCTGTTCATTAAAAGGAACCGGCCAGGAGAAGAAAACACTCTTGCAGTCAACAAGACTGCTGAACAGCATTTTTCAATTCTAAGAACTTATCCATTCTCAGGAATTATTAATTGGGTGTGATTTAAAGTTCAACATTGAAAACGTGAAGCAGTGAGCTTAATTGTGGCCCCACGGCTTCCTCTATTTTCATCACTTACTTTTGGAGGTGATGGGTGGGGAGGAGCAAGGGAGGGTACACACAGTCTGTTCTGACAGCCACTCACACATTCAATTCAGGTGGCCACATGCCTCAGTGACACAATGCCAAGTCACACGTCACTCCAGCAAACCCACCCTAGGGAAAAAGTAGACCTGATTTAGCTCATAAAGAGTCTGGGCTGTAGAACCAAAGCTAAAAGCTGACCATTCCAGTGTGAAACTTATACGCATATGACATCATTTAAACCGGCCAATGTCTTTTGTAAAGGCCACATGAGGTCAGGGACTTTAAAAAGGAGAATGAAATACTATCTTCTATATATTTTTGCATAAACCATATTACAGTTTAAATGAGTGTATGGCTAACGAAGTACAAAAAAGAACACATGAGAGAATTATTCAGAGGGGTCATCTGCCCTCTAAAGAGGAGAAAACTGCTTTTGGCTGTAGAACTGATTGACTTCACACCAACTTATTTACACAAATTCTCGGATTTAACACCTTGCTGCAAGCCAGAAATTCTACCCCTCCTCCACTGATGCCCAGAACAAACCCTAGGGCATGAGTAGAGCACAAGGGAGTAGAAGAGAAAACAAAAAAAAACAATGGTCAGACCTTAGTTCCCAGCCAAAGAGATAAAGAATAAAAAACAAGACACAGGGTCTCTGTGGGGATTGAATACCCCAAGATGGAAAAGAAGGACTTGGAGATGGACATTCAATGAAAAACATCTTCAAAAGCCACAGATAATGTGATCTCATTTCCTTGAAGTTCTATGGTATCTTTCTTCCAAGAAGCTCAAAGCCCTTCACAGTGCACTAGACTGCTTGAGTCACACTCACAATACCGTTTGCTCCCCAAACCAAAATAAAAATCTATTTGAATCCATAAAATATTTCACCATGCTTGCTGAGAGCAAAATTAAACATGAAAAATCATTAAAAAACATTTAGAGCAGCTTCAAGCTCATGTGGTCGCTGTGTTCTACACTGAAAATTCTGACGGAATAATGAACTTTACATATGCATATATCGCAAACACACACACACACACACACACACACACACACACACACACACACCTTCAACGTAGGTCCCACTGAACTTTTGACCTGGTCATGGATAACGCCCTCCCCAGTACACCACTGCTCAATGCTCAAGAGATCTGTCAAGAGCCTTGTGCCCTGACAGGCAATGGCAGCCGCTCCAGCCCCAGGCTGCAGCACAAACACCCCTCACCCCTCCTCCCTGCGGCACTAGGCAGCCAGGCCCTGCTTCAGGGAGGCCTTTTGTAGGGGAAGGCCTTTCTTTATCAGCCTCAGTTAGCTTCACAGTTCCCTCCCTACTAGCCCCAAACTCTCTTCTTTCCTTAAATGACGTTCTAGGAAAGAGAAAAAAATTAACAATGCCAGGCGCGGGGGGCTCAGGCCTGTAATCCCAGCACTTTGGGAGGCTGAGGTGGGCTGATCACTGGAGGTCAGGAGTTCGAAACCAGCCTGACCAAGATGGTGAAACCCTGTCTCTACTAAAAATACAAAAATTAGCCGGGTGTGGTGGCACACGCCTGTAATACCAGCTTCTTGAGAGGCTGAGGCAGGAGAATTGCTTGAACCTGGGAAGCAGACATTGCAGTGAGCCGAGATCGCACCACTGCACTCCAGCCTGGGTGGGCCACAAAAGCAAAACTCTGTCTCAAAGAAAGAAAAAAATTAACAAAACATCTGTTTCCCAGGTTTGTGACATGTACAATTGCTGATGACATTCACATCTGGGAGCAACTTTAACTTCCTTAAATTTCCATAAACAAAAATACTAAAGGTTTGCATTTAGGGGAAAAAATGCCCATCACAAGGAAAAACTCATCTATCTCACATAGGGTGTACCTTCTATACAATGACCAACACTGAAAAGTCATCTCTACCTCACACACTAAAGTAATGATTCTCAAAAGCAGGACAATTTCACCCCGCCGGACATATTTGGCAATGTCTGGAGACATTTATATTTGTCATGACTGGGGGTGCTATTGGCACCTGGAGCATAGAGGCCAACAATACTGCTAAACATCTTAAAACGAGGGCCAGGTGGGCCGGCTCACACCTGTAATCCCAACACTTTGGGAGGCCGAGGAGGGGGTCAGGAGATTGCGACCATCCTGGCTAACACGGTGAAACCCCGTCTCTACTAAAAATACAAAAAATTAGCCAGGCGTGGTGGTGGGCACCTGTAGTCCCAGCTACTCAGGAGGCTGAAGCAGGAGAATGGTGTGAACCCGGGAGGCAGAGGTTGCAGTGAGCCGAGATCGTGCCACTGCACTCCAGCCTGGACAACAGAGCAAAACTCCGTCTCCCAAAAACAAAAAAACAAAAAAACAAAAAAACAGCCCAGCGCGGTGGCTCACACCTGTAATCCCAGCACTTTGGGAGGCCAAGGCGGGCGGATCACAAGGTTAGGAGATCCAGACCATCCTGGCTAACACGGTGAAACCCCGTCTCTACTAAAAACACAAAAAATTAGCCGGGCGTGGTGGTGGGCACCTGTAGTCCCAGCTACTCAGGAGGCTGAGGCAGGAGAATGGCGTGAACCCGGGGGGCGGAGGTTGCAGTGAGCCAAGATAGCGCCACTGCACTCCAGCCTGGGCAACAGAGCAAGCCTCCGTCTCAAAAACAAAACAAAACAAAACAAAACGCATATAACATTCCTCATATAACAGCTTCCCACAACAGATTTTCAGATCAAACTATCAATAGTGCTGAGGCTGAGAAACCCAGAGGATTAAAGGAACACAATCTGGAGCTCACTCTTACTTTCCAATCATTCATTCCTTTCTCAATCCTAAGAGCTGCTGAAAAATGACTGTCCCCAAGTTTTCCAATATAAATTGACTGATATTTGTTAGAGGCTAATATAAAGATATAATAAAAGCATCCAAGGGATAGCATCCCATGAAATATGCAAATATGGAGGAAGGGTAGCAGCCATCTGAAAAGGTTATAATAGCAAATGAAAGGCAAACCACAAGCCAGAAGCTGTAAGTGGATCTTATTCAGAGTTCTAGCTATTGATGACATGAGATATAAGAAACAGACTAAGTGAAAGGAAGCCAAAGGCAGTGGCATGTGCCTGGAGTCCCAGCTACTGGGGAGGCTGAGGCAGGAGGATCACTTGAGCTCAGGGGTTCAAATCCAGCCTGGGTAACATAGTGAGATACTGTCTTTAAAAAAAAAAAAAAATGAAGTAAGAATCACATAATTCAATGCCTTCAGCCTCCAGAATTCCTCAAAATCTCAAAGCACAAAATCTTAGGTCACTTTAAGAACACTAGAGATAGTGAACATGTCAATCTTCAAGTCTCAAAAGCTACTTTCAAAGTAGCTTATTTGCAGACAAGATGCCAGAGAAAGAGAAAGAAAAAATTCCTATAATTTGCAAACACACCAAGTATGGATTTGCAGTTTTCACTTGGTACGTAATTAATTTGTAAGATGTGGATCCTAACCTTGACCCTAACTGGTGAGTCAGCAATTTTCTAGATTAGTTAAGAGTGTTATGCATGCTGAGAAACATTTCTAGAATCACAGAACTTTAGACATAGGAACACCTAGGAATCACTGAGTCTATAGATGGGGCACCTGAAACCCACAGTCATCTGCCTAAGAACACAACTTAAAGACAGGTGGGCCCACAATCCAGCTTTCTGATTGCTGCCTTTTGAAAATGTGTTTAGGGGCTGGGAGCGGTGGCTCATGCCTTTAATCCCAGTACTTTGGGAGGCCGAGGAGGGTGGATCACGAGGTCAGGAGTTTGAGACCAGCCTGGCCAACACAGCGAAACCCCATCTCTCCTAAAAATACAAAAATTAGCCAGGCAGATGGCACATGTCTGAAATCCCAGCTACTCGGGAGGCTGAGGCAGGAGAATCACCTGAACCCAGGAGGCAGAGGTTGCAGTGAGCTGAGATCACGCCACTGCACTCCAGCCTGGGCGACAAAGCAAGACTCCATCTCAAAAAAAAAAAACAAAAAAAAAGAAAATGTGTTTAGTCACATCAACTACATCTAAGACCATGTACTTAGAAGCTCCCCTTTGGCTCTGTCCACACACCACATTTTTACCTAAACCACCTTTGCACTGCAGTTTTCCGCACTCTGCCAAGCGCACTGCATTGTGCGAGCCCCAGCACACCATGGAATCCCACACTGAGCTCCCTTGATCAAAGGGGCAGATGATCGGTAGTACTGAATGCTGCCAAGGTGTATTTTAGGCTTTCCTAAGTGTATTCCAGAACATTAAGCAACTTAACTTCCGTTGCAAAGCGAGCCATGTGCTAACGCAGGCCGCCCTTCAGAGATGAGAAGGCGCTGCCCCTTCTAAACTGCAGAAGATCCCAACTGTGAAGCCTTTGAAGCTTCACATGGTGGGCACACACACACACACCAAAGCAGCAAGCCTTTCCTTTCAAAGCGTGGGTATAAATAGAAAGGGGACCTGGTATTCACTTTTAAAGAGTTACATTATGATAGCACATTCTCCCCTTTCAGGATCTTAGCCTGCACAGATCTGTCCTTCTGTAATTCACATCCTGTTCTTTGGCTTTCCTCCTTGGTGAGGGTGCAGATCCTGAATCTTTAGAAGGCATTTTATCCTCTAGTATGTTACATTAAATAGATTAGTGTGACAAAGGACTATTTTTTTTTTTTTTTAGATAAGAGTCTCCCTCTCGCTCTGTTGCCCAGGCTGGAGTGCAATGGCGCGATCTCAGCTCACCGCAACCTCCGTCTCCCGGCTCCAATGAATTCTCCTGCCTCAGCCTCCCAAGTAGCTGGGATTACAGGCATGCACCACCATACCTGGCTAATTTTTGTACTTTTAGTAGAGACGGGGTTTCATCATATTGGTCAGGCTGGTCCTGAACTCCTGACCTCATGATCCGCCCGCCTCGGCCTCCCAAAAGTGCTGGGATTACAGGCGTGAGCCACCAGCGACAAAGCACTATTTTAAAAATCACTTTAAATCACTCACCTCCTCAGGCAGGCCCTACTAATCACCCTGTTTTAAACAGCAACAATCTACACCTCACCATGGCCCTGTGCAAGCCTCCACCCCACTCTACTTGGGGCCTTTTGACATTATATACATTGTCTGTCTCATTGCACTAAAAAGCAAGCAGGTATTTCTCTATTATGTTCACAACCATATCGGCACCTAGTACACTGCCTAATGTAGTAGATGCTTAATAAACATTTGCTGGCTGGGTGTAGTGGCTCATGCCTGTAATCCCAGCACTTTGGGAGGCTGAGGCAGGTGGATCACCTGAGGTCGGGAGTTCGAGGCCAGCCTGACCAACATCGAGAAACCCCCGTCTGTACTAAAAACACAAAAATTAGCCAGGCATGGTGGTGCATGCCTGTAATCCCAGCTACTTGGGAGGCTGAGGCAGGAGAATCGCTTGAACCCAGGAGGTGGAGGTTGCAGTGAGCCGAGATCACACCACTGCACTCTAGCCTGGGCGACAGAGTGAGACTCTGACTCAAAAATATATATATATTTGCTGAAATAAATGAATGAATACTTGAATTTGTCCCTTTGCACTTAGTTCAGAAGTTTTTTAAAAAGATCTTCTGTACCCCACACTATTAAGAGCCAAAGAACTCTAGAGGTGCACTGTGGAATCTGGCCATTCCATATGGGTCTGGCCCGTCATTTTAAAGATAATAAGACCTGCAGAAGCAGTGCGATGTGGTAGAAACAGGCAGAATTTGGCCTCAAAGAACCTGAGATCCAGGTGAGAGTCCCTGTGCAAGCATTAGCCTCTGTAGACTTTCAACTTCCACATCTGTGAAATGAGAATACCCCTGCCTCATGGTGATGGTTAAGGCCGGCTAAGGAGAAAATGGGATAACATTTTGAAAATGTACCAAGTACTACGCAGTGTCATTTATCATCACGTTATTTTGACCTGCCCAAAATCACAGTCAGTTACAGCAGCACAATCAGAATACAAGTTTCCTAACTCCTAGTGCGGCACATCTTGTGTCACAAAAGTAGGCTTCTGAACCCCTAATTGGGGCCAACTTACTCTTTCAACTAGTTCAGGGCTTCTTAACCTCGTATGGGTTGGGGGCTGCTTCCAGAATGTGATGAGAGCAATAGGCCCTCTCCTCCAGCAAAGTGCACACACGTACACCAAAACAAAGTCTCCTACCCTGGTGCCAGGTTTAGGAACCACTGATATGATGGATGTACTTACAAGTTTCTTTTAGCTATTTCTATTACTTAATGTTTAACAATCCATGCATTCAGCACTTGATTAAGGGGCTGGATTCTTCAAGGATGCACCAAGGGTGGAATTCAAGAATCTGAATATTGCCCCTAGATCTCATGCTGATTAGGTAAGAGATCTTACCCACGTACAAACACAACCAGGAAGGAGACACAAGGAAGGCAAAGGATTAAGTACTCAAAGGCAGGACACTCAGGAAAAAAGGTAGACAGGACAGATTATTTTCATCATGCTGCTACTATACAAACCATTCAAATAATTCTACACGACCATTTTGCAACGGCCACCTACAGACACCAATGCAGCCCCACATCCATCATGATTACTGAAAATCATTCTGTCCTCCCTTACCTTACTCAAGTGAGACACTGTATTTACTGTACAGCGCATTTGGCTAGGGGGAAAACAGTAGTAAATCTTGGAGAGGTCAATTAGCCTTTCTTCTTTTCTTGAATCAGGACAAAACTTAGCCAACCTAAGCCACTAGAATGTTAAACAATTATAAAATACTTGATTTAACTGAAGTGGTATAAAATTGCTGGTTCTGAAATATTAACAGATAATCTTCTGAGGCAAAGGAGGCCAGGTAAGAGCTTCTTTGGTAAATTTCCAAGTTCCATGTTAAGCACAAAGTAGGGGCTTAATGATATCAACTACTGAATTCAGTGTCATTCATCTGTTTATATCAACTACTGAATTCAGTGTCATTCATCTGTTTATATCAACTACTGAATTCAGTGTCATTCATCTGTTTTCCAGCTATACCTCAATCTCATCTGAAAAGCAAAAACATCTAACCTACAGAACAATTACACTGCGGGCATATTTAGGAATTTCTAAGTATGTTAACAGTGAATCACTTTTATCCCTGAGTGGAAGGATACAATGTTAACAGTTAACTTTTATCCCTGATTGGTGACCATGGGTGGTTTTAATTTTTACCTGTATTTTATGATAATTTTCACGTTTATATAATTTTTTTTTAGTATTTTTACAACTAGGAATTTTGAACTGAGATAAGGCATTACTATTATATACTTGGCAGGTTTCTTATCTAAAACTAAGAACCAAGTATTCGTTGACTCTTCTAAAGCAATCCTGTATATTCAAGGTTGATTAATAGAGTAAAAAGTTTTTTTATAATACAAAAATTAGCCGGGTGTGCTGGTACATGCCTGTAGTCCCAGCTACTCCGGAGGCTGAGGCGGGAGAATCACCTGAACCTGGGAAGTGGAGGTTGCAGTGAGCCGAGGTCGCGCCACTGTACTCCAGCCTGGGCAACAGAGTGAGACTCCGTCTCAGAAAAAACAAAAAATTTATTTAATACACACAAAAATAAAAATATCCACGTTTTGGGGACAGTTTTCTAAGTGGAAGGTCTTAATCTCTTGGAGAAGTGGGGCATGAATCCTGCCAGCCCTTCACCTGTCTTAGAGATTGCTTCACTTTAGATAAATGGAAGCCGAGTCCTTGAAGACTCTGCTTCCTCAATTTTCTATAAATCCATGAGTTCAGCCTGGTGAGATCTTTCCCACAGCTGAAAACTGGTTTCCTGAAATAACTGATACCCAACTTCTACTACTTGCTATTATTTATCATTTTTACCTTTTAAAGTTGCAGAAAATTAAGACTGTAGGGCCCTTCCACATGGCCTAACAGGTACGGCTCGGCATTTGAATTTTTTATCTTTTAATTAATTAATATATTTATTTTGAGACAGAGTCTCGCCCTGTCGCCCAGGCTGCAGTGCAATGGCACGATCTCGGCTCGCTGCCACCTCCGCCTACCGGGTTCAAGCGATCATCCTGCCTCAGCCTACGGATGTAACTGGGATTACAGGAGCGCGCCACCATGCCTGGCTAACTTTTTATATTTTTAGTAGAAACGGGGTTTCATCATGTTAGCCAGTCTCGTCTCGAACTCCTGACTTCAGGTGATCGACCCACCTCGGCCTCCCAAAGTGCTGGGATTACAGGGGTGAGCCACCGAGTCGAGAAAATACATTCTTAAATCTTAATTTTTAAATCTCACATATAATCATTCCCAATAAAATTCTAATTTTTGATAACTACTAAAAAGCGTAAGTTAAAATTTCCATTAGCCATATCAAAACATACCTGAGATGGATTAGACAAAAACTGCAGGTGAGAAAAGTCACTTTGTTATCCACTGACTGAACATCTCCAAATAAAAACGAGTGTGGATAGTTCTTAAAACCTGCATGTTTGAAGCCAAATATTCATTTCTGTTGCATGTATTTCAAACAGCATGTATTTTAGCCCCAAAAAAGTGTCATTTCCAAGAAACACTGGAGTCAAAAGAGAGGACAGTCATATCAAATAGCCTTGATTATTCACCATGTAAACTACAGTGATTTTTCATGTTATACATATAAATTTGACCTCTTTAATCAGTTTACATTTCCTTTAGGAATTAAACCAGCTAATTCTCAGAAACCACAAGTTTATTGCTTATAACAGAAGACAAGTTATTTACAGGTTACTCTAAATATGCTGCGAGTACTTAAGGCAAAATGAGTTACCTCTAGCTTTTCATCAACAAAATGGGAATACATGGATTTTGAGACATAAAGTTTTTCCAACAATATTTTTAGGATGGGTCTTTAAACTCTGAACTCATAATCCCAGCACCACCTCAACTTTATCTCGCAAGGAAGAAAAGGGACTAGGTGCAAGTTTACCAGCACCCAAGATGGCCCTGTCACAGGCGGCACCTCCCACCACAGCCACCATTTTGACTGCAGGATATAATTAAACTACTCACGATTTTGTACCAACTGAAAGAAAACACAGGACATCAGAGTAACTGAGAAACATCCTTTGACCTTTAGGATTCCCAACTCTTTAGCTTCCGTGTCTCTGTTTCTCTTCTTTCGTCAATATTAACAGTTGTCTAAAGAATATTTTCATTAATAAAATTATGCTTGCTACATTCACGTTCAAACTTTGAAAACAAACGCTGTGGCGCCACGTAAAATGCCCGTTATTACCTCTTCCTAAAAAGTGGAGAAGCCCACATTTCCTCACATTGTTTTAATCAGCTTAAGGAACTAAGAATCGCCAAAAGCCAGTGAGTGGCCCTAGACTATCTGTCTACATTCCTCTTCATTCTCCCATCCCCAACCCTTTTGATCTTTTTATTTTCCTGATTTCATTAACTGCGACGAGAGCAAGTTCCCACACTTCATTCACAGAAGAAGCAACTGATATTTCAGCAAACACGACTAAATCTAAAAATAAAGGTGAGGCAAAGAGCTCTGAAATAAACGAGTTAAAATCAACCCGAAAATGGCACAAAGTAAGATCCGTGGGGCTGGGGAGGCAACAACAACGATTTGCTCTTCCAAAAGAGTGGCTCTAATTTTGATTACTGCGTCGGCGAACCCATCCGCAGAACAGAAAACAAAAACTGACCAACGCAGTTGCCATTCACCTTTGTCCAAAGGCAAAAGGTGAAAAGTCACGACACATATTGCCATAGAAGAGAAGGCAATTCAACCTGCCAACCAATCGACTAATTCTCAGCTCCTTCCAAAAATAAAAATAAAAATAGGAGAAAGGGGGCTGCCGCTGGGCTGGCCGATGCCTGGCCGCCGAGTGCGCCGCGCTCCGCAAGCTCCCGCCACCCGCCGCGCTCCAGGACCCTCGGGTTTCGGCCCAGTTATCACAAAGCCCCGGGCTGGAAAACACCTCCGGCCTGGCCAGAATGGCCAGCCCGTCCTCCGCGCTCGCCCGGGGGGATAATGGTGGCGAGATCAACTCCAAGGGCTCCCGAGCCCCGCGATAAAGAGGCTGGATATTACGGGAGGAAGGACGCTGTGGAAGAATAACGGAGTCCCAAACTTTCCTTCCACACCTCCAGAGCCCCGCGCCCAGGCCCGGTCCCCACCGGCCCGAAGTTGGCCGGAGCGCCTCCCGGGAGCTTGGGGCCTCCGGGAGCCCCTGCCACGCGCCCGCCCGCCAGAGCGGGGCTAGCCCTCCCCGCCGGCCGCGGCCGACTCCCGCCCCGGTCCGAGTTAATCCCGCGCGGGCCCCCCCCCCGCGCCCGGCCCCGCCGGAGCAGCTGGCTCGCGCCTCAATGGCACCGGGCGGCGAGCGCGCGCAGCCCTCGCGCCCACACCCAGCCCCAGCCCACCGGAGAAGTCCCGGGAGGGTCGCCGGGTCCCGCTCCCGCTCCCTCTCCCACAAAAGCACGGGCCCGCCCCGCCCTCGCGGTGCCTGCTCCTCCACCCCAGGATCCGGCGTCCCCGGCCCGACGCCCCTCGGCACCCGGGCACAGCCCGGCGGCCCCCGCCCGCCCTCCTGCCCTTTTGCGCCCTCCTCCTGGCCCCCGACTCCCGGCCGAAGTCCCTCGGGCCCCGGCCCCTCTGCGCGACGGCCCGGGACACCCCGCGCGGGGCAGGGGGAGCAGGGGGCGCAGCGCGCCGCCTCCCGCCCGCGCGGCCACTCACCTCGATCTCGAAGTCGGGCAGGCGGAACGCGGTGCGAAAGAGCGAGCAGAAGTGCGCGATGGCCGGGACCTCCCACCAGGAGCGGAGCTCGCCCAGCCCGGCCGCGCCGCCCTCCTCTGGGCACATCTCCCCGCTGCGGCACAGGCGGCGGCCCCTCGCTGCCCGCGCTCTGCCCGCCGACCTGGGACTCCCGCCGCGGCAGCGCCGCAGCCTCCGCGCGGTCCTCGGCGGGGGCGGCGGGGCGCTCCTCCCGCTGCTGCCGCCGCTCGGCGAGTGCAGGAGCCGAGGGCGGGCGCCGGGCGGGGGGCGGCGGCGCGGGGGCCCGAACTACTGAGGCGGCTGCGGCTGCGGCTGCCCGCGGGGTCCGCGCGCTCGCCCCATCCCGCGGCTGCGGCGGCGGCCGCCCCCAGTCCCCTACAATATAATCGAGTCCCCGCCGGAGAAACAGATGGGGCTAGGGGCGGAGGGGCCGGACGCGGGGCCTGGGGGAGGGGCCGCCCACGAGGAGGGGGCGGGGCTGCCCGCGCCACAACAACAACCCCCGCCCCCGCCCCACCCCCGCCCGGACAGCTGCACCGCCAGGGAGGGGGAGGGGCGGGGCGCGCGCCCCCGGGCCCAGATCCGCAGGACCCAGGGGGCGCGGGCCGCACCCCCGAGAACTCTCACGAGGCGCCCTCCGCCCTCCAGGACTTTGGGACTGGGGAGTTGAAGCACTTTCCCAAGGGAGGACGGCCAGGAGCTCTCCCACCCCCACTTGGCCTGAGTGGTCGCGTCCTTTTAAAGGGCCCGCGGGGTGGTCCTTTCGGTCGGGCTAGAGACAGAAACGTGCACGTGTGGGAGTTCAGTTATTATTGATGCCGAGGGCAGAGCCGGAGCAGGAGCGGGCTGTCCACCCTAGAAATATGAAGCCTAGAGAAGTGAAGTGCTTTCCACCTGTTTCTTAACGCTTTTATTCCAGCCGAGAACGGCGCCCAAGGAGCTCTGAAGTGGCTTTTTTCTCCGAGGGAAGAAGGCGGTGGGGCTGATTGAGCTGGAACGAAGTAGGATGGAGGCTGGAGAGCGGCGGGAAGGGTGGGGTAGGGGGAGGCACCAATCAGCAGCCAAGCGGGAAGAGCGATCCCCAACCCCAGGGAATGGACACGTGTGACCGCCCCGGAGAAGACGGGCTCGGAACCCTGCTACTGCCCGGCCGCTGAAAGAGCTGCCTGGAAGAGTGAGCACAATGTGCTTGGAAGGCGGGGGGATGGGGCAGAGGAGATCGGGAAGCCGGGGACTGTGCTCGGAGGGGAGGAGACCCCCACGCCCCGGCGGAGGGATTGAATGTGCTACGGCCGAAGGGTGTTGGAGTGTGTGCTTTAGAAATGCTAACTGCTGTAGCGCGGTGGAGTACTGCTAAATCCTAAGAAAAAAAATCACCCCAGAAACAGGCTAGAAGTTTGGAAAAACTCCATTGAATGCTCAGATATTTGTATTGGTCGTCGCACTTGCATCCTGCTGGTCTCAGAGGGCCGCCTCTGAGTTCGGTGGTCCACCTTTCAGATAGGAAACACTGCTCCTGGTGCGTCCCCCAAATTAATCAACTATTTATTGAGTGACAGGCACAATCACAAAGTGTACAAGGGTTAAACTCAAAGATCCTCTTCTACCTTTAAGTAGTGTACAATCTGGAGATAATTTATATGATAGATTTTGGAATGGGCTGTCTGGATAATTACCCCTCCACTCTCCCTCACTTTATTATGATAATAACTTGTTGTATTTTTTAAGGCAGCATTCAGAAACATAATTTTAAATGGTTAGAGTATATTCACGTGCATCTTCTGTGAATCTAGTAATCTCAAAATACATCATCTTCTAACAAGGGTCTCCTCCGCCCCCCACCACTCTCTCCTGGCACAGAAAAACAACCCAAAGTTCTGCTCTTTCATTCCCTGGAACTATTTGATGATTTAAAGTGCATCCTCAAATTCTACCATGCTTTTTATTTAATGTTTGGCAAAAATGAGCTCACATGTGACTGCTCCCAAAAAGCCAAGCCTACGTTTGTGTGTGTTGGTGAAGCACAGCTACCCCGTGAGTATTGCATTAGCAAGGGAGATGGGAGAGGGACACAGGCCACCCCGGAATTGTCACGTAACCTGAACGAGGTGCTTTCTGGACTTGCTTCTCCGTCTTTTATTTCCTCACAGTTTGACTTTGCACACTTTTTCCTCTGTGTGAGTTGGCCGGGCGCGGTGGCTTACGCCTGTAATCCCAGCACTTTGGGAGGCCGAGGCGGGTGGTTCACCTTAGGTCAGGAGTTCGAGACCAGCCTGGCCAACATTGTGAAACCTCGTCTCTACTAAAAATACATAAAATTAGATGGGTGTGGTGGCAGGCGCCCGTAGTCCCAGCTACTCGGGAGACTGAGGCAGGAGAATCGCCTGAACTCGGGAGGCAGAGATTGCAATGAGCCGAGATCTCGCCATTGCACTCCAGCCTGAGCAGTAAGAGTGAGACTCCGTCTCAAAAAATAAAAATTAAAAAAAAAAAGTGTTACTGCGTTTCCCTGCCTTTATCTTTTGTCATCGTTTAAGCTTCTTCCCTCGCCTCTCAGTTGTCACCACTAGCCAGCCTAGTAATATTAGTGCCTAGGATATTAATGACACCAGCAAGCAGAGGGATGAGATGATTTGGCTACCTTTTAGTACGGTAGTGTGTTTAATGTCGTTTACAAACACCACCCCAGCCCCAATTTAAAGGCTGAGCCATTGTCTTCCTGCCTCCTCCGCCTACTGCCAAGCCCCGGAAATCAACAAGACTGTCCGGGAACGGCACGCGCCCCCTGGTGCTGCTCGGAGATCCGCCCTGTCTCTCAGGGCTCCTCCTCCCTTCTGCTGCCCTTTCCTTCTGAGGGTCTTCTCTGTTCTGTGGCCCAGCACACCAACTTTAGACCCATTTCCTCCCACCATTCTCTAACTCTGTTTGTCTCTACAGTTTTTTCCCTAGTTCCTCCACCTACCCTGCTACTCTGGCCTCAACTACCCTCTGGAACGGATCCTGGCCCCAGGAGCTGAGGGGTCTCAAGTGTCTTGGAATCAACAGTAAATCTCAATCTTGAGTTCCCCGAGTTTGGGCTCCAACCAGAGCTTTTCCATTTGGACCTTCTCTGGCCCTGTTAGGATTGATACCCTGAATCTTTGACCCTGCTTTGAACATCTGTGCCACGCCTCCCCTTGGACTTAACTGCCTCGGATCTATTTTCTGGACTAACTTCCAGCCTAACCTCCTAGAATCTAGATTAATGACCCCCTACCAATAGGCTGGCCACTCACCCTTCTTCCCTTCTCCCTTTGATTCGGAGTGCTATTGTACTTCTCCAGCCTGGCCCATTCTTTCACCCTCGAAACACTAGTTGAATCATCTTCCTTAAAAACACACAGTTTGCCGGGGCGGTAGGTGACGCCTGTAATCTCAGCACTTTGGGAGGCCCAGGCAGGCGGATCACGAGGTAAAGAGATCGAGACCATCCTAGCCAACATGGTGAAACTCCGTCTCTGCTAAAAATACAAAAAATTAGCTGGGCGTGGTGGCACGCCCCTGTACTCCCAGCTACTCGGAGGCTGAGGCAGGATGATTGGTTGAACCCGGGAGGCAGAGGTTGCAGTGAGCGGAGATCGTGCCACTGTACTCCAGCCTAGCGACAGAGTGAGACTCAATCTCAAAAAAAGAAAAAAGAAAAAACACAGCTCATATTTTCTTTCCCCTTCTCATTCGTGCTGTTTTCTGTTTGTGAGCCAGTGCCATTAACTTCAGATAGTATTAAAAGTAGCAAGAAGTAATTCTTTCATATTCTCTGACCCTGAGTTCCATAATCCCCTTTGAATCAAATGTTTTCTATTTAAAAATCCCACAATAATTCGTTTGGTTTTTCTGTTTTGCTTATTCATTAATATTGCAAAAATATTTATGTTTCCCATTGCAAAATATGAAGTAATGTTAGCTATGTTGGGATTTATATAGGTTCCTGGAGGATAATCTGGGAAATGAACCACCCTTTTTTTTTTTTTACATAGGGGGTCTCCCTTTGTTGTCCAGGCTGCAGTGGAGTGGTGCAGTCATAGCTCACTGCCACCTTACTGAGCAATCCTCCTGCCTCAGCCTCCCAGATAGCTGGCACTACAGGCCAGGCTAACCACATTTTTTTGTTTGTTTTTGTTTGTTTGTTTGTTTTTCCGAGACAGTCTTGATCTGTCACCCAGGCTGGAGTGCAGTGGTGCCATCTTGGCTCACTGCAAGCTCCGCCTCCCCGGTTCACACCATTTTCCTGCCTCAGCCTCCCGAGTAGCTGGGTGTACAGGCACCCACCACCACGCCTGGCTGATTTTTTTTGTATTTTTAGTAGAGACGGGGTTTCACCGTGTTAGCCAGGCTGGTCTCGATCTCCTGACCTCGTGATCCGCCCACCTTGGCCTCCCAAAGTACTAGGATTACAGGCGTGAGCCACTGAGTCTGGCCTAACCACCTTTTTTATGACATTGTTTCTTTGGGAAATACACTGTTATTTCCAAAGGATTAATTTAAAAATGTGTGCTCTGCTTTATTATTACTGAACCTTGGAAGAGATGAACAAAGGAAAGTGTGGCTTCTTCATAACCGTCGTTAACCAGGACAAGCATCCAAATCTTTTTCTTTTTCCTTTTTTTTAGACAGAGTTTCACTCTTGTTGCCCAGGCTGGAGTGCAGTGGCATGATCTTGGCTCACTGCAACCTCTGCCTCCTGGGTTCAAGCAATTCTCCTGCCTCAGCCTCCCGAGTAGCTAGGTTTACAGGCACGCACCACCACGCCTGGCTAGTTTTGTATTTTTAGTAGAGATAGGGTTTCTTCATGTTGGTCAGGTTGGTCTCAAACTCCCGACCTCAGGTGATCCACCTGCCTCAGCCTCCCAGAGTGCTGGGATTATAGGCGTGAGCCACTGCGCCCAGCCAAGCATCCAAATCTAACTGTTCAGCCAGTTTTCTCTCTTTGGAATCATGCTACTTCTCTCTTCTTCTTCTTCTTATTTTTTGTTTTTTTGTTTGTTTGTTTTGTTTTTTGTTTTTTGAGACGGAATCTCCCTCTGTTGCCGAGGCTGGAGTGCAGTGGTGTGATCTCAGCTCACTGCAACCTCTGCCTTCTGCGTTCAGGCGGTTCTCCTGTCTCAGCCTATAGGTGCGTGGCACCACTCCCAGCTAATTTTTGTATTTTTAGTAGAGATGGCGTTTCACCATATTGGCCAGGCTGGTCTGGAACTCCGAACCTTGTGATCCACCCACCTCGGCCTCCCAAAGTGCTGGGATCACAGCACTTTGTAATCCCAAAGTGAGCAGGGTTACAAGGCGTGAGCCACTGTGCGCTGCCTCTCTCTTCTATTTAAATTGCCCTTTCTCTACCTTTGTTTGCCAACCTGACCTGGATACTTCTTGTTTCAGTGCCAGAATCAAATTGGACCAGGAGAGTGTAGTATAAACATTATGTTAGCACTTTAGTCAACTGTGTATAACTAAGCCCAAGTATGGCACAAATTCTTTTTTTTTTTTTTTTTTTTGAGACAGAGTCTTGCTCTGTCGTCCAGGCTAGAGAGCAGTGGCGTGATCTCAGCTCACTGCAAGCTCCGCCTCCCAGGTTCACGCCATTCTCCTGCCTCAGCCTCCGGAGTAGCTGGGACTACAGGCGCCTGCCACCACACCCAGCTAATTTTTTGTATTTTTAGTAGAGACGGGGTTTCACCGTGTTAGCCAGGATGGTCTAGATCTTCTGACCTCGTGATCTGCCCGCCTCGGCCTCCCAAAGTGCTGGGATTACAGGTATGAGCCACCGCGCCCGGGAGTATGGCACAAATTCTTGACAACCCTTCATGAACAGCTCAGCTTTTCTCATTAAGGAGCTGCATTCCATAACTCCCTATTCCCAAAGAGGGCTATACACCAAGCTAATTTAAAATTTTTAGAAATTAGGCTGGGCATAGTGGTTCACACCTGTAATCCCAACACTTTGAGAGGCTGCAGTGGGTGGATCACTTGAACCCAGGAGTTCAAGACCAGTCTGAGCAACATGGCAAAACTTCATCTTTTCAAAAAATACAAAATTTAGCCAGGCATGTTGGTACACACTGTAGTCCCAGTTACTCCAGATGCTGAGGTGGGAGGATTGCTTGAACCCAAGAGGTGAAGGTTGGAGGGAGCTGAGATCATGCTACTGCACTCCAGCCTGAGCAACAGAGTAAGACCCTGCCTCAAAAATAAATAGGCCAGGTATGGTGGCTCATGCCTGTAATTCCAGCATTTTGGGAGGCCAAGGCAGGCAGATCACCTGAGGTCAGGAGTTCGAGCCCAGCCTGGCCAACATAGTGAAACCCTGTCTTTGCTTAAAATACAAAAATTGGCCTGGCACGGTGGCTCACGCCTGTAATTCCACCACTTTGGGAGGCCAAGGCAGGCGGATCATAAGGTCAGGAGTTCGAGACCAGCCTGGTCTCGATATGGTGAATGTCCGTGTCTACTAAAAATACAAAAAAATTAGCTGGGCATGGTGGTGGGCACCTGTAGTCCTAGCTACTCAGGAGGCTGAGGCAGAATTGCTTGAACCCAGGAGGCGGAGGTTGCAGTGAGCTGTGATCGCGCCACTGCACTCCAGCCTGGCGAAAGCGAGACCCCAACTCAAAAAAAAAAAAATTAGCCAGGTGTGGTAGGGTGCGCCTGTAGTCCCAGCTACTCGGTAAGTCAAGGCAGAAGAATCGCTTGAACCCTGGAGGCAGAGGTTGCAGTGAGCTAAGATGGTGCCGCTGCACTCTAGCCTAGGCAACAGAGCAAGACTCTGTCTCAAAAAAACAAAAAAAAAAAGAAGAAGGAAATGGCTAAAATAGTGGGATGCAAAGGACGTGACACAGGATGGAGACCAGGGTTATCAAAAGGAAATGGAAGGTAAGAGGCACCTAAAGGAAGAAACAACAATTCTTGGACGTATTCTTTTTTTTTTTTTTTTTTTTTGAGACGGAGTTTCGCTCTGTCGCCCAGGCTAGAGTTCAGTGGCACAATCTCGGCTCACTGCAACCTCTGCCTCCCAGGTTCAAGCAATTTTCCTGCCTCAGCCTCCCGAGTAGCTGGGATTACAGGCACCCACTGCTGTGCCCAGCTAATTTTTGTATTTTTCATAGAGACAGGGTTTCACCATCTTGGCCAGGCTGGTCTTGAACTCCTGAACTCATGATCCACCCCTGTTGGCCTCCCAAAGTACTGGGATTACAGGCGTGAGCCACCGAGCCCAGCCAGATATATTCTTAAATCCAATCTATCTAAAATATTATTATTTCAACATGTAATCAACACACACAAAAAAAATGAACTAAAAAATTATTTTTTCATGCCAAGTCTTTGAAATCTGGTGTATACTATATTGTATATTTACAGGACATCTCGGTTGGGACTAGTTACATTTTGCAGTTCAATTCACCACTGTGGTTAGTGGCTACTGTATTGGGCAGTGCTGGTCTATAGTAACCTAAATAATCAGTACTCACTTGGCCCCTCTAAATTATTGATTCTTGGGGCTGGACATGGTGGCTCATGCCTGTAATCCTAGCACTTTCGGAGGCCGAGGCAGGTGGATCACCTGAGGTGGGGAGTTTGAGACCAGCCTGGCCAACATGGTGAAACCTCATCTTTACTGAAAATACAAAAATTAGCCAGGTGTGGTGGCGGTGTGCCTGTAATCCCAGCTACTTGGGAGGCTGAGGCACGATAATTGCTTGAACTCTGGAGACAGAGGTTGCAGTGAGCTGAGATTGTGCCACTGCACTCCAGCCTGGGCGACAGAGAGGGACTCTGTCACTAAAAAATAAATAAATAAAATAAATGATCAGTTATTGGCTTTTAAAGACTCCAGGCGAGGATTCCCTAACCACTATGGCCTACTGCAGTGTCTCCCAACTCACCCCTTCCACCTCTTTCTCTAACTAAATCACAGCTCTTCCACTGAGAAGAGCCTATAGGGCTGCTATGCTTCTGTTTTCTCCCTGCCCCCTTAGAGCAGTCTACAAATAATTGATCATAATAAATGCTTGTGGAATAGATGTGTAGTACATTACTAATCTTTAGCATTCACAGAAAACACCAGTCACTCTCTCTCTCTTTTTTTTTTTTTTAATTTGAGATAGAGTCTTGCTCTTTTGCCCAGGCTGGAGTGAAGTGGCTCAATCTCGGCTCACTGCAACCTCCCCCCAGCCCCCGGGTTCAAGTGATTCTCCTGCCTCAGCCTCCCGAGTAGCTAGAATTATGGGTGCCCGCCACCATGCCCGGCTAATTTTTATATTTTTAGCAGATTATACTTTGTAAAGTGTCAACACCCTTGCTATTACTATGTAACCTAGGTTGTTTTTTTTTTGGGTGGGGGGTGTTGTTTGTTTTTTGTTTTGTTTGAGATGGACTCTCACTCTGTCGTCCAGGCTGGAGTGCAATGGTGCACTGCAACGTCCGCCTCCAGGGTTCAAACAGTTCTCCTGCCTCAGCCTCCTGAGTAGCTGAGATTACAGGTGTCCGCCACCAGCCCGGCTAATTTTTGTATTTTTAGCAGAGATGGGGTTTTGCCATGTTGGCCAGGCTGGTCTCAAACTCCTGACCTCAATGATATGCCCACCTCGGCCTCCCAAAATGCTGGGATTATAGACGTGAGCCACTGCACCTGGCCTGTTCTTTTGTTTTGTTTTGCTTTGTTTTGTTTTGCTTTGTTTGAGACAGGGTCTCCCTCTGGCACCGAGGCTGGAGAGCAGGGGCACAATCTCAGCTCACTGCAACCTCCACCTCGTGGGCTCAAGTGATCCTCTCACCTCAGCCTGCCAAGTAGCTGGGACCACATGCACACACCACGATGCCTGGCTAATTTTTTTATTTTTTGTAGAGATGGGGTTTCACCATGTTGCCCAGACTCATCTTGAATTCCTGGGCTAAAGCAATCTACCCGCCTCAGCCTCCCAAAGTGCTGGGATTATAGGCATGAGCCACTGTACCTAGCCTAGTGGGTTTTTTGTTTGTTTGTTTGTTTGTTTGTTTGAGACAGGGTCTCACTTTATTGCCCAGGCTGGAGTGCAATGGCAGATCTTGGCTCATGGCAACCTCCACCTCCTGGGTTCAAGTGATTCTTCTGCCTCAGCCTCCCTCATAGCTGGGATTACAGGCACATGTCACCATGCTTGGACTAATTTTTTTTTTTTTTTTCCGAGATGGAGTCTAGCTTTGTTGCCCAGGCTGGAGTGCAATGGCACAATCTTGGTTCACTGCAACCTCTGCCTTCCAGGTTAAAGTGATTCTCCTGTCTTAGCCTCCTGAGTAGCTGGGATTACGAGCCACCATGCTTGGCTAAATTTTTGTATTTTTAGTAGATACGGGGTTTCACCATATTGGTCAGGCTGGTCTCGAACTCCTGACCTGAACTGATCTGCCGGCCTCGGCCTCTCAAAGTGCTGGGATTATAGGCGTGAGCCACTTCACCCGGCCTAGTGTTTTGTTTTGTTTGTTTTTCAAATGGTGTCTCACGATGTTGTACAAGCTGGAGTACAGTGGTTATTCAGAGAAGCAATCATAGCTTGCTGTGTCCTTGAATTCCTCGGGCACAAGGGATCCTCCGGTAACAGCATCCCAAGTAGATGGGACTGCAGACGTGCCACTGCACCCAGCTCTGCGTAACTAATCACCGCATTTTAAGATTATGTTTAAGCCTTTCATGTATACTTGATTTTCTATTTCCACTTAGTTTCTCCACTTTTCAGTGATTTCCATAATCCTTTTTGGGATTGTTTCCTGATCCTGATTTTTCCCTTGTATTGTTATCAGGCTTTTGGTTTCTATTTTCATATCACCAAGTTCCACATACCTCTTCATTTCACATGGCGTCAAGCTGAGTACTATATAAGTGAAACCACACAGGCATTTGTTCATCCTTTTTCCTTTAAGGCCAACAGCACTGCCCTGGCATCTAGGGCAAACATGGGCTGTAAAGGAACAAAGGGTAAGTCATAAGGAATTCAACAAAATTTTCCTTTATCGTGTCACAGATGCTATCTGAGCTCATCTTCAGGTCTCCTTCCTGTTGCACAGCCTCCCAGCTTCTGTCCTGCTCTCCCTCCAAGCTGCCATGGACCCTGTGGTTCTTACACTCTATTACTTCCCCTTCCATGGGAGGTTTGTCAGCGTTGAATGTTCTGTGAAGCAAGTTTGAAAAGTGATTCACTGCGGGGAGGTTCCAAAAAGATTGACAGGCCACCAGCTGGGAAAGAAGATAACAGAGACTACTGGAGAGAGAAAATGGCAGAAAGTTTTTTGTTTTTTGTTTTTTTTAAAAAAGCATGTTGGGAAAAGTAGCCAGTCACTATAAGAATTCACCATGGATGGGACGTGGTGGCTCACGCCTGTAATCCCAGCACTTTGGGAGGCCGAGGCAGGTGGATCCCTTGAGTCCAGGAGTTCAAGACCAGCCTGGCCAACATGGTGAAACCCAGTCTCTGCTAAAAATACGAAAATTTGCCGGGCATGGTGCTGCGTGCCTGTAATCCCAGCTGTGCAGGAGGCTGAGGTGGGAGGATCACCTGAGCCCAGGAGGCCAAGGCTACAGTGAGCCATGATTACCGCGCTGCACTCTAGCCTGGGGACAGAGCCAGACCCTATCTAAAAAAAAAAAAAAGAAAAGAAAAAAAAAGATGGCTCCCACCTGTAATCCTAGCACACACTTTGGGAGGCCTAGGCAGGTAGATCCCTTGGGCTCAGGAGGTCATGACCAGCCTGGCCAACATGGGGAGACCCCATCTAAAAAAAAAAAAAAAAGAAAAGAAAGAAGGAAAAACAAAAAGAAAAAAGAAAAGATCATTCACTGCGAATAGAGAATCTGTCAGAAATTATTTGGCTAATCACACTGTGCTCTGTATCAATGTCCTCCCATTTCTAGAAATTTCTATAAGCATTTTTCCAGTTAATTACCTTTCCTAAAGCCCAGGTTGAAGTGGAAACATGCCTAACGTACTGTGGCTCTTCTTTCTACCTGGCCACAGCACTCTCAGCACTCCTTAGAACAGAGACTTTCATTACTGTGGATTTGTGGGGCTTGCAAGCCTCAACGTCCTTCCCTGGTGCTTTAGTAACAGCTGCAAGGCTGCCTGAGACCAAGCCTACGTGAGCAGCTCTCTTTATTTTGGCCCTTAAGATTGGTAATTTGTTATTGCCGTGAAACCCAAGTGTCAAGCTTGAAAGCCTCCTGACCCTGGTTGAGAAAGAAGTTCAGCCCGGAGAAAGGAGGCTGCTGCTTTCTGGAGTATTGCTTCTGTGCTCTGGCTCAAGCCAGCCTGCATCAGAGCTGGGGGCTGTATCCTAACAAATATGTTTTCACAGCCGGGCGCAGTGGCTCATGCCTGTAATCTCAGCACTTTGGGAGGCCGGGAACAGCGGATCACCTGAGGTCGGGAGTTGGAGACCAGCCTGACCAACATGGAGAAAACCTGTCTCTGCTAAAAATACAAAATTAGCTGGGCGTGGTGGTGCATGCCTGTAATCCCAGCTACTCCGGAGTCTGAGGCAGGAGAATCGCTTGAACCCAGGAGGCGGAGGTTGTGGTGAGCCGAGATCACGCCATTGCACTCCAGCATGGGGAACAAGAGTGAAAACCTGTCTCAAAAAAAAAACCAAAAAACAAAAAACTAAAAAACAAAAACAAAAAACAAATATGTTCTCACACTACACGCAGCCATGGAGGAAATTAGTACAAATGTTAGTTCACTCAGTACCCAGTGGTGGGAATAAAATGGGGCTGAGGGAGTCCTTTCTACCGTGGGCATCCACTTTGATTCAGGACCAAAGTCCTCACCAGATTTTATGTCCTGCTGAAGGGCTTTTGTTCAATTCTAGTCTAAAAACTCTAAGAATCAGCTCTCTTGCTGCTCCTGGGTTGCTTAGTCCCTGTTCATGCTGCTCTGTTCCAGAATTCCTCTTTGAATTCCTGGAGTGTCCAGCTCTGGCCTATCTCATTGTGGCATCTTCCCTTGTGCTTGACACCAGGTCAAACAGCTTTGTAGCATCTCAATTCTCAGTGCCATTCAGAAGGTGGTGAATCTTAATGCGTTCTTCCTTAATCTCTTTTCAAAAGGGCTACAATCCAAATTTCTCTTTCTTTTTAATTATTTTAGGTCCTTGTGTCATTCCTTTGGCCTCCAACCATCCCTACTCAGTTTAAAGGTCGCATTATTTTGGTGGACAAAGTGCCCAGGGTTGTACACATCTGGACTCAAACTCTTTAGCTGGGCCTGAGTTATTTCTTCAGTTCATTTCATTCAACATGGAAATACACATTTGGGTAGAAAATTGAGTCTCTGGTCTCAGGGAGTTTTTAATGCAATTGGTAAAATAGTAAGATTGTCTGTGTAGTATAGACTATAAGTATACTACATAGTGTTAAAGTTATAAAGTGTTAGAAATAATCTAGTCAATTGCTCCTTTTAGAGGAAGGAACTCAAAGAAGAAAATTTTTAGTGTGAGCTAGAATGTTTGGGAAATGCTTCATGAGGAAGACGGGGCTTGAATTGGTGAGAAACACAGTTAGCTATCTTTATCCAGGATATAAAAACTTCAATAAAATTGTAGGCTGAGTGCAGTGCAGTGGCTCACGCCTATAATCCCAGCACTTTGGGAGGCCGAGGCGGGCGGATCACGAGGTCAGGAGTTCGAGACCACCCTGGCCAATATGGTGAAATCCTGTCTCTACTAAAAATACGAAAAGTAGCTGGGTGTGGTGTTGGGTGCCTGTAGTCCCAGCTACTCGGGAGGCTGAGGCAGGAGAATCGTTTGAACCCAAGAGGCAGAGGTTGCAGTGAGCACAGATCACACCATTGCACTCTAGCCTGGGCCACAGGGCGAGACTCCATCTCAAAAATAAATAAATAAATAAATAAAGATTTTATTAAATTCAAAAGCAATTAGTTTAGAAATAATTTTTAAACTTAAAGTGATATTTAGGCTGGGTGCAGTGGCTCACGCCTGTAATCCCAGAACTTTGGGAGGCTGAAGAGGGCAGATTACTTGAGGTCTGAAGTTTGAGACCAGCCTGGTCAATATGGTGAAACCCTGTCTCTACTAAAAATACAAAAATTAGCTGGGCATGGTGGCATGTGCTTGTAATCCCAGCTACGTGGGAGGCTGAGGCAGGAGAATTGCTTGAACCCGGAAGGTGGAGGTTGCAGTGAGCCAAGACTGTGCCACTGCACTCCAGCCTGAGCAACAGAGCGAGACTCCATCTCAGAAAAATAATAAAAATAATGAAGTGATATGTAGTAGAGAAGGCAATATAGTGAAAAGGCAAGAGCAGTCTTGTAGGATTCATTCAAAAGATCTGGCATTCTAGGCTCGCTGTGGTGGCTCATGCCTGTAATCCCAGCACTTTGGGAGACCAAGGTGAAAGGATCACTTGGGGTCAGGAGTTCAAGACCAGCCTGTCCAACATGGCAAAACCCCGTCTCTACTAAAAGTACAAAAAAATTAACTGGGCATGGTGGCACGTGTCTGTAGTCCCAGCTACTCCGGAAGGTGAGGCATGAGAATCATTTGAACCCAGGAGGTGGAGGTTGCAGTGAACCAAGATCATGCCACTGCACTCCTCTAGCCTGATCAACAGAGCGAGAGTCTGTCTCAAAAAACAAACGAAAAATCTGCGGGCCGGGCACAGTGGCTGTCACCTGTAATCTCAACACTTTAGGAGGCCAAGATGGGAGGATCGCTTGAGGCCAGGAGTTTGAGACCAGCCTGGTCAACATAGCGAGACCCCAGCGACCCCATCTCTATCTTTACTTTTTTTATTTTATTTTATTTTATTTTATTTTATTTTATTTTATTTTATTTTGAGATGGAGTCTTGCTCTGTTGCCCAGGCTGGAGTGTAGTGGTGCGATTTTGGCTCACTGCCACCTCCGCCTCCCGTGTTCAAGCGGTTCTCCTGCCTCAGCCTCCCAAGTAGCTGGGATTACAGGCACCTGCCACCACACCCGGCTAATTTTTGTATTTTTAGTAGAGATGGGGTTTCATCATCTTGGCCAGGATTGTCATGAACTCCTGACCTCATGATCCACCCGCCTCGGCCTCCCAAAGTGATGGGATTACAGGCGTGAGCCACCACGCCTGGCCACTTTTTTTATTTTTATTTATTTATTTATTTATTTTTGAGACGGAGTCTCGCTCTGTTGCCCAGGCGGGACTGTGGACTGCAGTGGCGCAATCTCGGCTCACTGCAAGCTCCGCTTCCCAGGTTCACGCCATTCTCCTGCCTCAGCCTCCCGAGTAGCTGGGACTACAGGCGCCCGCCACCGCGCCTGGCTAATTTTTTGTATTTTTAGTAGAGACGGGGTTTCACCTTGTTAGCCAGGATGGTCTCGATCTCCTGACCTCATGATCCACCCGCCTCGGCCTCCCAAAGTGCTGGGATTACAGGCGTGAGCCACCGCGCCCGGCCCTTTTTTTATTTTTTATGTTTATTTTTGGAGACAGAGTTTCACTCTTGTTGCTGGAGAGCAATGCAGTCTCGGCTCACTGCAACCTCTGCCTCCCAGGTTCAATTGATTCTCCTGCCTCAGCCTCCCGAGTAGCTGGAATTACAGGCATGCACCACCACACTAGGCTAATTTTTGTATTATTAGTAGAGACGGGATTTCACCGTCTTGACCAGGCTGGTCTCAAACTCCTGACCTCAGGTGATCCACTCCTTGGCCTCCCAAAGTCCTGAGACTACAGGCATGAGCCACTGCGTCCCGCCTATCTTTTTAATTTTTTTTTGAGATGGAGTCTCACTCTGTCACCCAGGCTGGAGTGCAATGGCATGATTTCCGCTCACTGCATCCTCCGCCTCCCGGGTTCAAGCAATTCTCCTGCCTCAGCCTCCTGAGTAGCTGGGATTATAGGCGCCTACCACACGGCCGGCTAATTCGGCTTATTTTTGTGTTTTTAGTGGAGAATTACTTGAACCCAGGAGGCAGAGGTTGCACTGAGTGGTGCCACTGCACTCTAACCTGGGCTTAGAGAGTGAGACTCCGTCTCAAAAAAAAAAAAAATAAAAAGAGGAACATGGAAATTAACTTCCCTTGCTTTTAACTTAAGATGAGGAGTAAATAATTATATAGCCTAAAGCTACCTGCACCAATTACAGTAAAAACTATTTGTCTTATTTATTACAATACACAAAGTCCTAGTCTGTATAAGCTATACTCATTATTTTACCCCAAAAAGAAAAAATTTGGTCAGGCCCGGTGGCTCACGCCTGTAATCTCAGCACTTTGGGAGGCTGAGGTGGGCAGATCACTTGAGGCCAGGAGTTTGAGACCAGCCTGGCCAACATGGTGAAATCCTGTCTCTACTAAAAATACAAAAAGTAGCCGGCATGGTGGCGTGCACCTGTAATCCCAGCTACTCAGGAGGTTGAAGCAGGAGAATCATTGAACCCAGGAGGCAGAGGTTGCAGTGAGATCACACAACTGCACTCCAATGGGGGTGAGAGAGTGAGACTCTGTCTCACAAAAAATAAAAATAAAAAAAAAGAAGGAAAGAAAAAAATTTTCCTTTTTATGAATACAACTGTGGGATTGACATTGTTTTCCAATTTGATTTCCCCAATCATATTTTTCCCCATATTTTGGGGAATAATAATATGAATAATAATTTTCATATTATTCCCCCATAAATATTTACTAAACAGTTACTATGTTTTAAGCATTGTTGTAAGAGTTGAAGACCTAGAAATTCCTATGAACTTCAAATCTATTATGTGTATACTTTCATTATTTTTAAAGTTAATCAGGTTTCCCTATCACCTTCTATCTTCATTAACGACAACTGAAGCAGAGTCTGTGAGATTCTTGTCTTTGCGTGGCTGAAAAACTAAAAGGTTTTTGGACATTTAGTAGGAAGAGACCTGTTGGTGAAAAAGGAAAAGGATGGGGGGCACCCTGTGACAACTGTGGTTATTCTTGCATAGAGATGGATATGATTATGCTGTTAGGTTTAATCATGCTAAAAAACATGGCATTCCTGGTAAATCGCAGTCAGTCCAGAAGACAGCTTCTGACGTGCCCTCCTAAACCACAGAAACATTAGCTAATGTGTGATGACCTCTAAAAACATTCTGGCTGCGCTGGGCGCGGTGGCTCACGCCTGTAATCCCAGCACTTTGGGAGGCCGAGGTGGGCAGATCACGAGGTCAGGAGATCGGGACCATCCTGGCTAACACGGTGAAACCCCATCTCTACTAAAAATACAAAAATTTAGCCGGGTGTGGTGGCAGACGCCTGTAATCCCAGCTACTCGGGAGGCTGAGGCAGGAGAATGGCATGAACCCGGGAGGCAGAGCTGGCAGTGAGCCGAGATCGCGCCACTGCACTCTAGCCTGGGTGACAGAGCGAGACTCCATCTCAAAAAAAAAAAAAAATTCTGGCTGCACACACCAACATGGAACACGTATACATATGTAACAAACCTGCACGTTGTGCGCTTGTACCCTGGAACTTAAAAGTATAATTAAAAAAATCAAAAAACAAAACAAAACGACAACAACAACAAAAATATTCTGGCTGCAGTGGCTCATGTCTATAATCTCAGCACTTTGGGAGGCCGAGGCAGGAGGATTGATTGAGCCCAGGGTTTCAAGAACAGCCTGAGCAAAATAGTGAGACCCTGTCTCTACGGAAAAAAAAAACATAGCCAGGTGTGATAGTACATGCCTGCGGCCTCAGCTACATGGGGGGCTGAGGCGGGAGGATCAGTTTAGCTTGGGAGTTCTGGGCTATAGTTCACTATGCCAACTGGGTATTCACACTAGGTTCAACATCAGTATGGTGACCTCCTGGGAGCAGAGAACCAGGAGGTTGCCCAACGAGGGGTGAATGGGTTCAGGTCAGAAACAGAAGAGTCAAAGGTCCTATGCTGATCAGCAATGGCATTCTGCCTGTGAATAGCCACTGCACTCTGCCTGGGCAACATAGCAAGACCTCATCTCTAAAAAGTAGTAAATAAATAAATAAAAATAAAAACACTCTGATCTAATGGCCCATCCCTGCCAGACTAAATAACAGGAGTTAGCAAGCTTCTTAATTAATGGTAGAAAAGACAAATCTCCAGAAACAATCTATTGCAAAGGTTGGGAACTGTGGAAATGTCTCTAATAGTTACAGGCCCCAAATTAGTCCCCTGGCCTTGTGAGCGCATCTCATGTGCCCATTTGAAACTCAACTGCAATCAAATTTCCTGGCTAAAGGCTGGATGGTGAAGTGTAAAAAATAGTGTCTTCACCTTAAAATTCATAACAAATGGCACAGAGTAGCATTTCTTTTTTTTTTTTTTTTGAGACGGAGTCTCACTTTGTCACCCAGACTGGAGTGCAGTGGCGTGATCTCGCCTCACTGCAACCTCTGCCCCTGGGTTCAAGCGACTCTCATTCTCAGCCTCCTGAGTAGCTGGGATTACAGGCGCACACCACCATGCCTGGCTAATTTTTGTATTTTCAGTAGAGACAGGGTTTCACCATGTTAGTCAGACTGGTCTCAAACTCCTGACCTCGTGATCCACCCGCCTCGGCCTCCCAAAGTGTTGGGATTACAGGTGTAAGCCACCAAGTCCGGCCCAGAGTAGCATTTCTTGTTGGCGGTTGGGACTGAGGCCAAAATGGAGATGACAGAACCATCAAAGTGGGGGGAGTTCTGGGGGGATGGTCAGTGATTGGTCAACAGTGGTTGAAGAATGAAAGATTGTATATAGGCCAGGCAGTGGCTCACGCCTATGATCCCAGCACTTTGGGAGGTCGAGGTGGGTGGATCATTTGAGGTCAGGAGTTCAAGACCAGCCTGGCCAACGTGGTGAAACCACGTCTCTACTAGAAATACAAAAAATTAGCTGGGCACGGTGGCATGCGCTGTAATCCCAGCTACTCGGGAGGCTGAGGCATGAGAATCATGTGAGCCCTGGAGGTGGAGGTTGCAGTGACCTGAGATCACACCACTGCACTCCAGCTTGGGCTACAGAGTGAGACTCCATCTCAAAAAAAAAAAAAATATATATATATATATTAGCCGGGCTTAGTGGCGTGTGCCTGTAGTCCCAGCTACTCAGGAGGCTGAGGCAGGAGAATTGCTTGAACCCGGGAGGTGGAGGTTGCAGTGAGCCGAGATCATGCCACTGCACTCTAGCCTGGGTGACAGAGCAAGACTCCATCTCAAAAAAAAAAAAAAAAAAAAGGGGCCGGGTGCGGTGGCTCACACCTGAATCCCAGCACTTTGGGAGGCCAAGGCGGGTGGATCATTTGAGGTCAGGAGTTCAAGACCAGCCTGGCCAATGTGGTGAAACCACATCTCTACTAGAAATACAAGAATTAGCCGGGCAGTACTTGCACGTGCCTGTAATCTCAGCTACTGGGGAGGCTGGGGCAGGAGAATCGCTTGAGCGTGGGAAGCGGAGGTTGCGGTGAGGGCATTCCAGCCTGGGCAACAGAGTGAGATGCTGTCTCAAAAAAAAAAAAGAAAGAAAGAAAGAAAGAAAGAGTGTATATAAATGAAAAAGTGTTATTTTATTACTCTGACTTAGGACTTGCTCATTGCCTGGGTGAGTGGAAAAGGTCTGTACAACCGCTAAGCGTTTCTTGCCCTCTTGTGTGGAAAAGCAAGGACTTGGTATTTCCAGGTCTCCCATCCTATTGTTTTTTTTCTTGATATACAAGAGTTCATTAACTCCAGCAAATAAAAAGCAAACTTATGCTGGTTGACTGCTTGACACTGCACTGGTATCTGGAGCATTGGCATAAACTAGCCTGTACCTGCAGGTTGTAGTCACTTAAGCATTAAGCGGGTAGCTGTTCTGGGTTGCTCTGTCTTAAGGTAACTATGGTAACTATAAAAATGATACTGTGGGATACTAGATTAATTTCTTCCTCATTGGCTTCCCAATCTAATTGACTCCGTTGACGTGAAAGGGTGACTCCCAGCTGCTGGCACCCCTGTCAATCCAACCAGGATGTGAAACATCCAGCTGTGTTTTTTCAGCTCTTTCATCGTCTTCATCTGAGAGAAAGACTCTGCTTGGATTGGTAGTGATGAGCCAAGGGGAACAGCATCAGAGAGGCTGCATAGGGGTGCAAAGAGGATAAACGAGTTTCCAGATATGCTGGTGCATAATAGGGATAGGTTATGAAGGAAAATTAAGTGGAAAGGAAAAAAAATGATATGCATTAACTCTTTGAAATTAAGGTGTTAGTGAGATAAAGACTCCCATTGTGCAAAGGGTGTTTAGCAAGATGGAGCCTGAGAAGAATGAAAGTCAAAAGTGCATTGTGATTTCATGGTCCAGAGATGCCTTAAGGGGCATGTGGGTCAACCTCCCACCCACTGAGGAATGCCTCCTGACATCTCTGAGGACACGTCAGCCTGCATTTGATCACTTTCCATTTACAGCATTGGGAGTCACTGCATCGGGAGGCAGACGACTCTAGTTTTGGTCAATTCTAACTATTCAAAGAATCTTCTTTTACAGTGAAGTGAAATCTGCCTTTCTGTAAATTTAACTTGATGATTGAAGAGCAAGATTAAAATGTATTACTTGGCCGGATGCAGTGGCTCACGCCTGTAATCCCAACACTTTGGGAAGCCAATGTGGGTGAATCACCTGAGGTCAGGAGTTCGAGACCAGTCTGGGCAACATGGTGAAACCCCGTTCTCTACTGAAAATACAAAAAATTAGCCAGGTATGGTGGTGGGTGCCTGTAATACCAGCTACTTGGGAGGCTGAGGCAAGAGAATAGCTTGAACTTGGGAGGGGGAGGTTGCAGTGAGCCAAGATTGTGCCATTGCACTCCAGCCTGGGCAACAAGAGTGAAATTCCATCTCAAAAAAAAAAAAAAATTAGCCAGGCTTGGTGGCAGGTACCTATAATCCCAGCTACTTGGGAGGCTGAAGCAGGAGAATTGCTTGAACCTGGGAGGTGGAGGTTGCAGTGAGCTGAAATCATGCCACTGCACTCCATCCTGGGTGACAGAATGAGACTCCATCTCAAAAAAAAAAAAAAGTATTACTTTCTCTTCCACGTAATAATAGCCCCTTGAAGACGCTAGTCAGTGCCACTCTAAGATTTCTCTCTTCTGCAAGTAAATACTCCCACTTCATTTATTTAATATTTATTTGTTCATTTATTCAGAGCAGGACCCAGGTGTGAATTGTTCATTATTGCATATCCAGCAACTAGAGCAGTACTTGGTTGTAGTAAGCAGTAAATAAAACAAAACCAAAACGAAACCAGAAATCATTTATTGAAGGTCTTTTCTGTGCCACGCACGGTATCCAACTGTAGATTTAGATTTACGAAGTTCAGTAAACCAGGGTCCATGCAGTTCAGCAATTAAAGTCTAGAGAGGAAGGCAAACAAATAAATCAGAGATTAGAGATCTGCATGTAGGCACAATATGTTATGGGGAGCACGGACAAAGAACATCCACACTAAGCTAGGACACCAGAGGACGCTTCCTGGACACGGAGATGCTTCAGTGCAGCTTGAAGGACATGTGTCCTTTGGGTGGACAAGGGGGAAGCTAAGAGGCGCAGTGGCATAAAATAGTCGCGTCACTCGGAGTGTCTGGGGCAAAGCATGTTTGTTGGTTGTGGAAGAAGAATGAGGCTACAGATGTAAACAGGATTCAGGTGAGGAAAGTCCTTTTGTGCTCAGCTCACAGTTAAAGCTTCATGCTGACACATTTGGAGAAGCCACTGAAAGAGTTTAAGCAAGAAAATGATAGAAACTGTTTACGTTTAGAACATTGGCACAATGATGGAGAATGGCTTGAAGAAGCAAAGGGAACAAATAGGTTGTAGTCAGAAAGACGAGTTAGAAAATAGACTGAAGTCACAAAGGCTGAAGTCAGTAATTCAGGCAGGAAGCAGTGAGGTCCTAACCGAAGGCAACAGCAGAGGGCATGAAGAAAAGGAGGAGTCAGGACAATATTGTGCAGCTAGAACCTACAGGCTTTGGTGACTGATGTGTGTTCTGCTTGAGAAATACGTGTCCTAGATTACTTGTGTTGGGAATAACACTTAAAATCTTAAGGAGATTGAACACTCAAACAAAGGATTCTTAGCAAAGCAATTTTACTTTTGCGCAGAGGGGTGCTTTTCCTTGGCCGGTCACCATGAGAGCACACCTGAACAAAGGCGCACGAGAGCCTTTATTCCTGATGCCAAGTCCTGCCCCTGTACCCTTTCCCCATTGGCCAGGGTCGGGTCGCACAAACTGAACTAATCCCGGTTGGCTAGACATTTGAACTCTTTTTAGATAAGGTGGACACGTAAGGGAGAGAGGGGAAAAGGGGAAAGGGTATCTGTAATGAGTTAGCGAGCTAGTCTTTTTTATTTTTTTATTTTTTTATTTTTTGAGACGGAGTCTCGCTCTGTCGCCCAGGCTGGAGAGCAGCGGCGCGATCTCGGCTCACTGCAAGCTCCGCCTCCCGGGTTCACGCCATTCTCCTGCCTCAGCCTCCCGAGTAGCCGGGACTACAGGCGCCCGCCACCACGCCCGGCTAATTTTTTTGTATTTTTAGTATAGACGGGGTTTCACCGTTTTAGCCAGGATAGTCTCGATCTCCTGACCTCGTGATCCGCCCGCCTCGGCCTCCCAAAGTGCTGGGATTACAGTCGTGAGCCACCGCGCCCGGTCATCTTTTTTTTTAAATAAGGAAAGAATGTGAGCTGGTACTGATAAGCCTGGTACTGTGGCGTGTCTGGGCATGTAACAAAGGCAGAAAGGAAAAAAAGAGAGAAAGGAAAAAGGGGTTTAAGGGTATATGAATTAAAGAATAAAGGATTGATAGGGCTATTTGAAGAGAAACCTCATCATATCCCACACTCGCGTGACTGGGCGAGGGATGACCTCACTGCCTGAAATCCAGACTATGGCTCTTCAGAGAAAGTTGAAGCAAGCAGGTATACACGTTGTAACCCTGAGGCACGATGAGCTGATGACCAGCCGGATGCACAGGACCAGCAGGGAGGTCCCAGTGGACGTGGTGCGGGAGCCAGCAGGGTGTAGCAAGCCCTTCGGGAGGCTCCCCAGGGAGGACATGGGAAGGGAGGGGGGCCAAGAACTAAGGACAGAGCTGTGGTCCTTCCCTCGTTCCTTCCTCGCATAGCGTGGATTCAAGACTTTTGTTGTTGTTGTTGTTGTTGTTGAGACAGAGTCTCGCTCTGTCCCCCAGGCTGGAGTGCAGTGGCGCAATCTCGGCTCACTGCAACCTCCGCCTCCCAGGTTCAAGTGATTCTCCTGCCTCAGCCTCCCAAGTAGCTGGGACTACAGGAGCGTTCCACCACGCACGACTAATTTCTGTATTTTTAGTAGAGACAGGGTTTCACTATGTTGGCCAGGCTGGTCTCAAACTCCTGACCTCAGGTGATCCGCCTGCCTCAGCCTTCCAAAGTGCTGGGATTACACGCATGAGCCACGGAGCCTGGCCCAAGACTTCTTTTTTTTTTTTTTTTTTTTTTTTGAGATGGAGTCTTGTTCTGCCACCAGGCTGGAGTGCAGTGGCGCGATTCCAAGACTTCTTAAAGTCCTGTTGAGCCTTCTCAAGGTTCTTCTTGGGATTGTACCTAACAAAACAAAGCAAAAGTTATTTCACCAACGCCCAGTATGACAGTGTTGCTTCCTTCCCTTGAGCTGATAAGCATGTTTATCTTAAGACAACCAAGCTAGCATTAGGGTTTTGGCAGCTCATCACACCATTGGTTCATATTGAGTCCAGAGACAACAGAAACCCCCCAATTTAAAAATAAACAGTCAGGCTGGCTGGGCATGGTAGCTCACACCTGTAATCAAACCAGCACTTTGGGAGGCAGAGGCGAATGGATCACTTGAGGTCAGGAGGTCAAGACCAGCCTGGCCAACATGGTGAAACTCTACTAAGAATACAAAAATTAGCCAGGCATGGTGGTGGGCACCTGTAATCCCAGCTACTGAGGACGCTGAAGCTGGAGAATTGCTTGAACTGGGGAGGCGGAGGTTGCAGTGAGCTGAGATCGTGCCATTGCACGTCAGCCTTGGCAATAGATCAAGACTCTGACTCAGATAAATAAATAAATAAATAAATAAATGGTCAGGCCAAGATCTCCTTCAACTACTTTTCTGTAATTGGTTTTTGGGATTTGATTACACAATTTTATATTTGCCTACTAGAAGATGACCCTTTCAGCCTGCATTAAACAGGCCTTCACTGCTGTCAGAATAAAGGTGCCACATGCCAGTATCATGTAGAGAATGTAAAGAAGCTTCAGAAAAGCACTGGAAAATAGCACCTACAGGAAGAGGCTGATGAGATGATGCTGCATTGTTGTCGCTGGAGAAAAGTCATGTTAAATGTGCTAATTGGCTCTGCCAAAAACAATTATGATTTTTCAGTCTCATATGAGAGACTTTAGAAATACAGAAATGTATAAACAAGAAAAATTTTGAAATCACCCATAAAAATGCTCATGTCATTACATTAAGGGGAAAAGAATACAAAATTATATATATAATTTTATTTTTATTAAAAAATATTTGTGTGGCCGGGCACGGTGGCTCAAGCCTGTAATCCCAGCACTTTGGGAGGCTGAGGTGGGCAGATTGCAGTCAGGAGTTCGAGACCAGCCTGGCTAACATGGTGAAACCCCGTCTCTACTAAACATACAAAAATTAGCCAGGCGTAGTGGCACACTCCTCTAGTCCCAGCAACTCAGGAGGCTGAGGCAGGAGAATTGCTTGAACCTGGGAGGTGGAAATTGCAGTAGCAGAGACCACGCTACTGCATCCTAGCTTGGGCGATGGAGCAAGACTCCATCTCCAAAAAAAAAAAATTATGCAAGGCAGAGCACTAATCTTTAAAATAGGTAAAATAATACTTCTTCATAGTGTTGTGAGGATTAAATAAGCAAAGTATTCCTGGCACACAGTAAATTTTTTTAAGTAACTATTATTAAGGAAATATAGTAAAAATATTGTTTGTCTTTGGGCTATATGACAACGATGGCCACCTCCTCAACCTTCTTTCTATTTTTGTGCATTTCTCAAATATTCTATTACGATTATGTGTTACCTTTATATGGAAAAAGATAAATTTTAATGGAAAAACAATACATACTAATTGTAGAGATATAGAAATAAACTAAAACACAGTATTGTAGAAAACAAAATTGCCAGCTGGGCACAGTGGCTCACGCCTGTAATCCCAGCACTTTGGGCGGCCAAGGTGGGTGGATCACTTGGGGTCAGGATATATATATATTTTGTTTGTTTGTTTGTTTGAGACGGAGTCTTGCTCTGTCCCCCAGGCTGGAGTGCAGTGGCGCGATCTTGACTCATTGCAACCTCCACCTCCTGGGTTCAAGCGATTCTCCTGTCTCTGCCTCGTGAGTAGCTGGGATTACAGGCACATGCCACTATGCCCGGCTAAGTTTTGTAATTTTAGTAGAGATGGCATTTCACTATGTTGGTCAGGCTGGTCTGGAACTCCTGACCTCAGGTGATCCACCCACCTCGGCCTCCCGAAGTGCTGGGATTACAGGCGTGAGCCAACGTGCCCTGCCTTACATAAATTTTTTTTTTAGAGATGGAGTCTTGCTCTGTCACCCATGCTAGGGTGCAGTGGGGCGTGATCTCTGCTACTGCAACCTCCACCTCCTAGGTTGAAGCAATTCTCCTGTCTCAGCCTCCTGAGTAGCTAGGACTACAAGTGTGTGCCACTATGCCCGGCTAATTTTTGAATTTTTTTTCTTTTTTGAGACGGAGTTTCACTCTTGTTACCCAGGCTGGAGTGCAATGGCGCCATCTCAGCTCACCTCCGCCTCCTGGGTTCAAGCGATTCTCCTGCCTCAGCCTTCTGAGTAGCTGGGATTACAGGCATGCGCCACTACGCCCAGCTAATATCGTATTTTTAGTAGAGACTGGGTTTCTCCATGTTAGTCAGGCTGGTCTCGAACTCCTGACCTCAGGTGACCCACCTGCTTCGGCCTCCCAAAGTGTTAGGATTACAGGTGTGAGCCACCGCGCCTGGACTAATTTTTGTATTTTTAGTAGAGATGGGGTTTCACCATGTTAGCCAGGCTGGTCTCGAACTCCTGACCTCAGGCAATCTGCCCGCCTCAGCCTCCCAAAGTGCTGGGATTACAGGCTTGAGCCACCGCAGCCCGGCCACATAAATATTTTTTAATGAAAATGAAATTATATATATAATTTTGTATCCTTTTCCCCTTAATGTAATGACATGAGCATTTTTATGGGTGATTTCAAAATTTTTCTTGTTCATACATTTCTGTATTTCTGAAGTCTCTCATAATGACCACGTGTTATTTTAAAAATAGTATTCACTTTTACTAATCATAGTAATGTATGTCATATAATGAATAATATAGTAGAATAATATATAATACATGCTCAATGTGTAAAACAAAACTACAGAAAAATCCACATCACATAAAGAAAAAGTAGCCGGGCTCAGGGGTTCATGCCTGTAAATCCAACACTTTGAGAGGCTGAGGGGGTGCACTGCTTGAGCCCAGGAGTTTGAGACCACCCTGGCCAACATGGTGAAACCCTGTCTCTACAAAAAATACAAAAATTAGATAGGCGTGGTGGCGCGAGCCTGCAGTCCCACATACTTAGGGGATTGATGTGGAAAAATCGCTTGAACCCAGAAGGCAGTGGTTGCAGTGACCCAAGATTGCACCTCTGCACTCCAGCCCTGGTGACAGAGTGAGACTCTGTCTGAAAAAATAAAATAAAATAAAAATTAGCTAGGTGTGGTGGTGTGCACCTGTAGTCCCAGCTACTCAGGAGGTGAAGGTGGGAAAATTGCTTGAGCCCAAGAGGTCGAAGCTCCAGTGAGCTGCAGTTGCACCACTGCACTCCAGCCTGGGCAGTGAAGTGAGGCGCTGTCTCAAAAAAAAAAAAAAAAGGAAGTAAGAAAAATAAAAATAAAAAAAGAAATGAATAAAAAAAATTGTTGAGGCTGGGCACAATGGCTCATGCCTGTAATACCCAGCACTTGGGGAGGCCAAGGGCCAAGGTGGGAGAATTGCTTGAGGCCAGGAGGTCAAAACCAGGTATCACAGGGAGACCTCACCTCTACAAAATAATTTTAAGGCCATGGCCAGGCATGGTGGCTCACGCCTGGAATCTCAACGCTTTGGGAGACCAAGGTGGGTGGATCACTTGAGGTCAGGAGTTTGAGACCAGCCTGGCCAACATGGTGAAACTCTGTCTCTACTAAAAATACAAAAATTAGCTAGGCATGGTTGAATGCACCTGTAATCCCAGCTACTTGGGAGGCTGAGGCAGAAGAATCACTTGAACCTGGGAGGTGGAAGTTGTAGTGAGCTGAGATCTCAACACTGCACTCCAGCCTGGGCAACAGAGCTAGACTCTGTCTCAAAAAAAAAAAAAAAATGCCGGGCGTGGTGGCTCACGCCTGTAATCCCAGCACTTTGGGAGGCCAAGGCGGGTGGATCACAAGATCAGGAGTTCAAGACCAGCCTGGCCAAGACGGTGAAACCCCATCTCTACTAAAAGTACAATAATTAAGCACCTGTAATCCCAGCTACTAGGGAGGCTGCGGCAGGAGAATCATTTGAACCTGGGCGGCAGAGTTTGCTGTGAGCCAAGATTGTGCCACAGCACTCCAGCCTATGTGGTGACAGAGTGAGACTCCGTCTCAAAAAAAAAAAAAACGGATTTTAAGGCCATAGCGGGTACAGTGGTTCATCCCTGTAATCCCAGCACTTTGGGAGGCCGATGTGGGAGCATCACATGAGGCCAGGAATTTGAGACCAGCCTGGGCAAAATGGCGAAACCCCATCACTACATAACATACAAAAATTAGCTGGGTGTAGTGGCAAACACCTGTGGTCCTAGAGACTCGGGAGGCTGAGGCAGGAGGATCACTTGAGCCTAAGAAGTTGAGATTGCAGTGAGCTGTGATTGAGCCACTGCACCCCAGCCTGAGAGACAGAGAGGGAGACCCTGTCTCAACAACTAAAAAAAAAAAAAAAAAAACATAAAAAATTCAAAACAAGAAAAACTGCATGTAATACCATTACGTACATATGTTACCATTAACATTGTTGTACTTACTATTAACACTGTTGTACGTCGTTATACATGTCTCTCATGTATAACTTTTATATTTGGAAGACAAAAATCTACACTCCATGGTCTCTGCTCCGCCCCTCCTGGCCCCTGCCTGCTGCTTGTCCTCCCTCGGTGGAAGCCTGGAATTGTGTCCTGACTGGTGTCCTTGCCTGCAGGCTCTTCTTTCCAGGCCACCCTGCACACTGTTTCCAAGTATCTGATCCTGTCACTTCTCTGCTTGAAAACATTTCCTGTCTCTGCATTGCTTACAGGATAAGTTCCAAACTCCTTAGCTCTGCATGCAAGATTCTCTGCACTCGATCCCACCTACCTGCCTCCACCTCAACTTCTCCAACACAAACATAGGCCAGGCCCCTACTCTCCTCTGAACAATACACACTTTCCCACCTCCGTGTGTCTGCTGACCCTGATTCCGGAAGTTCTTTTCCTACACATACTTGAGGAAATTGTACTTGTCCTTCAAGATGCATCTCAGGCTGGGCCCGGTGGCTCACGCCTGTAATCCCAGCACTTTGGGAGGCTGAGGTGGGTGGATCACGAGGTCAGGAGATCGAGACCATCCTGGCCAACATGGTGAAACCCCGTCTCTAGTAAAAATACAAAAAATTAGCTGGGCATGGTGGCACGCACCTGTAGTCCCAGCTACTGGGGAGGCTGAGGCAGGGGAATTGCTTGAACCCAGGAGGCGAAGTTTGCAGTGAGCCGAGATCCAGCCACTGAACTCCAGCCTGGCGACAGAGCAAGACTCCACCTCAAAAAAAAAAAAAAGATTCATCTCAAAGGAGACCTCTTTGGGCCACCCTCCCAGTACTCCTCTGGAAGAGTTATTTTATTGCATGGCAGTGCTGTGTGCATATTCACCTTCCCTAAAACTTTGTGTGTCACCTCCTACCAGAGCGCAATCTCATGTAATAATCTGTGCACTTCTCGCACCTAAATGGTGCCTGATGCATGATAGCCTTTAGCTGAATGCAGAAAGGAACATCTGTATGTTTGTCTTTCACTCAGCTAATCAAGCAACTAGCATTTCTGAAGTATTTACCATGTGCTCAGCATGTGCAAGACTGTAGAACTGTCAAAAGACTCAACACTTTTTAATTTTCAAATTAAATTAAATATTAAATTAAACTTATTTTAGAGATAGGGCCTTGCTCTGTCACATTGTCCAGGGTGGAGTGCAGTGGCTTACTGTAGCTTCTAATTCCTGAGCTTAAGGGATCCTTGTGTTTCAGCCTCCCAATTAGCTGGGACTACTGGCGGTCATCACCACACGTGGATAATTTTTAAAATCCTTCCTTCCTTCCTTCCTTCCTTCCTTCCTTCCTTCCTTCCTTCCTTCCTTTCTTTCTTTCTTTCTTTCTTTCTTTCTTTCTTTCTTTCTTTCTTTCTTTCTTTCTTTCTTTCTTTCAGACTGGGTCTCTCAGCCAGGTGCAGTGACTCATGCCTGAAATCCCAGCACTTTGGGAGGCTGAGGCGGGCAGATCACCTGAGGTCAGGTGTTCAAGACCAGGCTGGCCAACAGGTGAAACCCTGTCTCCATTAAAAACACAAAAATTAGCCGGGCTTGGTGGTGGGCACCTTTAATCCCAGCTACTCAGGGGCTGAGGCAGAAGAATCGCTTGAATCCGGGAGGCAGAGGTTGCAGTGAGCCAAGATTGTGCCATTGCACTCCAGCCTGGGTGACAAGAACAAAACTCCATAAAAAAAAAAAAAATCAGGTCTCACTTTGTTGACCAGGCTGGAGTACAGTGGCATGAACACCGCTTACTGCAGCCTCCACCTCCTGGGCTCAAGTGATTCTCCCACCTCAGCCCCCTAAGTAGCTGAAACTAATTTTTGTATTTTTTTGGTATGTAGAAATGGGGTTTTGCCATGTTGCCCAGGCTGGTCTTGAACTCCTGGGCTCAAGAGATCCTCCTGACTCCCAGCCTCTCAGAGACCTGGGATTATAGGTATGAGCCACTGCACCCGGTCTTAACATTCTTTTGTAGAGGTGAGGTCTCACCATGTTGCTTGGTTTTGAACTCCTGGCCTCAAGTAATCTTCCCACATGCAGGATGAGCCGCTGTGCCCAGCCTCAACATATTTTTTAAAATTTTTATTCATTTATTTTTTTCTTTTTTGTTCTTTTTTTCTTTCTTTTTTTTTTTTTTTTTGAGACGGAGTCTAGCTCTGTAGCCCAGGCTGGAGTGCAGTGGTGCAATCTCAGCTCACTGCAACCTCCGCCTCCCAGGTTCAAGCGATTCTCCTGCCTCAGCCTCCTGAGTAGCTGGGATTACAGGTGCGTGCCACCATGCCCAGCTAATTTTTGTATTTTTAGTAGAGACGGGGTTTCACTATGTTGGTCAGGCTGGTCTCGAACTCCTGACCTCATGATCCACCCGCCTCAGCCTCCCAAAGTGCTGGGATCACAGGCGTGAGCCACCAGGCCCGGCCTTTTTTTTTTTTTTTTTTTTTTTTTTTGAGACAACCTCTCACTCTGTTGCCCAGGCTGGAGTGCAGTGGCACAATCACAGCTCACTGAAGCCGTAACCTCTTGGGCTCAAGTGATTCTCCCACTTCTACCTCCTGAGTAGCTGGGACTAGAGGTGTGTGCCATCACACCTAGCTAATTTTGTTTATTTATTTATTTATTTTAGAGATGGGATCTCACTATGTTGCCCAGGGTGGGTTTGAACTCCTGGGCTCAAGCAACCCTCCCACCTCAGACTCCCAAAGTGCTGGGACTACAGATGTGAACCACTGTGCCCGGCCTCCAAAATTTTTTAAAAAATTAATACAACAAAGATTTTTTGAGTGTGTAATATTTGCTGTGAGAATATTAAAGAAGTAAAAGGCATGGTTTTTAATCTCAAGAGAGGCTTTCAATCTATTGTATAGGGAGATACAACTTTGTTCCATGGAATGAATGTAAATAATACAAGCAAATTCCTGTGAAATGTAAAGGCAAGTGGAGGAGAGATGGCATAATGTCTGTGACAGAACACTGGACCAGGAGCTGGGAGGCTTGGTTCCTGCTTATCACTTGCTACCCGAACAAGGTAACCTTGGAGAGATCGCTTAATCTCATTTGGTAAAATCAATGTTTTGATTTTATTGCCTACTGAGATTCCTCTCAGCTCTTTGATTCTATAAGTAAGTGCTATGGGATACCGAAAGGGAGCAATGACCGTGGCTTAGAGTTGCTGGAGGAAAGCTCATGGTGAAGGTGAAATCTGAGCTGAACTTAAACTAGAGGTGAGGTCCGGATAGCCAGGAGAGGAGGCGGAAAGGCATTTCAGATATGGGGAACAACATCAACAAAGGGACAGGCAGAGACAGGATTGGGCAGGCGTGCTTGTGGGGTGGACTAAACAAGGCTATCTTCAGTGGAGAATGTTTGTTAGAGAAGATTGGGAAACAGCTCGGGTAGGTTGCCTAGGGCCAGGAAGGACTTAAGAGAGACATATTGAAAGCAGTGAAGCTATTTTAGGATACTTGCAAAAGCCAGGAATGAGGTAACGAGGGCAAAGATTAGCTTTGCACCAGTGGGAAGTCAGAGCAATGGGTGATGAGAAGCTGCAAAGATAGCATCAGGAACCTGGCTTGGCCATACAGGCTGCAGGAGAGGAAATTAGTCAAAAACACCTCTTAAGTTTTAGACCAGAGAAAGTGCACAGATCAGGTTCTGACCCAGGTTCCCTTGCCTCCAGGAGACAGAATGGGATTCCCCAGCAGTAGGAGTGAAGACTACTGAAGCTCTTCCATACGCCACACTCCCGAGGACTCCTGCAAAAAACCTTTTAGAGACTATGTTAATTTAGTTTTTGTTTTTAGACACAGGGTCTCTCTATGTCGCCCAGGTTGGACAGCAGTGGCTATTCACAGGAGTGATCATAGCTCACTGCAGACTTGAACTCCTCCCCTCAAGAGTTCCTCTCATGTCAGCCTGCTGAGTAGCTGGGGCTACAGGTGTGTGCCACAGTGCCCAACTCATTTTTTATTTTTTAATAAGATTTTCTAGTGTACTTTAAAATTCTCTGAGCTTGTAATATATTTTGAAAGTTTCAAATTTAACTTAATCAAGGAACTCATATGATTTCCTCTAGTCTCTTTAGAAATTAAAAGGTGTATTAAATTAGTAATATCCAAATGTAAAGATCCGAGGAAGACAAACATTGGTTTTATATGGATGGATTTTGTTAAAATAACATTGCTGGCGTGTTTGCTTCAGGAAGGTGATCTGGGTTGCTATTGGCTAGAGGTGAAAGGAAGATGTATTACTGATTCCCAATAGAATATAGAATACTTAAAATAAAAATCTAAACTATGAAAGCATACTGAAGAGAAATATCTTTTTGTTTTTTCTGAGATCAGATCCCGCTATGCTGCTCAGGCTGGTCTTGAACTCACAGGCTCAAGCAATCCTTCCTCCTCAGCCTCCTGAGTAGCTGGGACTACAGGTGCATGTCACCACACCTGGCTAAAAGAAATACCTTGTTGGTTTATTACATTTATTAATTTACATGTATTCATTCTTCAACAAATACTCCTGGGTCAAAAATTATGCTATGATGCTATAAGCTGCAAAAAACAAACAAGAAAAAAGGCAATGTTTGTTACCTTCAGGAAACTTATACTCCAGGAAGGGAGACAGAAGTAAGCGAACAACTATGCTGTAATTTTATTAGTCACGGTCCAGCAAGATACAGAGGCACACTCCGATGGAATTCAGAGGAGAAGGAAACGAAGGACTTTTTACAGCGGGGGAGCAAGGTTAAAGGAACCGATGTGGGATGTTGAGGCACTCAGGAACCAGAAAAGACACGGAGCCACTGTCACCGCCAGGCCTGAAGGGGCACGGGTGCGGACAGTGTGAATGGCACCCTAGAGAGAGATAGGAGAAGGGACTGCCCTGCCAGTGCGAGAGTCATGGAGAAATGTAGTCAGTGCCAGAGCTAAATACCAGGAACACAGCAGAGCAGGAAACATCCCATCCCTCTCTCCTCCTGCCTTCTGAGCCCTCAGTGGTCCCTCCAAGTGGCCCAGCCACTTAGCACCCAGCCAACTGGCAAGGGAGCCCGAGTGATAGGTCCGCAGGGATCAGTCTGTTGCGATGGAGAAGAGGCAGAGAAAGGATGGCAAGGGCCAGAGAATAACCAGCTCAACAATGTACTATTCTATGACAAAGGCAGAGAGGACAGAAAGTCAGAAGACCCTGCCAGAGAGGGACCAGGCTGCTAGAGATGGGACCTAGGCACAGCTCTGGAAACCGCTTTTGTGAGCAGAGACAGACACAAGGGTGGAGGGATGGAGCACTTGCCAGGTTCAGGATTAACTTGGCTACAGGTAACAACAACAGCAGAAGTTACTTAAACAATATAAAATGTGTTGTCACCAAGGAAGACAGGTGTGGAGCTCTACAGTAGGGAGAGGCCAGGCTCCTTCTAAGAGCCCTACTGCTCTACTGTCCTCAACACACAGTTTCTACCTCCCGATGCCATCAGCCCTTGTGTCCCATTAGCAGGAAGGAGAAGGAGCAGTTTCATGCCCAGTTGAAAATCAGGGCTTCTATTCTGAGGGAAGAAGGAGAGGATGGATGTTGGAAGATAATTCACAATTTCTGCCAAAGGAAGGGGTAAAGGTGGAGTGATTCCAAACAGATGCCTTGCCTCAGATGGTTAACCATTTAAAGTAAACTAGAACCAGGCGCAGTGGCTCACACCTGTAATCTCAGCACTTTGGGAGGCCGAGGCAGGAGGATTGTTTGAGCCCAGGAGTTTGAAACCACTCTGGGCAACATAGCAGGACAGTGTTTCTGCAAAACTTCTCTTTTAAATAGCTGGGCATAGTGATGCACGCCTGTGGTCCTCAGTACTAGGGAGGCTAAGGTGGGAGAATTGCTTGAGCCCAGGGGATTGAGGCTGCAGTGAGCTATGATCACGCCACTGCACTCCAGCCTGAGCAACAGAGCGAGACCTTGTCTAAAAAAAAAAAAAAAGTAAATAAATAAACAAAGGCCAAGTGCCGTGTCTCATGCCTGTAACCCCAGCACTTTGGGAGATCGAGGAGGGTGGATTGCTTGAGGTCAGGAGTTCAAGACCAGCCCAACCAGCATGGTGAAACCCGGTCTCTACTAAAAATACAAAAATTAGCTGGGCGTGGCGGCACGTGCCTGTAATCCCAGCTACTCAGGAGGCTGAGGCAGGAGAATCACTTGAACCCAGGAGGCGGAGGTTGTAGTGAGCTGACATCGTGCCACTGCACTCCAGCCTGGGTGACAGAGAGAGACTCTGTCTCAAAAATTAAATAAATAAATAAATAAATAAATACTAGAAGATTACTTAATACAAATGGAAAATCATTTTTCCGTTGACAAGGCAATAGGTATTATGGGAAAGTTGAAGAATCAGGAATCAGAAATGCTGAGTTCTAGTTCCCCGTTTGTTATTTACTAAGCAAGGGACCTTAAGCAAATCAGTTCACTTTCTGCATCTCGATTTCCTCATCTGTAAAATGAGCAAGTCTGTCTCTTTAAAGGTTCCCCTTTCTGTGTTTGCCAAAAAAAAATGTTTTCTCTATGCTAATACCAAGATTCACAGACGCTGTAAAATAATAAGATTATAGTCAGTTCAAGGTGAAAAACCTTGAGTTGCCGTGTTAATATAATCAATTTAAATGATACAGGTTTAGTTTTTTTTTTTTTTTTTTTGGTTCTTTGCTGCTCTGAAAGGTCCTCAAAAAGTCTAGAAACATTCCAATTATAATATTTTGGGAATGTATACACACCCAAATGAAAAAAAAATTGTATGTATGTGTTCTCAAAATATTTCTAGTGGAAAAATTTGAAAATTATACTGAATTTTTCAGAATGAAGTAAAAATGTAGACACTACATTGATAGTTTAACAAGCAGTCCTTCTTTTTTTTTTTTTTTTTAAGAGAAGTCTCGCTCTTGTCCCCCAGGTTTGAGTGCAATTGCTCAATCTTGGTTCACTGAAACCTCTGCCTCCCGGGTTCAAACGATTCTCCTGCCTCTGCCTCCCAAGTAGCTAGGATTAAGTCGCCTGCCACGCCCAGCTAATTTTTGTATTTTTTAGTAGAGACGGGGTTTTACCATGTTGACCAGGCTGGTCTCAAACTCCTGACCTCAGGTTATCCACCTGCCTCACCGTCCCAAAGTGCTGGGATTACAGGCGTGAGCCACCGTGCCCAGCCAACAAGCAGTCCTTCTTAAAAATGAGTTGACCATCTGGCCAGGTGCAGTGGTGGACGCCTGTAGTTCCAGCTACTCAGGAAGCTGAGGTGGGAGGATCACTGGCTAAGCCCAGGAGATTGCAGTGAACCGAGATTGCACGACTGCACTCCAAGCTGGGCGACAGAATCAGACCCTGTCTCAAAAAAAAAAAAAAATTAGTTGACTAATAAGAGAATAGAAGTTAGTAAGAGTATCTGTTAGATATTATTTCCTATTCAAACTGGGTTCCTCCTGTTTATACCCAGAGCTGACCTGGAGCAAACTTTCTTTTTTGTTTGTTTGTTTGCTTTTGAGACAGAGCCTCGCTCTGTCACCCAGGCTGAAGTGCAGTGGCATGATCTCAGCTCACTGCAACCTCGATGCCGCACCCCCCACCACTCCCTGACCTGGGTTCAAGCGACTCTCCTGCCTCAGCCTTCCAAGTAGCTGGGATTACAGGCGTGTGCCACCACATCCAGCTAATATATATATATATATTAGTAGAGACAGGATTTCCACATGTTCCCCAGGCTGGTCTGGAACTTCTGAGCTCAAGCAATTCGCCCGCCTCGGCCTCCCAAAGTGCTGGGATTACAGGTGTGAGCCACAGCATCTGGCCTACCAGTATTAACTTAAGTAATCTAGAGATGTATCTGGTAAGACATTGTCCCCATATAGCCTAGAGAATCGGGGGGAGACATAAATAATTGAAATGAACGATTAAGCGTTCTCAATATTAAGGTAAGTGGAGGGCATGATGTGATCCCAGGAAATGAGCTTGATAAGTAACATAGACATTTCACTAAGGTAAGATTTTGCCACCAGCTCGGCCCAGTTGCACACTGTTTGGAAATACAGAGTCTTTCCATCCTAGAGTGGTATTGCGGTTGGTGATATGATATAGAAACAAATGCCTCCACACCTCCTGATCTGCTTTTGCAGACCTCCAGCCTCAGTCCCTGAAGTCGCCGACTCTCCTGCATTGCTGCGTCTAGAAAGGAATGCCTTCCAGGTGATCCAGGCTCTGATACGGTGGAATATAAACAGGTTAATCAATAATAGCCCAGAAATGGACAAACTCTCTGAGCTGCAGCGGACCTCCAGTCAGTCCCTCCTGTTGTTGATGACAAACGGGGGGTTTGCACTGGAGAGGCACAGGTGGCCCAGTCATTCGTGCAGGCTCTGAGCAGCCTGCCTGGGTTGTAGCTTGGCTCCAGCGCTCCTGCTAGCTGTGTAACTGAGGCCGATTACTTCATCCTGAACACTTCCAGTTCCTCATCTATAGAACAGGAATAGCAGCAGCAACTTGTCTCATGGGGTTGGTGAGGATTATTAATTATTACATACACAACACCTGGAGCAATGCTTAGCACACAGTGAGCTCTCAACAAAGGACAGGGATTATTGTTATTGCTGGTGCGCTTGGTGCTGAGAAGCTTGCTCATACCCTGGGCCCAGAGGAGGAAAATGGGTGGTCTTTACCTCAGTGACATGAGCCCTATTCTTATAAAATACAGGCGATAAGGCCTCTGCTTCAGCACAGGTGTAATTAAGGCAAAACAACATAAAACCAAAACAAACAAACTTCAATGTGCTAAGGCCCTGAAGAAAGGGAAGGAGAGAACTCATTTAACTCATTTTAAATTTTTAATTTTTGTGGGTATATAGCACGTGGTATATAATGAGAACTAATTTTTTTTTGTTGTTTTTTAGATGGAGTTTTGCTCTGTTGACGAGGCTGGAGTGCAAGGTGCGATCTCAGCTCACTGCAACCTCCACCTCCTGGGTTCAAGCGATTCTCCCGCCCCAGCCTCCCGAATAGCTGGGACTACAGGCGCGTGCCACCATGCCTGGCTAATTTTTGTATTTTTAGTAGAGACAGGGTTTCACCACCTTGGCCAGGCTGGTCTCGAACTCCTGACCTTGTCATCCACCCGTCTCGGGCTCCCAAAGTGCTGGGATTACAGGCGTGAGCCACCGCGCCGGGCCGGAGAACTAATTTCTATAGACTGTCTCCCATGGGCTGCATATGTGGGGAGGGGCTATGTAAAAAGGCTAGCTCCTTTTTACATAGGAAGAAATTGAGAACCAAAGAGGTTTTTCAAGCATACGTAGCCAGCAGCATTGGCAAGTCTATAGCGACAAAAGCCCCTAGGGTGGGGGCTGAGGGAACTAGTTGGGGAGGTTTGGGGAAAGCGGGAGTGACATTAACAGGTATGGGATTCTTTTCTAGGGAAGAGGAAAATGTTATAAAATGGATTGTGGTGATGGTCGCACAACTCTGAATATACTAAAAACCATGTAATTTTATACTTTATATGGGTGAATTATATGGTTTGTGAATAATAAAGTGGTTTATTGGGAGGCTGAGGCGGGCAGATCACTTGAGGTCAGGAGTTTGAGACCAGCCTGGCCAACATGGTGAAACCCTGTCTCTACTAAAAATACAAAAAACAGCTGGGCATGGTGGCGGGCGCCTGTAATCCCAGCTAATCAGGAGGCTGAAGCAGGAGAATCGCTTGAACTGGGGAGATGGAGTTTGCAGTGAGTTGAGATTGCGCCACTGCACTCTAGCCTGGGCGACAGAGCAAGATCCTGTCTCAAAAATAATAAAATAAAATAAAGTGGTTGAATAAGAAAAAGTCCCCAGCCAGGAGGCATCAAAGCCTGGATTCAGACTAGGGCCAGGCCTGGGCGCTTTTCATTCCTGTCCCTCTCACAGAGATTGGAGCATGGGAACCCTCTCCAGGAGACACTACGCAGAAAAATCGTCCTCCATCCTAGAGATGGGCGGTTAAAGAAGATGCTTAGGGGCCTCAGGAGATGAAGTCTGTGAGCCATCAGCCTTTTGTGGCTCATGGCTTTCTTAAGAATAGCCAGGAGAGTGGGCCTCACCCAGTCCCGCCTCTGTGGGGAACAGCCCTGCGTTGTAAAGGAGGGTTTCCTGGGAGGGGCCCAGCAAACTAGAAATGGAGTGGCTCGCGAGTGAGCTATTGTAAGCTCAGAAACCTGGACACCGCCTGTCGCCTCTGTGATTTTTATTTCTCTTGTTTATTTTCTTTTTGGCTTTCCTTAACTTTTAGGAAAGTTCCTTTGGTACATTCCCACTAGTCCCAACTGTGTTCAGGAGACAGGAAGACTTGGTGTTTTCCATGCTTGGGCCAGAGGGAGGTGAGGAGGAGACTTACTACTACTGCGGGCCAGGGCAGCCAGAAGCAGCAGACGGGCACCCAGCCCCTCAGGTGCGCCAGTTAGGAGGGCTTCCCAGTCAGCTGCAGACGCTCTGTGACCTCCCAACAGCGGCTGCCTCCCTCTGCAGGCCCCTGTGAAAAGGGAGGACGTCAGAAGACCACCCCTTTCATGATTCCGGAGGCAGGGCAGAATGGCAGTCATCTTTGTTGCATTGGCAAATTCATTCCTTTAGCCCAGTTTTATTCGATTTATTTGGCCAAGGAGAGAGAATTTGGAAGTTAGTATTATGTTTAAGCCAAAACTAACAATACTGGCACTTTATATACTATTCCTGACTTTTTGTTTGTTTGTTTATTTTGCTTTTGTTTTTTGAGACAGTCTCTGTTGCCCAGGTTGGAGTGCAGTGGCGCAATCTCTGTTCACTGGCACCGCCACGCCTGTCTAATTTTCGTATTTTTAGTAGAGACTGGGTTTCATCATGTTGGCCAGGCAGGTCTCCAACTCCTGACCTCAGGTGATCCGCCCCCCTTGGCCTCCCAAAGTGCTGGAATTACGGGCATGAGCCACCGCGCCTGGCCTATTTAGTAGTTTATTTAATTTATAATTTGCCTCTTTTTTGTTTTCATTATTTTCATTTTTTTTTTTTTTTTTTGAGACAGAATCTCACTCTGTTGCCCAGGCTGGAGTGTAGTGGCACAATCTCAGGCTGGAGTGCAGTGGCACAATCTCGACTCACTACAACTTCCACCTCCCCAGTTCAAGTGATTCTTTGCCTCAGCCTCCTGAGTAACTGGGATTACAGGTGTGCACCACCACACCCGGCTAATTTTTGTATTTTTAGTAGAGACAGGGTTTCACTCTGTTGGCCAGGCTGGTCTCGAACTCTTGACCTCAAGTGATCCACTCACCTTGGTCTCCCAAAGTGCTGGGCTTCTGGAGGCGGAGGTTGCACTGAGCGGAGATCGCACCACTGCACTCCAGCCTGGGCAACAGAGCGAGACTCTGTCTCAAAAATAAATAAAATAAATAATAAAGTAAAGAAAAACATTATTTAAAAAAAAAAGCGCTGAGCTTACAGGCGTCAGCCACCGTGCCTGGCCTATTATTATTATTTTTTTGAACAGAATCTTGCTCTGTTGCCCAGGCTGGAGTGCAGTGGTGGCACAACGCCAACCTCAACCTCATGGGCTCCAGTGATCCTCCAGCTTCAGGCTCCTGAGTAGCTGGGACTACAGGCATGTGCCAGCACACCCGGTTAATTTTTAAATTATTATTATTATTTTTTGTAGAGACAGAGTCTCACTATGTTGCTCAGGCTGGTCTTAAACTCCTGAGCTCAAGGGATCCTCCCCACTCAGCATCTCAAAGTGCTGGGATTACAGGCGTGAGCCACCACGCCTGGCTAATTTTAAAAAATATATATAAATACAGATGGTGGTTTTGCTATGTAAAACAGATGTTAACATGTAAAGAAGTGCTGCAATGAATTGTTTTGATGAGAAGAATCACCACTGAAAATGTATTGTACTTACACTTTTTTTTTTTTTTTTTTTGAGACAGAGTCTTGCTCTGTCGCCCAGGCTGGAGTGCAGTGGTGGGATCTCCGTTCACTGCAAGCTCCGCCTCCCGGGTTCACGCCATTCTCCTGCCTCAGCCTCCCGAGTAGCTGGGACTACAGGTGCCGCCACCATGCCCGGCTAATTTTTTTGTATTTTTAGTAGAGACGGGGTTTCACCGTGTTAGCCAGGATGGTCTCGATCTCCTGGCCTCGTGATCTGCCTGCCTCGGCCTCCCAATTTACACTTTTTATTTTCTTTTTCTTCTGCCCAGGCTGGTCTCAAACTCCTGGGCTCAAGCAATTCTCCAGCCTCAAACTGTGCTGGGATTACAGGTATGAGCCACCATGCCTGGTCTTTTTGTTTAAGGTACCTTACATACATACAAAAAAAGAAGTTTGAAAGAATTGTACGAGTTAAATCATTGTATGAATTTAAACATTTGAGAAAAGCAGATGCTAACATGTAAAGAAGTACTGCAATAAATTGTTTTGATGAGAATAATCAGCACTGAAAATGTATTGTATTTACACTTTTTATTTTCTTTTTATTTTTTTGAGACAGAATCTCACTCTGTCGCCCAGGCTGGAGTGCTGTGGTGCGATCTTGGCTCACTGCAACCTCCACCTCCCTGGTGCAAGCGATTCTCCTGCCTTAGCTTCCTGAGTTACACTTTTTATTTTCCAAATTATTCACAATAAGCATGAATAACTTTTACAACAGGGAAATATTATTTTAAACTTAATTAAAATAACAACTCCTTTTATTATTTTTCAATTTTCTACTTTTCTTTTCTTTTTTTTTTCTTTTTGAGACGAAGTCTCCCTCTTGTCCCTCAGGCTGGAGTGCGATGGCATGATCTTGGCTCACTGCAACCTCCGCCTCCCGGGTTCAAGAGATTATCCTGCTTCAGCCTCCTGAGTAGCTGGGATTACAGGCGCCTACCATCACGCCCGGCTAATTTTTGTATTTTTAGTAGAGAAGGGGCTTCACCATGTTGGCCAGGCTGGTCTCGAACTCCTGACCTCAGGTGATCCATCCGCCTTGGCCTCCCAAAGGGCTGGGATTACAGGTGTGAGCCACTGTGCCCAGCTACTTTTTAAATTTTTATATATAAGCATGTATTATATTTAAGCCTTCTATAAATTTGAATTTCAAACATGAAGGAAGGGTTTTGCGTCTATTAGCTGTCCCTGTGTACTCCCTGATTAGGTGATCATGGTGTCTCCTCTGCTAGGTGAGCATCTCTCTGGTTATCTCTGTGTGTCCTGCATATTCAGAGTCACTAAGTACCACCCAGAAGCTTGACCATTTTTTGAAGGGTAGGAACAAGTCAAGACTGGCTACCCTTTGGTGTTTTGATTTCACCATGGGAAGCTTGCATCACGTTGCTAGTTATTTGTACACAGCCATCTGCCCTGCACTGGACAGAGCTACCCTGAAGTGTGTCAACAGGCTGAGCAGGTTTGTCAGCGGCTGCTGTTACTCAGTGGTACAGAACATTGCTTGAAGCTGAGCTTCTAGGGACAACCCACTCGCTGCCATCCTGTTTCCCACGCAGCAGTTGTGCATGTGTGCTCCTCTTAGTCAGCCTCTTGGTGTTGCGCTCAGCCAATGGAATTGCAAAGTATTTAGCTCCTGTGCAGGTAAACCAGCTGTGTTCTTCCACCTTTCTTGTTGTTGATCTTGTCTTGTTTATTAAGTAAGTATGACTCAGGAATGAAGTTGATGAAGCTGTTAGAGAAATTAGATATGAGGTCCAGGGAAGGCAGAAGTCATAAAAACATAAAACCTTATCTGGGCTGGGCGAGGTGGCTCACGCCTGTAATCCCAGCACTTTGGGAGGCCAAGGCAGGTGGATCACAAGGTCAGGAGTTTGAGACCACCCTGGCCAAAACGGTGAAACCTCATCTCTACTAAAAATGCAAAAATTAGCCAGGCGTGGTGGTCTGTGCCTGTAATCCCAGCTACTCGGGAGACTGAGGCAGGAGAATCACTTGAACCCAGGAGGTGGAGGTTGCAGTGAGCCGAGATCCCGCCACTTCACTCCAGCCTGGGCAACAGGGTGAGACTCTGTCTCAGAAAAACAAAAACAAACACAAGCAAACAAAACAAAGCAAAACAAAACAGAAAACCCTTATCTGGGCTCTATGGATCTTTAACATAGTCTGAAATTATATGTCAGCTATGTTGACACCATGCATACTGTATCTCTGCCAGCTCCCCCAAAGACAACCTGGTCCTTCCTCAGACTGTTTTCTACCTAGGTCTTTGGTGTATGCCTGGGCCCTAATTAAGTTCAGGGACTGTTTTTCAAATCTGTATTGCTTGCTCACGATTGTCCTTGGCTTTATGGATTTTTCCTGGCATATCTTGTCATGTCTCCTACATTTTTTTAAAATAGACTTTATTTTTTTGGAGCAGTTATTTTTCAGACTTTATTTTTTAAAAACAGTTTTAAGTTCACAGCAAAGTCGAGCAGAAGCTACAGTGATTTCCTATATACCCTCATCCCCTGCATGCGTATCTGTAGCCTCCCATGTCATCAACTTCTTCCACCAGAGGGGTGCATTTGTTACCATCAATTAACTGGCATTGACACATCTCTACCACACAGAGTCCATGGTTTCCATTAAGGTTCACTCTTTTTTTGTTGGTTTTTTTGGGGACAGAGTCTCGCTCTGTCTCCCAGGCTGTAGTGCAGTGGCATGATCTCAGGTCACTGTAACCTCTGCCACCCAGGGTTCAAGCAATTTTCCTGCCTCAGCCTCGTGAGTAGATGGGATTACAAGCACATGCCACCACACCTGGCTAATTTGTGTGTGTGTCTGTGTGTGTGTGTGTGTGTGTGTGTGTATATATATGTTTGTTTGTTTGTTTGTTTGAGACAGAGTCTTGCTCTGTTGCCCAGGCTGGAGTGCAGTGCTGTGATCTTGGCTCATTGCAACCTCCACCTCCCGGGTTCAAGCGATTCTTCTGCCTTAGCCTCCCGAGTAGCTGGGACTGCAGGCGCGTGCCACCATGCCCAGCTAATTTTTGTATTTTTAGTAGAGACGGGGTTTCACCATATTGGCCAGGCTGGTCTCAAACTCCTGACCTTGTGATCTGCCTGCCTCTGCCTCCCAAAGTGCTGGGATTACAGGCATGGGCCACTGCACCGGGCCCATTTTTTTATTTTTAATAGAGACGGGGTTTCACCATGTTGGCCAGGCTGGTCTCGAACTCCTGACCTCAAGTGATCTGCTCACCTTGGCCTCCCAAAGTGCTGGGATTACAGGTGTGAGCTACCATGCCTGGCCTCCGTTAGGGTTCATTCTTGACGTACATTCTATGGGTTTGGAAAAATGTATAATAACATCTATACACCATTATAATATCATATTAAGTAGTTTCACTTTCTCAAAATTTTTATTTTATTTTTAATTTTTTGTGACAGGGCCTCACTCTGCTGCCCAGGCTGGAGTGCAGTGGTGCGATCTCAGCCCACTGCAGCCTCTGCCTCCTGGGCTCAAGATCCTCCCACCTCAGCCTCCTGACTAGCTGGGACTACAGTGCATGCCACCACGCCTGGCTAGTTTTTGTATTTTTTTTTTTATAGAGATGGGGGTCTCACTATGTTGCCCAGGCTGGTCTTCAACTCCTGAGCTCAAGCAACCCGCTGGCCTCAGCCTCCCAAAGTGCTGGGATTACAGGTGTGAGCCACCACACCCAGCCTTAGTTTTTATTTCTTTCTTTCTTTCTTTTTTTTTTTTGAGACAGAATCTCGTTCTGTCACCCAGGCTGGAGTGCAATGGCATGACTTGGCTCACTGCAACCTCTGCCTCCCAGGTTCAAGTGATTCTCCTGCCTCCGCCTCCCGAGTAGCTGGGAGTACAGGCGCCCGCCACCACACTCAGCTTATTTTTTTGTATTTTTAGCAGAGACGGAGTTTCACCATGTTAGCCAGGATGGTCTCGATCTCCTGAACTTGTGATCCACCTGCCTTGGCCTCTCAAAGTGCTGGGATTACAGGCATGAGCCGCCGCACCCAGCCCCAGTTTTTCTTTTTTGTAGTACATCATATGGTCAGAAGCACACAGTTTGGAGTCTTTATAGATTGGGTTCTTTTCACTTATTAGGTTGATGCAAAGGTTATTGCGGTTTTTGCCATTGAAATGATATTTAAATTTCCTCCATTTCTTTTCATGGTTTGATAGCTCCTTTCTTTTTAGAACTGAGTAATATTCTGTTGTGTGGATGTACCACAGTTTATTTTTCCATTCCCCTACTGAAGGACATCTTGGTTGCTTCCAAGTTTTGGCATTTATGAGCAAAGCTACTATAAACATCCCTGTGCAGGTTTTTGCATGGACAGAAGTTTTCAGCTCCTTTGGGTAAATACAATGGAGGTGGATCACAGGATCAAATAATAAGATAATATTTCTTTTTTTTTTTCAAATGGAGTCTTGCTCTGTTGCCCAGGCTGGAGTGCAGTGGCGTGACCTCAGCTCACTGCAACCTCCGCCTCCTGGGTTCAAAAGATTCTCCTGCCTCAGCCTCCCGAGTAGCTGGGATTACAGGCACCCGCCACCACACCCAGCTACATTTTTGTATTTTGAGTAAAGATGGGGTTTCACTGTGTTGCCCAGGGTGGTCTTGAACTCCTGAGCTCACGCAATCAACCCACCTCGGTCTCCCAAAGTGTTAGAATTACAGGCGTGAGCCACCGCGCCCAGCCCAAATGGTAAGATATGTTTCCTTTTGTAGGAGACTGCCGGACTGTTTTCCAACATGGTGGTGCCATTTTGTATCCGCAGCAGCAGTAGTTCTTGCTGCTCCACATTCTGTCAGCATTTGGTGTTGTCAGTGGACTCTGGCCACCCTAAAAGGTGTGTAGTGGTATCTTCTTGTTGTTTAATTTGCATTTCCCTAATGACATTTGATGTAGCGCATCTAGTCATATGATAATTAGCCATCTGTATACCTTCTTTGGTGAGGTATTTGTTACGGTCTTTGGTCCATTTTTAAATTGGGCTGTTTGTTTACTAATCATTGAGTTTTAAGAGCTCCTTGCATATTTTGAATAACAGTCCTTTATCAGACATGTCTTTTGTAAATTTTTTTTTTCAGTCTGTGGCTTGTCTTCTCATTCTTTTGATGGTATCTTTCTCAGAGCAGAAGTTTCTAATTTTCATGAAGTTTTTAAATCTTCATAATGATCAATTATGTCTTTCATGAACCATGACTTTGGTGTCAATGACTAAAAAGTCATTGTCAAACCCAAGGTCATCTAGATTTTCTCCTATGTTATATTCTTCTTTTTTGTTGTTGTTTTGAAATGGGGTCTTGCTCTGTTGCCCAGGCTGGAGTGCAGTGGCGCGATCTCGGCTCACTGCAACCTCTGCCTCCTGGGTTCAAGCAATTCTCCTGCCTCCGCCTCCTGAGTAGCTGGGATTTCAGGTGTGCGCCATCATGCCCAGCTAATTTTTTTGTATTTTTAGTAGAGACAGGGTTTCACCATGTTGGTCAGGCTAGTGTCGAACTCCTGACCTCATGTCCACCTGCCTCGGCCTCCCAAAGTGCTGGGATTACAGGTATGAGCGACTGCACCTGGTCTGTTGTCGTCTATGTTTTATAGTTCTGCATAGTTAGGTCTGCGATCCATTTTGAGTTTATTTTTTGTATAGGATGTAAGGTCTGTGTCTAGATTCATTTTTTTTGCATGTGGATGTCCAGTTGTTCCAGAACCATTTATTGAAAACACTGCCGGGCACAGTGGCTCATGCCTGTAATCCCAAAACTTTGGGAGGATGTGGCAGGAGGATCACTTGAGCCATCCTGGGTTCAAGGCCAGCCTGGGCAATTTGTGAGACCCCATCTCTACAAAAAATTTTAAAAATTACCCAGGCTTGGTGGTGTGCACCTCTGGTCCCAGCTACTTGGGAGACTAAGGTGAGAGAATCGCTTGAGCCCAGGAGATTGAGGCTGCAGTGAGTCGTGACTGTGCCACTAGACTGCAGCCTGGATGACAGAGTGAGACTCTGTCTCAAAAAAAAAAAAAAAAGAAAAGAAAAGAAAAGAACTCTCTCCATTGTATTGCCTTTGCTCCTTTGAAAAAGATCCATTAACTGTATCTATGCTTGTCTGTCTGGGCTGTCTATTCTGTTCCAGCTATCTGTTTTTCTGTTCTCTTAGCAATACCACACTTGTTTTTCTGTTCTTTTAGCGATATCACACTGCCTTATAGTGAGTCTCTAAATTGGGTAGTGTCAATCCTCTGACTTTCTCCTTCTCCTTCAATATTGTGTTGGCAGGCTGGGCACAGTGGCTCACACCTGTAATCCTAGCATTTTGGGAGGCTGAAGTGGGCAGATCACATGAGGCCAGGAGTTCAAGACCAGACTGGGCAACATGGCAAAACTCCATCTCTACAAAAATACAAAAATTAGCCAGACATGGTGGTGCGCACCTGTAGTCCCCGCTGCTTGGGAGGCTGAAGTGAGAGGTCACTTGAACCCAAGAGGTGGAGGTTGCAGTGAGCCGAGACTGCACCACTGCACTCCAACCTGGATGAGAGAGCCAGATCTTGTCTCAAAAAAAGCCAAAAAAAAAAAGAAAAAAAACTTCTTTGCAGTTAACACTCCCACCAACAATATATGAAAGTTCCAGTTGCTCCATATCTTTGCTAATATTTAGTGCTGTCAATCTTTTTCATTTGATGGTATTGCATTGTGGTTTTAATTGGCATTTCAATAATGGTTTCTAATTTTTAGCATCTTTTCATGTATTTATTTCCCTTTCATGTATGTTTCTTTGTGAAGTGTCCCTTCAAATATTTTGTCCAGTTTTTTAAGAAGCTGTTTTAATTAAATTAAATTAATTAATTAATTTAGAGACAGGGTCTCGCTCTGTCACCCAGGCTGGAGTGCAGTGGCACGATTATAGCTCACTGTAGCCTCGAACTCCTGGGCTTAAGCGATCCTCCTGTCTCAGCCTCCCAAGGAGCCAGGATCACAGGTGCATGCCACCACACCTGACTACTTTTTTAATATTTTGTAGAGGCAGGGGTCTCGCTATGTTGCCCAGGCTAGTCTTGAAGTCCTGTGCACAAGCAATCCTCCCACCTCAGCCTTCCAAAGTGCTAGGATCCAGGTTTTAATTGGGTTGTTTGTTTTTATAGAATTATAGGTATGGCATTCTTTATATATTCTGAATACAAGTCCTTTGTCAGATATCTATCTCTACACATTTTTTATTTTGAAGTAATTTTAGACTTCCAAAATATTGCAAAATGGTAGTAGGAATTCCCATAGTCCCTTTACCCATATTCCCCAAATGTTAATGTTTTATCCTATTTGCTTTATCATTTATTCTGTCTATAAATATGTACATACTTATATATGTGCACATATATACAAACATATTTTTTAATATGTTTGAGAGTAAATTGCAGACAGGATGCCCTTTTACCTCTAAATTCTTCAGAGTGTATTTCCTTTTTAAAATATGTATCCTAGCTGGGCATAGTGGTGTACATCTGTAGCCCCAGCTACTCAGGGGGCTGAGGCAGGAGGATGGCTTCAGTAGAGGAGTCCAGCCTGGGCAATATAGCAAGACCCTGTCTCTAAAAAAATGAAATAAAATAACAATTTTTTAAATAATTAAAAAGTACATTCTCTTCATAACAGCGATACAATTATGCACATCAGGAAACTAACATTAATATAATAGTATTTATCTAAACTTTGACCTTCTTCATATTTCACCAGCTGTCTCATCGGTGTTCTGTGGTACTATCTGGGATCACATGCTGCATTCAGTTATTATGTCTCTTTAGTCTCCTGTAATCTGGAACAGTTTTTCATATTTCTTTGTCCTTTACAACCTTGATATTTTTGAAGGGAATAGGCCAGCTGTTTTGCAGAATTTCCCTCGTTTTGTGTTTGTCTGATCTTTCTGCAGGATTAGATTGATGATATGCATTTTTTTTTTTTTTTTTTTTTTTTTTTTTGCCGGAATACCACAGAAGGGAGATTGGGTCTTTCTCAGTGCAGCCTGTCATGATGTATGTGATGTCCATTGGTCTCATTACCGGTGATGTTAATTTAGGTCACACGGTTAAAAGTGGAATCTGCCAGATTTCTCCACTGTGAAGTTCCTATTTTTCTCTTTCTAACTAATAGGCATCTATTAGACATATGTTTTGCAAATTTTTTTCAGTCTGTGGCTTGCTTATTTTTTCTTTTCTTTTTCTTTTTTTTTTTTTTTTTTTTGAGATGGAGTCTCACTCTGTCCCTCAGGCTGGAGTGCAGTGGTGCGATCTTGGCTCACTGAAACCTCCGCCTGCTGGGTTCTAGCAATTCTTCTCCCTCAGTCTTCCAAGTAGCTGGGATTTACAGGTGCCCACCACCACGTCCGGCTAATTTTTGTATTTTCGGTAGAGATGGGGTTTCACGATGTTGGTCAGGCTGGTCTCAAACTCCTGACCTCAGGTAATCCACCTGCTTTGGCCTCCCAAAGTGCTGGGGTTACAGGCGTGAGCCACCTCGCCCAGGCCACTTATTCTTTTCTTAACAGTATCTTTTGATGAGTGGAAGTTTTTTATTTTGTGGAAGTCTAAATTGACAAGTTTTTTTTTTTTTTTTTGGTAATTATTGCTTTCCCTGTCTTCTGTAAGATATATTTGCGTACCCTTAAATCACAAAGACATTTTCTTATGGTTTTCTCCAGATGTTTTACTGTCATAGTACTAAAACTGAATAGTTTTAGGTCTCTAATCCATCTCAAATTAATCTTTGTGAATGGTGTGGGGTAAGTGGTCAAAGTTCACTTTTTCCCCATATGTTAGTTTGATTTTTTTTTTTTTTTTGAGACAAGGTCTTATTCTGTTGCCTACATTGAAGTGCAGTGACACAATCACAGCTCACTTCAGCTTCGACCTCCCTGAGCTCAGGTGATCCTCCTGCCTCAGCCTCTGGAGTATCTGGGACCACAGGCACACGTCACCACACTTAACTAATTTTTATTTTTATTTTTGTAGAGACAGGGTCTCACTATGTTGCCCAGACTGGTCTCGAACTCCTAGGTTCAAGTGATCTTCTTGCCTCAGACTCCTAAAGTGCTGGGATTACAGGCATCTCCATGCCTGGTCTTTTCCCCGATATGGGTATTTAGTTGTTCCAGCACCATTGGTTGAAAAAACTTTCCTTTCCCCACTAGATTTCTTGTTACGTTTGTTGAAAATCAAATGATTGCAGTGTGGGTCTCTTTCTTAGTTCTCTGTTATCTTTCATTGATCTGATTACTCTTATGTCTAGGCCCAATTTTTACACAAGTTATATATTGGCCAGCTCAACATAACTTCTCTATGCCTCACTTTCCCCACTCACACAATGAATTATTATACCTATAAAATTCTGTGACTCTCGGCTGGGCGTGGTGGCTTCCAGCACTTTGGGAGGCCGAGGCGGGCAGATCCTCTGAGATCAGGAGTTCGAGACCAGCCTGGCCAACATGGAGAAACCCCATCTCTACTAAAAATACAGAAATTAGCCAGGTGTTGTGGTGGGTGCCTGTAATCCCAGCTACTCAGTAGGCCGAGGCAGGAGAATTGCTTGAACCCAGGAGGTAGAGGTTGCAGTGAGCCGAGATTGTGCCATTGCACTCCAGCCTGGGAAACAAGAGTGAAACTCCATCTCAAAAAAAAAAAAAAAAAAAAAAATTAAAAATTTCTTGATTCTCCTATCCAAGACCTCACAAAAAAAAAAAAAAAATCCCATGATTCTTGGTTCTTAATACTCAACCACTCTATTTGTGCCAATTATTTTTTATACTGATTTGATAGCTTGCTGGTTTTAAAACAAGTTTTATTAATGTGAGGATCTGCCTGAATTCCCTTTTCCCCATAACTCTGTTATCTTATCTCAGAAGAATGGCTCCCTTTTTTAATGTTGACTTGAGCTGGTAACCCACCCTGCTGTGTCCACCCGTTTCTCTGGCAGGAATGTTTTGTAAACAGAGAAACCTACCTAATGTTAGGACCGGCTATGACAGTTTAGTGTTCTGCAAATAGGGTCACCATATACTTTATCCGTTAAACTAGGGCAGATTTGTGATTGAAAGACGTTGTTATTATTATTATTTTGAGAGAGAGTCTTGCTCTGTCACCCAGCTGGAGTTCAGTGGCTCACTGCAACCTCCGCCTCCTGGATTCAAGTGACTCTCCTGTCTCAGCCTCCTGGGTAGCTGGGATTACAGGCATGTGCCACCATGCCCGGCTAATTTTTGTATTTTTAGTAGAGATGAAGTTTCACCATGTTGACCAGGTTGGTCTTGAACTCCTGACCTCAAGTGATCCATCCACCTCAGCCTCCCAAAGTGCAGGCATGAGCCACCACGCCCAGCTGAAAGGGGTTATTATTAATATTGTTTATAACTCTGCCAGGACAACAGGTATAAACCAGCCTGCCCTGGGATCGATGGTGGGCCTGTCAATAAACCTCTTAGAACTCAACCAAAATCATTCATTAACAGCCATTTTTCAAATACCTAAGTGCTAAGCACTGTTACAGGTGCTGGAGACTCTAAGACAAATAAACTGTAATTCTTGCTCTAAGGAGCTTTTAGTATAGCTGGGGAATCAAACAACAGACCATTACAATGGAGCTTTTCATTTCCATGGTAGGTGTTTGCACAGAGTTCCTTATGAAGCAAGCAGAAAACCAAGGATGATTGTAGGAGGTGGCAAATTGTAAGCTGAGGAAGGCTTTTGGGTACCAGATGAACAGTTGGGATAATAACAATAACAGTATTAGTAACAATAAGTTAGATTGGCATAGCCCTTTAAATTGCCAAGAATTAGGACGTTTGCACAGAAGAAAATAGAGAGCCCCACAGTTGGCAAAGCTAGAAGAAATGACAACAGAAATTCATAAAAGACCTGAGCAGCTCCTCCTGCAATTTCCACAGAGGCCAATCAACAGCTGCTCCTCAGGGCTGGGCTCTCCACCCACTCCTCTTTCTTCATTCCGCCTGGATGAGCTTATTTATCCACACCCAGGGCCTCAAAGGACAGCTCCTGGCTGATGCCTCTTGAATGTGCATGCTGGCCCTGGGCTTTCTGCTGACCAGGGGTCTGAACATTCCCCTGTTCACTGACGGGCCCCACGGCGCTCAGACACAACATGTCTGTTTGCATTTCTCCCCTGCCCCCATCTGCTCTCCTGTGTTCTCTATTTTACAGAACGACCTCTCTGTCCACCCTATTGCTTACATATCAAAACCTAGGAATTATCCTATAGATCTCCTTCCTAGCTCCATGACCTTCTGAATCTACCTTCTTTTATATCTCCTGAGCCTGTCCTCTCCCCTCTGTTCCCACTCTCACTTGGTGATGGCTCTTGTCACATCCAACCTGGATTATTGCTGCAGCCTCTTAATTCTTCTGCCTGTGGCCAATCTGATCCCATCCAGGCTGCCCTCCTTCCCACACCCAATGTGAGTTTCTTTAAAATGCACATCTAAGTAACTCACTCCCATGCTTAAAACCCTTCATTGACTCCCCTCATTAGCTTAGCAGCTAGGACCCTTGTCAGTCAGCACCATCCATGCCTGTCTGTCTGGCCTTGCTCCACACTCACATAGCTTTTAGTAGTCCAGCCATTCAAAACCACTTGTCCTTCCTCCTGGGTCAAGCTGTTCACACCTCCACACCACTGCACTTACTGTTCCCTTTCTCCTCGCACCCCCTCCTCCCTCCAGAATCCACTTGCACCTTCTGAAAAAGCCCTTTGGAAGCCACTCCTCTAAGTTTCAAGAACACACCTTTTCCGTAGCACATTTGAGTGTCCGTCTCTCTCTCCCATGAGCCCAGGGCTTGTCAACCCAGCACTATTGACATTTTGGGCTTAAACTTCCTTGTAGTGAGGACTTCCCTGTGCATTGCAGGATGTTTAGCAGGATCCCTGGCTTCTACCTACTACGTGCCAGTATGCCATTAGCAACCTCCCTCCAAAACATGTCTGTAGACATTGCCAAATGTCCCTGGAGAGTAAAATCATCCCAGTTGAAAACCACTGCACCAGACTGTGAGTTCCAATGAGACAGAAACCAAATCTTATTTGATTCACATCCCCAGTACTTCTCATGGCGCCTAACAGGCACTAGACATTCAATAAATTGTATGTCATGAGAGAAAGAGAGAAGAAATACAGTTCAATGGTACCACCTCTAGGGAAGGCTGTTTAGTGATATCTAAAAAAATCACTAATGAGTACACCCTTTGATCTACCAATTCTTCTTCTAGGAGTTTATTCTACAGCTAGACTCATACACAGGCAAAATGATAAATGTTCCAAGTTATTTATTTTACTATTTTATTTTATCTTGAGACGGAGTCTCGCTCTGTCGCCCAGTCTGGAGTGCAGTGGCGCCATCTTGGCTCACTACAAGCTCTGCCTCCCGGGTTCACGCCATTCTCCTGCCTCAGCCTCCCGAGTAGCTGGGACTACAGGCGCTCGCCACCGTGCCTGGCTAATTTTTTGTATTTTTAGTAGAGACGGAGTTTCACCGTGTTAGCCAGGGTGGGCTCGAACTCCTGACCTCGTGATCTACCCAGCTTGGCCTCCCGAAGTGCTGGGATTACAGACATGAGGCACCGTGCCCGGCCCCAAGTTATTTATTAAAGTGTTGTTTGAATAACAAAAATCTGGAAGCCTACTAGTCCATCAGAAGGAGACTTTTTTTCTTTTTTGAGACAGAGGCTTGCTCTGTCACCCAGGCTGGAGTGCAGTGGCGTGATCTCAGCTCACTGCAACCTCTGCCCAGAGGGGGACTTTAAACAAATCATGGTCTTTCATACAGTAGAATGCTATGCAACCATAAAATGGAATGAGAAACCCTCTATTTCTGATAAGGAAACCTCCAAGAAAAAAAAAATTTTTTTTTTTGAGACAGAGTTTTGCTCTTGTCGCCCAGGCTGGAGTGCAATGGTGCAATCTCGGCTTACCGCAACCTTCGCCTCCGGAGTTCAAGCAATTCTCCTGCCTCAGCCTCCTGAGTAGCTGGGATTACAGGCATGTGCCGCCATGCCCAGCTAATTTTTAATAGAGACGGGGTTTCACCATGTTGGCTAGGCTGGTCTCGAACTCCTGACCTCAGGTGATCCGCCTGCCTCAGCCTCCCAAAGTGCTGGGATTACAGGCATGAGCCATCACATCTGGCCCCAAGAAAATTTTAAAAGCAAAATGCAAAATGTTGTAAAGAGTATGCTACCATTTGTATGAGAGGGGACAAGATAAGAATATATATTTATACTTTTTTTTTGAGATAGAGCCTCCCTCTGTTGCCCAGGCTGGAGTGCAGTGGTGCAATCACAGGGCTCACTGCAACCTCTGACTCCCAGGTTCAAGTGAGTCTCCTGCCTCAGCCTCCCAAGTATCTGGGACTACAGGTGCCCGCCACCATGCCCGGCTAGTTTTTGTATTTTTAGTAGAGAGGGGTTTTGCCATGTTGCCCAGGCTGGTCTCGAACTCCTGAGCACAGACAGTCTGCCTGCCTTGGCCTTCCAAAGTGCTGAGATTACAGGTGTGAGCCACTGCACCTGGTGGTATATTTATACTTAATATGATTTGGATCTGCGTCCCTGCCCAAATCTCATGTGGAATTGTAATCCCCAATGTTGGAGGTGGGGCCTGTGAGAGGTGATTGGGTCTGTGGGGACAGATTTCCCCTTGGTGCTGTTCTCCTGATAGTGAGTGAGTTCTCGTGAGAGCTGAGATCTGGTTGTCTAAACATGTGTAGCATCTTCCCCATCTCTCTTGCTCCTGCTCCTGCCATGTAAGATGCCTGCCCCCGCTTAGCCTTCCGCCATGAGTAAAAGCTCCTTGAGGCCTCCCCAGAAGAGGAGGCTGCCATGCTTCACAGCCTGCCGAACCGTGAGGCAATTAAACCTTTTTTTTTTTTTTTTTAAGTTTTGGAGACAGGGTCTCACTCTGTCACCCAGGCTGGAATGCAATGGCGCGATCTCAGCTCACCGCGACCTCCATCTCCCAGGCTCAAGCGATTTTCCTGCCTCAGCCTCCCGAGTAGCTGGGATTACAGGCGTGAGCCACCACGCCCAGCTAATTTTTGTATTTTTAGTAAAGATGAGGTTTCACCATGTTGGCCAGGCTGGTCTCGAACTCCTGACCTCAAATGATCCACCCACCCCGGCTTCCCAAAGTGCTGGGTTTAGAAGGGTGAGCCACTGCGCCCAGTCAAACCTCTTTCTTTATGAATTACCCAGTCTCAGGTATTTCTGTACAGCAGTGTGAGAATGGCCTAATACAACTTGTTTGTATATGCATGAAGAAACTCAGGGGGGATATCTAAGGTACTAATAATAGCAGTTTTGTGTGTGCAAGTGTGCTGAGGCTCCAGATGCCATCTGGGCAACAAAAGGACAAAGGGTGGGAGGAAGACTTTTCACCATGCATCTGTGTATACCTTCTTTTTTTTTAAATTTTTAAATTTTATTCAGACAGTGTCTCACTATGTTGTCCAGGCTGGTCTTGAACTTCTGGGCTCAAGCAATCCTCCCACCTCTGCTTCCTAAAGTGCTAGAATTACAGGAGTGGGCCACTGCACACAGCCAATACAATCTGATTTTTAAATCTTACAAATGTATTGCCTATTTGAAGTAATTTTTTTATAAGAAAGGCAGAACATTGTAATGGAATTTACATATAATAAAGTATACAAAATTCTAACTAATAGTTAAGTCAGCAGATAGAATTTCATTACAATAATTATTACTACAAAGAAGAGTACATATTAAAATATAATAAAACCTTTTCCAAACCCATGCACATTCATGTCCCATGTGAAAATACTGAATTTATTTGGTTGTAATAAAGTTCGCTCTAAGAAAGTCTCTGTGCAACAAGTGTCTTGGCTAGTCTGATGTAATGGTCAGTAAGTTGCTCCTTTCTTCTTTATCAATTATACCTTCAAGTAGCCATTCCTCTCCACATTCCCCCAGTGTTTACTGGGAAGTTACTCGAGGACGCAGCAGCAGATTCTTTGAGACACTGAAATGAACAAGACAGCTCTCTGCTCTACTCAGAGCATGTGCCCCCATGCCTCAACCCTTCACTTGGCTTAATAAGCCTTTGCTCAGACGTCTCCTCATACACTGATACCCTCTCTAAAATGGATCCCCTTTCTGCCCTCTCTCCGTCCCCTTACGCTCATTCATTTCTCTTTATGTCCCTCCTCACTATCTGACAGATGACACATTTACTTGATTAATGTGCCTCCTCTCCCACTAGAACAGCACCTGCCCCATAGTGGGCTCTCAGTACATGTTTGTCAAGTGAATAAATGAAGAAGTGCAAAAGAACGGAGAGGCTGCGGCATTCCAGACTGTAGGGGATGGTGTAAACAAAACACACGGTCAAATGAGATGAAGACATGCAGACTTGAAGAAGCCGTGATCACACGCATGAACTTGAGATGGGAAGGCCAGAAAACTGTCACAATGACATCGAGATCTGAGGTCTCCCGTGGGCTTCACATTGTCCAGGAAGAATCCTTAAACAGCTCCTAGAGGGCCAGATGGGTCTGCCCAACAGAAAGAATGTACACCTTGATTCTGTACTCAGGTCACTGAGTAGGATCAACAATTCAAGCCAAGGCAGTTGAATACCAGTGCCCCTGATATAAATTTACCTTAAAACTCAATAGCCCTCAAATGTTCTTGGAGGATAATGTTCTGTTATCCTAATAAATGGGAAGTAGAACTCTCAGTGCTGCTTAAGCCCTGTTTAAATTCCCTTGATTGTAATATCCCTTTCCCTACCTTTCTTTGGCCTCAGCTAAAGAGGAGCCTGAAGCTTTCATTAGATTACTCTGACCTTTCATTAAAGGATCGCTCTGCGGACAGTTGGGGTTTGGATTACGTTCTTTTCGAACCACCTGACTGGCAGGTTGAATGGGTTTAATGGATCTAAGATGATGAGAGGGAAGGCTGGTGCTGAATGCATTTAGCCATCTTGTTTCCAGGACAATAATTTGAGTGAAAACCTTCTTGTCATGCTTGACCAGCCTTGTTAGAGGGAGCCGGGCAGGTGTGAAGTCCAGTGCCAAGTATGCGCTTGTGCACACACACACGCTTGTGACAGCAGAGGCTCATTTTAGAATATCCCTTCCAGGTCTCAGTTCGTGGTAACCGGTCATCAGCACTGACAATTTCAACCTCCCCTGAACTTTTTTATCCCTTGATTTCAGTGGCTCAGCCCTCTACCCTGACTTTAGAGGCAGAATGGGCTGGACTCATGCTGCCTGTGTAGGACTCCGGGCTCTGAGCCTTGCCGCGCGAGCTTGGGCAAGAGGCTTAAGCTCTCTGGCTCTCACTTTCTTCAGGTAATGGTACTTTCCTCATTATGTGGTGAGGATCAAGTGCATGAATGCATGGACAGCACTTAGGAGGATAGTGCTGGGGTCATAAACACTCACCAACATAAGTAATAATTATTTTGTCTTTGAATTCTCTCTCTGGCTCGTTTTCCAGTTCCCTGACTATGACCCCAGATTTGCCTCTTATCTTCTTTCCTCTAGGTGTTTTCTTTTCTTTTCTTTTCTTTTCTTTTTTTTGAGACAGAGTTTCACTCTTGCTGCCCAAGCTGGAGTGCGATGGTGCGATCTCAGCTCACTGCAACCTCCAGCAACCTGGGTTCAAGTGATTCTCCTGCTTCAGCCTCCTGAGTAGCTGGGATTACAGGCGCACACCACTACGCCAGGCTAATTTTTTGCATTTTTGGTAGAGACAGGGTTTCATCATGTTGGTCAGGCTGGTCTTGAACTCCCGACGTCGTGATCTGCCCGCCTCGGCCTCCCAAAGTGCTAGGATTACAGGCGTGAGCCACTGCACCTGGCCTAGGTGTTTTCTTTCTTTTGGTACGTGACCCTCCCCCAGCTCACTCAGCTGGCGCACAGGGGAAGGGCTTGTACGGGAAGGACTCTGCTGGTTCTGACTTTCCTTCAGAGCTCCAGCCATATTTTGAGCGCCTGCCAGATGTTTACTGGGTGGTCCTGACAGCACCAAATCAACACAGCTACATCCCAACGCATCACCTCAGGAAAACGCATTATTTAATGCTTCGCCAGGCTTCCATGACCAAATAGTTAATGAATCCTTTGCTTACCTATACCCTTTCCATTTCTAACGCTACTGCCTAATTTCAGCCTCCTTACTTCACGGCTGGGCTATTCCCATGACTTCTAGCGTCTCCTACCCACACTTAACCACCGACTAATCACAAATCACACAGTAAAGGCCACATCGTTCTTTTACTCTGAAACCTTAAGATCCCCCACTTGTCTAACATACAAAATTCAAGCTCATAACTTAGCGTCGAAGGCTTTCCTGGCTCTGGTTTTCAACTGTCTCCTCCTCCTGCACCCCTCTGCACACCTCGTGTTCTAACCACCTGGACTTCTGTGAGCTCTGTCTTTGCATATATCATCCAGTTTAAACAGCTCTTCACCCAGCTCTAGAGACGAGAATCCTGCTCATCCTTCAAAGCCCCGTGTACATACTTCTTTCAGGAGGCCTTTTCTGACTTCTCACTCCTTTTAGTTCATTTAGACATTCTGCCATTCTAATTATACATATCACATACTGCCTTGTATTGTAATTATTTGTTTCTGCAGTTTTGCTTTCCTGATAGATAGCAAACTATTTATGGGCAAGGATCATAGTCTGTGTACATCTTTGCATCAGACTTACCTTTCATATAGCAAATTCTTAATAAATGTGAATGAATAAATAAAATGATAGTGTTTTCAGCCCACGTCTATTTGTATCTGTGTGGAATTTTCCCTAAAGATTTGGTGGTAACAAATGTGGCAATCAAGTCATAATCTAAACCAGAAAGTACACTTTAGAGAATAATTTAATTTCCTTGGCTCATTAAATCTTGTAATTTGGGAAGTGGCTTCAGTAATGTGGTCATTTTCCTGCTAAGCCCCAAACCTAGACCATCAGTTCATGAGGAGACAACATGTGGAAATGTTTACCAGCCACTAACTACTGTCTTAGACAGAGTGGTTTTGCTGCTCCCCAACAACCAATCAATGATATTGAGTTCTTCATCTCTGCGCCCAGAAGCTCATATAGGAATTAGGAGAGATAGAAAGGACTTTAAGACATTATCCTTGCATAGAGGCTTTTGGTCTGATTGTGAGACAAGATCAGCATACTTGAAATTATTCAAAAATAAGTAAGGCTAATGTGTAGGTGTTGGCAGTAAGTGTCACAGGAATTTAGAGAAATAAAAATAATAATAGTTAACATTTGAGTGCTTAGTATTTGCCAACTTATTATTTCATATAATTTCCCCTCAAATCTTATGAGCTAAGCATTAATATTCTCATTTTATAAATGCAGAAACTTAAGGTAAAGAGGTTAGGTAATTTGACCAAGGTCTAGAAACGTAGCTGGAAAATGCTGCCATTTACCAGATGGGTTTCGAATCCAAGCTCTGAGGCCCCCCATCCAGACTTCGCTCTCTGCAGCCCACCTCTGAAGCTGTGAATTACTCATCTGCACAAAACCTCCATAGTTCTTAGTTCACAGTGAGCAATACTATCCCACTTTGAACAGAAGGCATTTAAGGGCCTCCACAACGTGTCTACAACCTGCCCTTCCAGCCTGATGTCCAGGTACTTCCCACACTGTACTGTGGTTAAAGGGGTGTCTCAGAGCCCCCTCTTTTCATAAATTCCGATGTTTAGGGCTCTGGGTCTTGGTCAAACACTTTTGGTTTTTAGTAACTGAAACACACACGGATAAAACAAAAAAAGGGGAAAGCTCATTATAAGGATATGAGTAAATCTCATAAAACCAATGGTGGAACATCTGGTCAGGCTTCACAAGGAACAAATCGGAACCCGAGAAACGCTCACAGTCTCCATGGGGCGATGGCCTGCTCTTCTCTACTGTGAGCCTGGGTTCCGTTCTCCCTCTCCCGCATGCTTGGCACATGGTGGAGGCTCCCGTCCTAGATCCCCAAGTTTAAATCTTCAGTTGTAGAGAGTAACCAGCACCCATGAACCCCAATTCCAAGTTCACAAGTAAGAAGATCTGAGTAGCAGCTTGTGCCTGGTGTCACTTACGGCCAGGGAGGACGGAGTTTTAGCACAGACATGGCGGTTGCAGCCCTTCCCTGTGCACAGGGGCACGTGGAGGGGTGCATTTCTTGTAAAAGGCAGCTGAAGATTAATCCAACCAAACAGGCCCACTGCGTTCATTCTACCTTTCCCACCTCACCCTAGAAAAATCCTGACCCTCTTTCTTTTTTTTTTCTTTTTGAGACAGAGTTTCGCTCATGTTGCCCAGGCTGGAGTGCAATGGCGCGATCTCGGCTCACTGCAACCTCTGGCCCCCGGGTTCAAGCGATTCTCCTGCCTCAGCCTCCTGAAGTATCTGGGATTACAGGCATACACCACCACGCCCAGATAATTTTGTATTTTTAGTAGAGACGGGGTTTCTCCATGTTGGTCAGGCTGGTCTCAAACTCCTGACCTCAGGTGATCCGCCCTCCTCGGCCTCCCAAAGTGCTGGGATTACAGCCGTGAGCCACTGTGCCCAGCCGATCCTGACCCTCCTTCTAATCCCAGCTCAAGTGCCACTTTAAAAATATCTTTTTCCTTCCTTAGGAAGACAAAAAGTTGTATTCTGTCCCACTTTATTTATTTATTTATTTTTTGGAACGAAGTTTCGCTCTTGTTGCCCAGGCTGGAGCACAATGGCACGATCTCGGCTCACTGCAATCTCTGCCTCCCGGGTTCAAGCGATTCTCCTGCCTCAGCCTCCCAAGTAGCTGGGATTACAGGTGCCCGCCACCACACCCAGCTAATTTTTGTATATTTAGTAGAGACAGGGTTTTACCATGTTGACCAGGCTGGTCTTGAACTTCTGACCTCAGGTGATCCACCTGCCTTAGCCTCCCAAAGTGCTGGGATTACAAGCGTGAGCCACCACCCCCAGCTGTCCCACTTTATGACCTTCCTGATCACAGTTCCTTGAACATAACAGTTGCTCAGTAAACATAGGTTGCACTGAGTTGAGCTACAGTGGTAAAAGAAGGCTTTGTGGGTGGGATCCAGCCCCGGCCTTAACAGGCGATGTGATTTCCATCAAGGAGGGTGGAGCACCACATCGCAGCCAGCAGGGATAATAAGCAGGAGCCGCTGGGGGCGGTGGCTCTCACCTGTAATCCCAGCATTTAGGAGGCCGAGGCGCGCGGATCACGAGGTCAAGAGATTGAGACCATCCTGGCCAACATAGTGAAACCCCGTCTCTACTAAAAATACAAAAAAATTAGCTGAGCATGGTGGCTGGTGCCTGTAATCCCAGCTACTCCAGAGGCTGAGGCACAAGAATCGCTTGAACCCGGGAGGCAGAGATTGCAGTGAGCCGAGATCGTGCCACTGCATTCTAGTCTGGGACAGAGCGAGACTCCGTCTCAAAAAAAAAAGACAGGAGCCCAGGAACTGGAGGGCAGAGAAGAGGTAGGTTGTCCAGATGGGAATGTGTGAGCCAGGGATGCTGAGGAGGAGGCTAAGGCTGTGAGAGGCTCTGCACAGAGGCATTGTGCCCAGTGCCACAGGCAACTGGGAGGCAGCATGACAACCGGAAAGTGGCTTGGCGAAATAGAGAGGCGACCAAGGAAGGTTGGTCTGGCTGCACACGGACAGAGCTGAAAGACAGGGGAAAGTGGTGTTGAGTGGGGCAGAGCCCACTTCTGGCACGAGAGCTGCCAGAAGACAGGGTCAGAGACTCAGGCACCCGCAGGTGAGGCCAGGCCTGGGAGTAATGAGAAGGAAAAATCCAAGAGAGATTTCAGACGAAGAAATGGTAGAAGTGGGTCTGTCATAGTCCCTGCCACGATTACTGATGCCATTCTAGGTTAGAGGCACTTCATGAAAATATTATCTGCACAGTAAGGTAGATTCTGTTGTCCCCTGTTTATGGATGAGGTGACTAAGGCCACACAGACAGTAGGTACTAGAGCCTGGAGTTGAGCCCACACATGCTTGAATCCAAACTGCCTGCTCCTGCCACTCTGCCACACTGTCTGGTTGTCATTACTGAGTTTCCGCAAAGCTGTTGGTTTGAGACAACGTGACTGCACAGGTGTCTCCTCAAGCTCCATCACATCCTTGAAGCGTGGTCCAACAGAAGAACATGTCCCCAAGTCTGTCCCTTTTCCAACCAGCTTTTCATGTTCACGGAGACTGGTGTGTGAGGTTCTCTGAGCAGGGGTCCAGCCAATTGTCCTGGCCATGGGTATTGTGGGGCTTTGTAGGAGGCAGGCACGAGGTAGGGGTGAGGTAGGAGTAAGAGTGAAGGGGAGAAGAGCGTGGGAATGCCTGAGTGCAGACAGCCTTGTCAGGAGAGGGCCTGCACTTTAGACTGTAAAGAGCTGAAACTTGGGCTTGTGTTCAAGAGTAAGGCCAGTGTGTACATATGCATACATGTGCATGCATAAATAAGTACACACACATGCATATACATATGTATGTGTGCGCATATGCATACACGTCCATACACGTGTACATATATGTGCATGTGTGCGTGCATACACACATGTACATACATATGGATACATACACATGTATACATATACATGCATGCAGGCACATGTATACATGCATACATACACATGTATTTAAGCCAGAGATTGCACACTGGTGCCCTAAGAGCTGGATATTGGCCCAGATGTGTTTTCTTTGGTCTACATTAAATTTTTTTTTTCCTTTTTGAGACAGAATCTTGTCCTGTCACCCAGGCTGGAGTGCAGTGGCTTGATTTCGGCTCACTGCAACCTCCACCTCCCGGGTCCAAACGATTCTCATGTCTCAGCCTCTTGAGTAGCTGGGACTACAGGCATGAGCCACCACACCCAGCTAATTGTTGTATTTTTAGTAGAGATAGAGTTTCACCATGTTGGCCAGGCTGGTCTCAAAGTCATGACCTCAAGTGATCCACCCACCTCGGCCTCCCAAAATGCTGTGATTACAGGCGTAAGCCACAGTGCTCGGCCTGTATTTAAATTTTTAAATATTATTTATTTAACAAACACATGTAGCATTTACTATGAATTCATTTAATCCTCATAATAGCATCATAAAGTAGGCACTATTAATAGCTTCTTTTACTGATGAGAAAATTTAGGCACAGAGAAGTTAAGTAATTTGCCCAAGGACACAGCTAATAAGAGCCAGGATTTGGACCAGGCGTGGTGACTCATGCCTGTAATCCCAGCATTTTGGGAGGCCAAGGCAGGAAGATCATTTGAGCCTAGGAGTTCAAAACCAACCTGGGCAACATGGTGAGACCTGTCTCTACAAAAAGAAAAAAAAATCTATATATAGATAGATAGATAGATCTAGATAGATAGATAGATATAGATAGATAGATAGATATATCTATATATATAGTGGGGCTCCTGTTTGAGCCCAGGAATTGGAGGCTGCAGTGAGCTACAATCTCCACTGCTCTCTAGCTTGGGCAACACAGCCAAAACCCTGACTCAAAAAAATAAAAAATTAAAAAAAAAAAGAGACAGGATTTGAACCCTAATTTCCTACTTCTCACTTATTGCTAAAGTTCTTCTGATCCATTACTGAACTTTAAAAATTAGAGTACTTTACACAATATCCCGATTTTTTGCCTCTCTGAGAAAATTGAGAAATCTGGCAGCATTGTAGCTGTCCTTTCCCCACATGCAGCTGTGGTCGGCCATTGCACTGGATGGGACATGGGCTCTGGTTCATGAGAGTTCCCAGCCAGCCCTCAAACATTTATATTACCTGCCTGCCCCGGCCCCTGTAAGATACCTGTGTTTTCTTTTTTTTGAGACAGAGCTCGCTGTCTCGCCCAGCTCTGGGCCACAGCTCAGTTGCAAAACGACATTCCCCTTGCCTTCTTCCTTCTGCTGCACCCCAGGCACCTGAAACCTTATCCCTACCCTACAGAACAGTCTTCAGAAAATGGTCAGGTCAGCTTTGCAAGGAGAAGATGGCGGTGATTAGGCGAATTACCTCATCTTTCTGGGACTCAAACGCCTCACTGACGAGAGGGGCGAAAGTGATGGGATTTCACTTCCCAGACTGGACTAAAACTCTAGCTCACATCTTGACTGCAACCTAAGGAGAGGCCACCTAAGCCATGCCTGGATTCCTGACCCTTAGAAACAGAGAAAAAATGAATAATTATTGTTTTAAGCAGCTCTCTTTCTTTCTTTCTTTCTTTCTTTCTTTCTTTCTCTCTCTCTCTCTCCCTCTCCCTCCCTCTCTCTCTCTCTCTTTCTTTCTTTCTTTCTTTTTTGAGACGGAGCCTCGCTTCGTCGCCCAGGCTGGTGTGCAATGGCACAATCTCGGCTCACTGAAACCCCGCCTCCCGGGTTCAAGCGATTCTCCTGCCTCAGCCTCGCTAGTAGCTGGGATTACAGGCATCCACCACCACGCTTGGCTAATTTTTGTATTTTTAATAGGGACGGGGTTTCACCATGTAGGCCAGGCTGGTCTCAAACTCCCGACCTCAGGTGCTCTGCCGGCCTTGGCCTCCCAAAGTGTTGGGATTACAGGAGTGAGCCACTGCGCCTGGCCTTGCAGCTCAATTTCTAATCATCTATTACACAGCAATAGATAACTGATAATACTCTGTGAGCTGACAATATTGACAAGAATGTGATTCCACATTCTTGGGCCATGGTGGGGAAGGTCTGATGTGCTCTCTTCCTGTTAGTTAGTACTCTCTATTCAAAATATTAGAACACACAGGAGAGGAAATAAGCGTCAAGAGCAACTTGCCCCAGGTCCTGCAGCTCCTCATTGGTGGACCCAGGATTCAAACCAGGCAGTCTGATTCCAGAGAAAAAGTCTTAGGCACTGTTAGCTACTGCTAGTCAACAACCATCACCGGCATACTTTTGGCTGATTGCAGAGTAAAGAAGACAGGAAATATACCCCCAACAAATCACAGTGGGATTTGTTTATCAGCAAACATTAGGGCTCCCTACTGTGCAAGGCTCTTCAGGCCACCAGAGCTATTTCCAGTGCCAGTGTCTAGAACATCCCAGAGAAAACAGTAGAAAATACTACCTTCATTCTCCAGCTAAGTTTTCTGATATATTTTCCAGATCAACACACAAAGACAATTGATCTCGAACCAGCTTCCTACACTATCTTGGTGAGTTTGGTGTTTCTTTGCTGATAAGGGAACTCTTAAAAGGGAGTAATGGGGTCCGGGTGCAGTGGCTCACGCCTGTAATCCCAGCACTTTGGGAGGCCGAGGCAGGTGGATCACTTGAGGTCAGGAGTTCGAGATCAGCCTGGCCAGCATGGTGAAACCCCATCGCTACTAAAAATACAAAAATTAGCTGGGCATGGTGGCACGCACCTGTAATCCCAGCTACTCGGGAGGCTGAGGCAGGAGAATCGCTTGAACCTGGGAGGCAGAGGTTGCAGTGAGCTGAGATCACGCCACTGTACTCCAGCCTGGGCGACAAAGTGAGACTCTGTCTCAAAAACAACAACAACAACAAAAATGAAGAGTAATGAGACTGTCACCCAGAAACTGCTCTTTCACTTCAAAGTTAGAAAACAAACAAACAACAAACAAAAACTTCAGGTCTGGGCACGGTGGCTCACACCTGTAATCCCAGCACTTTTGGAGGCCTAGTCAGGAGGATCACTTGAGGTCAGGAGTTTGAGACCAGTCTGGCCAACATGGCGAAACTCCATCTCTACCAAAAAATACAAAAAAAAAAAAAAAATAGCTGGGTGTGATGGCGGGCACCTGTAGTCCCAGCTCCTTGGGAGGCTGAGGCACGAGAATCACTTGAACCCGGGAGTCAGAGGTTGCAGTGAGCCAAGACTGTGCCACTACACTCCAGCCTGGGTGACAGAGTGAGACTCTGTCTCAACAACAACAACAACTTAAAATGCAAACAAACAAATAAAATACCCATTGGGTCAGACACTTCTCAGCCCCTTTTATATATTTTTTCTTTTCTTACATACTAGAGTGTTCCCCGAGAAAACTAAGAGTAACTGCTAAACCCTTCTTAATGCACAAATCTCCTCACCCTTTCTAATTAAAACTTTGAGCTTCCTAATAATAGGCCCCATAAGTTAAAGTGTCCAGAATTCTTAATCAGAGGCAGAGGCTGGTAAATTATTAGAAGTCATCTTGTTTCTCTTCCAGACATTTGGCCTTTGAAGATGATACCAGACTGTTATCTGAACAAGCAAAAAGCCCCAAAAACAATTAACGTGGTTCCAAGGGGATGATCAAATGCTAGGAGCAGGGAAGAGATCAACCTGACAGGGTAGAAGAAACTTAAGTCAGAGAAAAGGGGAGCCTCCCTGGCTGCCTCATTCTCCCTAGCTTCTCCTGTTCTCCGAAAGTAGCATGCCAGCTTGCCTTGGCAGGGTGGTGCTGGGAGGGCCTGAGAGCTGTGCACTTGAGCACTGGGCTCCGCAGTGGGGACTGGAGAGGCCTCCAGGGGACCATGATGCACTGTGCCTCTCAGGTAGTTCAGTAAGCATTTTCCTTAGAATTGAGCTCAACAATCTTAAAAAGTAATGCAATTATTATAAAAATATTAAGCTGTCAGGTGTGGTGGCTCACACCTGTAATCCCAGCACTTCGGGAGGCCGAGGCAGGTGGATCACTTGAGACCAGCCTGACTGACATGGTGAAACCTGTCTCTACTAAAAATACAAAAATTAGCCAGGCGTGGTGGTGCGTGCCTGTAATCCCAGCTTCCCAGGAGGCTGAGGCATGAGAATCGCTTGAACCCGGGAGGCAGAGGCTGCAGTGAGCCGAGATTGCAGCACTGCACTCCAGCCTGGGCGACAGAGCCAGACTCTGTTCACCCCACCTCAAAAAAAAAAAAAAAAAAGAAAGGCAAGGTATTTAGGTTCAAGATACTGTGACAGCTGCAGCTACTACCTACAACCGTGGTACATTCTACACTTGGGTCTTTCTGGCTTGGCACAAAGATTTGCGAAAATGACCCACTCTCTGAAAAATCATACAAAATGCCCCCAGTTTCGTTTTGATAGACTCGGGTTGTGTGCTAGTGCAGGGCACTCCTTGGCCTGGTGGAGGCTACTGGGATAAAGACAGGCACAGCCCTTGCCTCCAGGGCTTTCAGGTCAGTGGATTAAACAGCCTTGTCAGTGACGCAGTCCAATAGCAAGAGGATGAATGTCAGTCAGTGCCAAGCACAGGGTAAAACAGCACACCGAAGCAGCCTGGAGGAAGGAAGGGCCATGTCCACTACCAGGCTTGGAAGCATAAGTAGGATGTAGGCAGGCAGGAGTGGCTGGGGGATCCGCTGGGGAACAGCCACAAAGGCACAGAGTGCCAGAGAAGCCCGGGAGCCTCCAGGAGTCAGCAGCGGCCTGGGGACGAGAGGACGATTAGGACAGGTGACCATCACGGCCGTTCCTGGGTAACGAAGAACCCTCCTGTCCTGCTGGGACAAGGGGGGATGGGAGCTGGAAATGGCCACAGCCAGAGCAGCCAGGCTCTCCCATGATCATGAAGTCAGAGCCAAGCACACAGAGAGATCACAGTTTCTCCATGTCGAAGGGAAAGAGGCTGAAGAAGAAACCTCATCTACTCATGATGAAATACCCTTCACCCCTAACGTAGGCGTCAGCACTAGGAAAGTCCCTTACGCCGATGCTTCCTGTGGTTCCATTCTCACCACAATGTACCCACCTGCAGCCTGCGGGCCCACTTGTCCTCACTACCCCATGCTCTGCTCCAGCCTGTTTGGTCGGGAACCACATTTCCCCATCTCCCATGCTTTCTGGCTGTTGGGGGCACTGCAGAAGACTGGAGTGTGGGAGCCAGGAGGAAGGCAGGGTGTTCCTCCTCCTGCAAGGGCCCCATGTCGTGCAAAGGCAGTGTCTCCTGCACAGTTCCATCTCTAGTTGGACATCATCTCCCTTCCTGGTCCCAGCTTCCCTCATCACCTCCACCCACTAACACGGAACCCTGTCTTCAGGAGCCCGGCAACGTCATCTCCTACTGTGTCTTCCTAACCCTAGGAGTAGCAACGGCTTCCTGCGCTGTAAGTCCCTCAGCACCTGTGGAACCAGCTTGCTGCACTGGAGTGCCGATTTTCCTGGCTGAACACAAACTGATACGATGGAGAATACTGCTGCGGGAGGCGTGTCTTTGTCATATTATTCTTTGCTTAAAAAGTCAAGCGGGCCGCGTGTGGTGGCTCACGCCTCTAATCCCAGCACTTTGGGAGGCCAAGGCGGGTGGATCACCTGAGGCCGGGAGTTCAAGACCAGCCTGACCAACATGGAGAAACCCCATCTCTACTAAAAATACAAAATTAGCCGGGCGTTGTGGCGCATGCCTGTAATCACAGCTACTCAGGAGGCTGAGGCAGGAGAATCACTTGAACCTGGGAGGCAGAGGTTGTGGTGAGCCAAGATCATGCCATTGCACTCCAGCCTGGGCAATAAGAGGGAAATTCCATCTCAAAAAAAAAAAAAAGTCAAGTGAATTGTGCATTGTATCCCATAAATTATCTGTATTTGTCCCAACATGAAAACAATGTTCCCTGCAAATCTTGGCATGAATTTGAAGCTCTCTAAAGGTGCCCCCATGTGTTCTGTGGCACCATTGCCCACAGCTTAGTGTACTGACAGAATCGTCCCCTGTAGCCATTGACTATCGGTACTAATCAACTGGGGCTGCTATCATAAAATACCACAGACCTGGGGGCTTAAACAACAGAAATGTATTTGCTCAAAGTTCTGGAGGCTGGAAGTCCAAGATCAAGATGTTGGCAAGGTTGGTTTCTCCTGAGGCCTCTCTCCTTGGTGTGCAGAAGGCCGCCTCTGGCTGTGTCCTCACATGGCCTTTCCTCTTTGTGTGCACTCCTGCTGTCTCTTCTCTTCTTCTTACAAAGACACCCATTGTATTAGATTAGGGCTCCATCCTTAGAACCTCATTTAATCCTTTTTTTTTTTTTTTTTTTTTTTGGAGATGGAGTTTTGCTCTTGTCCCTAGGCTGGAGTACAATGACATGATCTTGGCTCACTGCAGCTCCCACCTCCCAGATTCAAGTGATTCTTCTGCCTCAGCCTCCCGAGTAGTTATGATTACAGGCACCCACCACCATGCCTGGCTAATTTTTGTATTTTTAGTAGAGACGGGGTTTCCCCATGTTGGCCACGCTGGTCTCAAATTCCTGACCTCAGGTGATCCACCCACCTCAGCCTCCCAAAGTGCTGGGATTATAGGCGTGAGCCACCTCGCCCGGCTGACTTCGTTTCATTTTAATCATCTCCTTAAAAGTCCCTTCTCCAAATGCAGTCACATTGAGGGCCAGGGCTTCAACATTTGAATTTGTGGGCTGGAGAAGCCCACTTCAGTCTATAAGACCACCCTGGTCATCTTTGGGCAGAACTGCAGATAACTCATTTTCATGATAAAGATGATCATTCTGGCCACGTGCGGTGGCTCATGCCTGTAATCCCAGCACTTTGGGAGCCCAAGGTGGGTGGATCACAAGGTCAGCAGTTCAAGATCAGCCGGCCCAGATGGTGAAACTCTGTCTCTACTAAAACTATAAAAATTAGCCAGATGCGGTGGTGCATGCCTGTAATCCCAGCTACTCGGGAGGGTGGGGCAGGAGAATTGCTTGAACCCAGGTGGCAAAGTTTGCGGTGAACTGAGATTGAGCCACTGCACTCCAGCCTGGGTGACAGAATGAGACTCCATCTCAAAAAAAAAAAAAAAAAGATCATTCCTAGGTTTCCAGGCCTTTTACAATTCTGATGAGCAAAGCCATTGTCTACCCAGAAACCACTACTAAATATGAAATTGTTACCAAGAGCCCAAGAGTATCCAGTCTAGCATTCTCCTGTTTGCCCATTAGCAAAATACTTGTTTAGCAAATTGCTACACAAAGAGCAGAACCCTGGGAAGAGAAAGGTTTATTGGGGTGTAGAGGTGGCAGAACAGGAATGAGCCAGGAGGAGGGGCGTTTAGAGGAGGAGTTGTTTGGGCAACAATCTGGTAGGCTAGGCTGGGCCAGGAACGGGACTATTGGATATTCTTTTCTCATTCTTCTCCAGTTTTTTTCTCTACCCTTCTTCCCTGCTCTGGCTAGCTCCTGCTGTAAGGAGCAGTACCCCAAACAGGGACGTCCAGGCACGGTGGTTCATGCTTGTAACCACAGTGCTTGGGAAGGATGGGGCAGAATGATCGCTTGAGGCCAGGAGTTTCAGGCCAGCCTGGGCAACATAGAGAGCCCTCAACTCTACAAAAAATATATAACTTAGCTGGGGGAGGTGGTGAATGCCAGTGGTCCCAGCTACTCAGGAGGCTGAGGTGGGAAGATGGCTTGAGCCAAGGAGTTTGAGGCTGCAGTGAGCTGTCATTGCACCACTGCACTCCAGCCTGGGCAACAGAGTGAGACCCTGTCTCTCAAAAAAAAAAAACAACCAATCAACCAACCAAACAAGGAAAGATCCTCTCAGGCACTATCCTATAGGGGGCAGGTCACATGTCTGCTTGCTCTGGGCACAAGGTCATTGCCACACCTCTGTCTGGGTCCATCTCTTTCAAGCCAATCAATCGTTCCCAGCAAAGAGAGTGCTTACCTTCAGGCATAGCCCTGGCCTCTGACGCTACAACAAACAAGAGCTTTCAGTCTTGTTGAGAAACACAGTTCCCTCCTTAACTATTTTGGTAGGGTTCTTTTAATTCAGAACTTTAGAAAGCAAACAGAAGAATACCTTGAATCCCTAAATGAAATTAACCAAAGTCACTGTTTTGGGAAAATAAACCGAATTGAAAATAATATAAAGTCATAAACACAATGTAGAGATAATGTTATCTTCTCACTGGAAGATTAATTACCTTAACCAGGGATGACTAGGGCTAGGTCTCTGGCCCAGTACAGTCGTTTTGATACAGCCACAGCCCATACTGGTCTGGTTGCTTCTCGCTATTGGTGTTTATTGCAGAGACATAATTGTTTATGGATTTTCTGCCTCCATTAATTATGTTTCTATTTCCACCATTCCTGTTCCAAATTTCTATTGTAGAAATGCTAGAGAACTCTGTAATGCAAATGTGTTTGGTATGAAGCTATAGAGTACAAGGGGTTTTACAGGGCTGCCCAGATTTAGGGAGGGTCTTCTCATATCACATAGAAACTTCCCATATCACATAGGAACTCCACACCCCAGCAATATTTTATTATCAAACAGTCCCTCTAGTAAAACAGCAAGGGTCAAATGCTACACTTTGTTTCAGACAGGGTCTTGCTCTGTCACCTAGGCTGCAGTGCAGTGGTGCGATCTTGGCTCAGTGCAACCTCAATTTCCTGGGCTCATGCGACCCTCCCACCTCAGCCTCTCAAGTAGCTGGGACTACAGGTGTGCATCATCATGCCCAGCTATTTTTATTTTTATTTTTTGTAAAGATGAGGTCTCACTTTGTTGCCCTGGCTGGTCTCAAACTCCTGGCCTCAAGCCATCCTCCCGCCAAGGCCTCCCAACATGCTGGGATTACAGGTGCGAGCCACCATACCCAGCCTGATTTCATTTTCGACATTCATTTTGTCTTTTATACCTTTAAATCAAGTTGGGTAAAGTAAAATATGTGGATTTCATGTTTTAACCAACAAAAGGTGTGGGGTGACAAGAGCAAGAAGCATTTGTTAAGCATGAACACCATGCTAGGTGTCTTACTTATGTTGCCTTTATCTAATAATGCCTATAATGCTAAGAGACATTACTGCTGTCTGACAGCTGAAGACACTGAGGTCCAGGAGGGTGACAGGCAAGCGGGGAGCAGAGCCGGGACAGGAGGACAGCATGATCCAAGTCAGAGCCCGTGTTCTTTTATTATCCCAAATCTGGAACAACAGATCACTTCTGTTTCCTTGATGGACTTAAAAAAGTTTTTGTGGTGATGGTCCGGATCCAAGATGGCCGAATAGGAACAGCTCCAGTCTGCAGCTCCCAGCGTGATTGACACAGAAGACAGGTGATTTCTGCATTTCCAACTGAGGTACCTATTCATCTCATTGGGACTGGTTGGACAGTGGGTGCAGCCCATGGAGGGTGAGCCAAAGCAGGGTGGGGCATCGCCTCACCCAGGAAGTGCAAGGGATCAGGGGATTTCCCTTTCCTAGCCAAGGGAAGCCATGACAGACTGTACCTGGAAAATCGGGACACTCCCACCCTAACACTGCCCTTTTCCAAGGGTCTTAGCAAACAGCACACCAGGAGATTATATCCTACGCCTGGCTCAGTGGGTCCCACACCCACAGAGCTTTGCTCACTGCTAGCGCAGCAGTCTGAGATCAAACTGGGAGGCGGCAGCCTGGCTGGGGGAAGGGCGTCTGCCCTTGCAGAGGCTTGAGTAGGTAAACAAAGCAGAGGGGAAGCTCGAACTGGATGGAGCGCACCATAGCTCAACAAGGCCTGCCTGCCTCTGTAGACTCCACCTCTGGGGGCAGGGCACAGCTGAACAAAAGCCAGCAGCAGAAACCTCTGTAGACTTAAACATCCCTGTCTGACAGCTCTGAAGAGAGTAGTGGTTCTCCCAGCACAGTGTTTGAGCTCTGAGAACAGACAGACTTCCTCTTCAAGTGGGTCCCTGACCCTCATGTAGCCTAACTGGGAGACACCTCCCAGTAGGGGCCAACTGACACCTCATACAGCCGGGTGCCCCTCTGGGACAAAGCTTACAGAGGAAGGATCAGGCAGCAATATTTGCTGTTCTGCAATATTTGCTGTTCTGCAGCCTCCACTGGTAATACCCTGGCAAACATGGTCTGGAGTGCACCTCCAGAAAACTCCAACAGACCTGCAGCTGAGGGACCTGACTGTTAGAAGGAAAACTCACAAACAGAAAGGAATAGCATCAAAATCAACAAAAAGGACATCCGCACCGAAACCTCATCTCTAGGTCACCATCATCAAAGACCAAAGGTAGATAAAACCACAAAGATGGGGAGAAACCAGAGCAGAAAAGCTGAAAATTCTAAAAACCAGAGCGCCTCTTCTCCTCCAAAGGATCGCAGCTCCTAGTCAGCAATGGAACAAAGCTGGATGGAGAATGACTTTGATGAGTTGAGAGAAGTAGGCTTCAGAAGGTCGGTAATAAAATTCTCCAGGCTAAAGGAGGATGTTTGAACCCATCACAAGGAAGCTAAAAACCTTGGAAAAAGATTAGATGAATGGCTAACTAGAATAAACAGTATAGAGAAGACCTTAAATGACATGATGGAGCTGAAAACCATGGCACGAGTACTACGTGACACATGCACAAGCTTCAGTAGCTGATTCGATCAACTGGAAGAAAGGGGATCAGTGACTGAAGATCAAATTAATGAAATAAAGTGAGAAGAGAAGTTTAGAGAAAAAAGAATAAAAAGGAAAGAACAAAGCCTCCAAGAAATATGGGACTACGTGAAAAGACCAAATCTATGTTTGATTGGTGTACCTGAAAGTGACGGGGAGAATGGAACCAAGTTGGAAAAAGCTCTTCAGGATATTATCCAGGAGAACTTCGCCAACCTAGCAAGGCAGGCCAACATTCAAATTCAGGAAATACAGAGAATGCCACAAAGATACTCCGCGAGAAGAGCAACCACAAGACCCATAATTGTCAGATTCACCAAGGTTGAAATGAAGGAAAAAGTGTTAAAGGCAGCCAGAGAGAAAGGCCAGGTTACCCACAAAGGGAAGCCCATCAGACTAACGGCGGATGTCTCAGCAGAAACTCTACAAGCCAGAAGAGGGTGGGGGCCAATATTCAACATTCTTAATGAAAAGAATTTTCAACCCAGAATTTCATATCCAGCCAAACTAAGCTTCATAAGTGAAGGAGAAATAAAATCCTTTACAGACAAGCAAATGCTGATATTTGTCACCACCAGACCTGCCTTACAACAGCTCCTGAAGGAAGCACTAAACATGGAAAGGAATGACTGGTACCAGCCACTGCAAAAAGATGCCAAATTGTAAAGATCATCGATGCTAGGAAGAAACTGTATCAACTAACAGGAAAAATAACCAGCTGACATCATAATGACAGGATCAAATTCACACACAACAATATTAACCTTAAATGTAAATGAGCTAAATGCCCCAATTAAAAGACACAGACTGGCAAATTGGACAAAGAGTCAAAACTCATCAGTATGCTGTATTCAGGAGACCCATCTCACACGCAGAGACACACATAGGCCCAAAATAAAGGGATGGAGGAAGATCTACCAAGCAAATGGAAAACATAAAAAAGCAGGGGTTGCAATCCCAGTCTTTGATAAAACAGAATTTAAACCAACAAAGATCAAAAGAGACAAAGAAGGCCATTACACAATGGTAAAGGGATCAATTCAATGAGAAGAGCTAACTATCCTAAATATATATGCACCTAATACAGGAGCACCCAGATTCATAAAGCAAGTCCTTAGAGACCTACAAAGAGACTTAGAATCCCACACAATAATAATGGGAGACTTTAACACCCCACTGTCAATATTAGACAGATCAACAAGACAGAAGGTTAACAAGGATATCCAGGACTTGAATTCAGCTCTGCACCAAGCAGACCTAACAGACATCTACAGAACTCTCCACATCAACAGAATATACATTCTTCTCAGCACCACATTGCACTTATTCTAAAACTGACCACATAATTGGAAGTAAAGCACTCCTCAGCAAATGTAAAAGGACAGAAATCACAACAACCTGTCTCTCAGACTACAGTGCAATCAAATTAGAACTCAGGATTAAGAAAATCACTCAAAACTGCACAACTACATGGAAACTGAACAACCTGCTCCTGAATGACTACTGGGTAAATAACGAAATGAAGGCAGAAATAAAGATGTTCTTTGAGGCTGGGGGTGGTGGCTCATGCCTGTAATCCCAGCACTTTGGGAGGCTAAGACGGGCAGATCACCTGAGGTCAGGAGTTCAAGACCAGCCTGGCCAACATGGTGAGACCCCCGTCTCTACTAAAAATACAAAAAAAATTAGCCGGGCATAGTGGTGGGTGCCTGTAATCCCAGCTACTCGGGAGGCTGAGGCAGGAGAATCACTTGAACTTGGGAGGCGGAGGTTTCAGTGAGCCAAGATCACAGCATTGCACTCCAGCCTGGGCAACAGAGCAAGAATCTGTCTCAAAAAAAAAAAAAAGAAAAGATGTTCTTTGAAACCAATGAGAACAAAGACACAACGTACCAGAATCTCTGGGACACATTTAAAGCAGTGTGTAGAGGGAAATTTATAGCACTAAGTGCCCACAAGAGAAAGCAGGAAAGATCTAAAATCGACACCTTAACATCACAATTAAAAGAACTAGAGAAGCAAGAGCAAACAAATTCAAAAGCTAGCAGAAGGCAAGAAATAACTAAGATCAGAGCAGAACTGAAGGAGATAGAGACACAAAAAACCCTTCAAAAAAATCAATGAATCCAGGAGCTGGTTTTTTCAAAAGATCAACAAAATTGATATACCACTAGCAAGACTAATAAAGAAGAAAAGAGAGAAGAATCAAATAGACACAATAAAAAACGATAAAGGGGATATCACCACCAATCCCGCAGGAATACAAATTACCATCAGAGAATACTATAAACACCTCTATGCAAATAAACTAGAAAATTTAGAAGAAATGGATAAATTCCTGGACACATATACCCACCCAAGACTAAACCAGGAAGAGGTTGAATCCCTGAATAGACGAATAACAGGCTCTGAAATTGAGGCAATAATTCATAGCCTACCAACCAAAATAAAGTCCAGGACCAGATGGATTCACAGCCAAATTCTACCAGAGGTACAAAGAAGAGCTGGTACCATTCCTTCTGAAACTATTACAATCAATAGAAAAAGAGGGAATCCTCCCTAACTCATTTTATGAGGCCAGCATCATCCTGATACCAAAACCTGGCAGAGACACAACAAAGAAAGAGAATTTTAGACCAATATCCCTGATGAACATCAATGCGAAAATCCTCAATAAAATATTGGCAAACCAAATCCAGCAGCACATCAAAAAGCTTATCCACCAAGATCAAGTCGGCTTCATCCCTGGGATGCAAGGCTGGTTCAATATATGCAAATCAATAAACGTAATCCATCACATAAACAGAACCAATGACAAAAACCACATGATTATCTCAATAGACGCAGAAAAGGCCTTTGAAAAAATTCAACAGCCCTTCATCCTAAAAACTCTCAATAAACTAGGTATTGATGGAACATATCTCAAAATAGTAAGAGCTATTTATGAAAAACCCACAGCCAATATCATGCTGAATGGGCAAAAACTGGAAGCATTCCCTTTGAAAACTGGCACAAGACAGGGATGCCCTCTCTCACCACTCCTATTCAACATAGTGTTGGAAGTTATGGCCAAGGCAATCAGGCAAGAGAAAGAAATAAAGGGTATTCAATTAGGAAATGAAGAAGTCAAATTGTCCCTGTTTGCAGATGACATGATTGTATATTTAGAAAACCCCATCGTCTCAGCCCCAAATCTCCTTAAGCTGATAAGCAACTTCAGCAAAGTCTCAGGATACAAAATCAATGTGCAAAAATCACAAGGATTCCTATACACCAATAACAGACAGAGAGCCAAATCATGAGTGAACTCCCATTCACAATTGCTACAAAGAGATTAAAATACCTAGGAACCCAACTTACAAGGGATGTGAAGGACCTCTTCAAGGAGAACTACAAACCACTGCTCAACGAAATAAAAGAGGACACACACAAATGGAAGAACATCCCATGCTCATGGATAGGAAGAATCAATATTGTGAAAGTGGCCATACTGCCCAAGGTAATTTATACATTCAATGCCATCCCCATCAAGCTACCAATGACTTTCTTCACAGAACTGGAAAAAAAACTACTTTAAAGTTCATATGGAACCAAAAAATAGCCCGCATTGCCAAGACAATCCTAAGCCAAAAGAACAAAGCTGGAGGCATCACGCTACCTGACTTCAAACTATACTGCAAGGCTACAGTAACCAAAACAGCATGGTACTGGTACCAAAACAGAGATGTAGACCAATGGAACAGAAAAGATCCCTCAGAAATAACACCACACATCTACAACCATCTGACCTTTGACAAACCTGACAAAAAAAAGAAATAGGGAAAGGATTCCCTATTTAACAAATGGTGCTGGGAAAACTGGCCAGCCACATGTAGAAAGCTGAAACTGGATCCCTTCTTTATACCTTATACAAAAATTAATTCAAGATGGATTAAAGACTTAATGTTAGACCTAAAACCGTAAAAACCCTAGAAGAAAACCTAGGCAATACCATTCAAGACACAGGCATGGGCAAGGACTTCATGACTAAAACACCAAAGGCAATGGCAACAAAAGCCAAAATAGACAAATGGGATCTAATTAAACTAAAGAGCTTCTGCACAGCAAAAGAAACTACCATCAGAGTGAACGGGCAACTTACAGAATGGGAGAAAATTTTTACAATCTACCCATCTGACAAAGGGCTAATATCCAGAATCTACAAAGAACTTAAACAAATTTACAAGAAAAAAATCAAACAACCCCATCAAAGAGTGGGCGAAGGATATGAACAGACACTTCTCAAAAGAAGACATTTATGCAGCCAAAAGACACATGAAAAAATGTTCATCATCACTGGTCATCAGAGAAATGCAAATCAAAACTACAGTGAGATACCATCTCACACCAGTTAGAATGATGATCATTAAAAAGTCAGGAAACAACAGGTGCTGGAGAGGATGTGGAGAAATAGGAACACTTTTACACTGTTGGTGGGACTGTAAACTAGTTCAACCATTGTGGAAGACAGTGTGGCGATTCCTCAAGGATCTAGAACTAGAAATACCATTTGATCCAGCCATCCCATTACTGGGTATATACCCAAAGGATTATAAATCATGCTGCTATAAAGACACATGCACACGTATGTTTATTGCGGCACTATTCACAATAGCAAAGACTTGGAACCAACCCAAATGTCCACCAATGATAGACTGGATTAAGAAAATGTGGCACATATACACCACGGAATACTATGCAGCCGTAAAAAAAGATGAGTTAATATCCTTTGTAGGGACATGGATAAAGCTGGAAACCATCATTCTCAGCAAACTGTCACAAGAACAGAAAACCACACACCGCATGTTCTCACTCATAGGTGGGAATTGAACAATGAGAACACTTGGACACAGGGCGGGGAACATCACACACCAGGGCCTGTTGTGGGGTGGGGGGTTGGGGGGAGGGTTAGCATTAGGAGAAATAGGTAATGTAAATGACGAGTTAATGGGTGCATCAAACCAACATGTCACATGTATACATATGTAACAAACCTGCACGTTGTGCACATGTATCCTAGAACTTAAAGTATAATTAAAAAAAAAAAGTTTTAGTAGCATCCCCAAGGACTCGCTACTGGTAAAGTGGCAGCACACAAACTGGGGAAAAAATCAGGTCTCCTGACCCCCAACTTGCTGTTAAACTTTAAAATGCAGCTCTCTTCCTTAAGATTCAAACTACTTTCTGGTTTTCTGTGTGAAAATCATTGTAAGCCAAGTGATCTTGTCCCCTATATTGTTAGCTGCTGTGATGTCATGTATTATCACACTTCAGAAGAATATTCTCTTATTTTTTGGTTTTTACATAGTTGATCAAAATATCACAGACCAATTTTTTTTTTTTTGAGATGGGATCTCGCTCTGTCTCCCAGGCTGGAGTGCAATGGTGTGATCATGGCTCACTGCAGCCTCAACCCCCCTGACTCAAGCGATCCTCCTGCCTCAGCCACCCAGGTAGGTGGGACTACAGATGTGTGGGCCACCATGCCCATTGCAGAGACAATGTTTTGCCACATTGCCCAGGCTGGCCTCCCATTCCTGGACTCAAGCGATCCACCTGCCTTGGCCTCCCAAAGTGCTGGGATTATAAGCATGAGCCACCGTGCTGAAGTATTCAAAATCCAGTCCCTCAATAGGAGGAAAAGGGCAACTCACTGCTGGCCTCATAAGAAGTTACCCGAGGGGCAGCCTCTCCTTTAGCAGCCAAGAGAAAAGTTTGCCTGCTTCTTTCCTGGATCCTGCTGGCCACTTGGCTGCTGAGCCAGAGGTGGCGGGTGATGTGATCTTACCTGGACACATACTGACTTCAGAGTATGGTAAGGCATAGGAAACTTCTAATGCTCCTTGTTTATTAAAAAAAAAAAAAAAAAAAAAAAAAAAAGGCCAGGTGCAGTGGCTCATGCCTGTAATCCCAGCATTTTGGGAGGCCGAGGCAGGTGGATCACCAGGTCAGGAGATTGAGACATCCTGGCTAACACGGTGAAACCCCGTCTCTACTAAAACTACAAAAAATTAGTTGGGCGTGGTGGCGAATGCCTGTAGTCCCAGCTACTCGGAGGCTGAGGCAGGAGAATGGTGTGAACCCGGGAGGTGGAGCTTGAAGTGAGCCGAGATCGCGCCACTGCACTCCAGCCTGGGCGACAGAGTGAGACTCCGTCTCAAAAAAAAAAAAAAAAAACTAGGGCGGGTGCGGTGGCTCATGCCTGTAATCCCAGCATTTTGGGAGGCCGAGGCGGGTGGATCATGAGGTCAAGAGATGGAGACCATTCTGGCCAACATGGTGAAACCCGGTCTCTACTAAAAGTACAAAAATTAGTTGGGTGTGGTGGCGCTCGCCTGTAGTCCCAGCTACTCAGGAGGCTGAGGCAGGAGAATTGCTTGAACCCGGGAGGCGGAGGTTGTAGTGAGCCAAGATCGTGCCATTGCATTCCAGCCTGGGCGACAGAGCGAGACTCTTGTCTAAAAAAAAAAAAGAGAGAGAGAAATTAAAAAAAAGAGAGAAATTATAAATGTAATATCCATATTCATATATATATTTAACTGCTGTATCTTTTTTCTCTTTGGTAAAACTGAGATTAAAATTTTGTTACCAGGTCCGGGTAGTGGTAGCTCTCACCTATAATCCCAGCACTTTGACACGCCAAGGCGGGCAGATCATCTGAGGTCAGGAGATCGAGACCAGCCTGGCCAACATGGTGAAACCCCATCTCTAATAAAAATACAAAAAGTAGCTGGGTGTGGTGGTGCACACCTGTAATCCCAGCTACTGGGGAGGCTGAGGCAGGAGAATCACTTGAACCTGGGAGGTGGAGGTTGCAGTGAGCCGAGATTGTGCCATTGCACTCTAGCCTGGGCAACAGGAGTGAAAGTCAGTCTCAAAAAAAAAAAAAATTTGTTATCAGGATTCTTCTATTATAAGCAACCGGAATGGATTCTGGCTAACTTGACTGGGAAGGAGGAGGGCAAAGGAGGGAGCACAGGAAGGAGGGCTCGTAGAATCAAAGGCAGAGTTCAGCGACCAGGCTTTAAAAGGACAGGCCTCAACTTAGATGGATCTTGGGCTCTGGCCCCACATTGTCTTCAGCCCCTCTGTTTCTGCTCAATCTTTATTTATTTGTTTATTTTCATTTTTAAGGTTTTTTTTTTTTTGAGAGACAGGGTCTCCCCTTGTCACACAGGCTGGAGTACAGTGGTGTGACTTTGGCTCACTGCAGCCTTGACCTCCTGAGCTCAGGCAATCCTCCCACTTCGGCCTCCCAAACAGCTGGGACTGCAGGCGAGTGCCACCACATCCAGCTAATTTTTGTATTTTTGTAGAGACGGGGTCTCACTATGTTGCCCAGAGCTGGTCTCGAACTCCTGGGCTCAAGTGCTCCTCCCGCCTTGGTCTCCCAAAGTGCTAGGACTACAGGTGTGAGCCATCACTCCTGACCTCCTGCTCCATATTTAAATTCCAGGGAAAGCCCTTCTGATTGGTGTGGGATGGGTCAAGTGTCCGCCTTCATGGTAGGAGTGGGGCTGGCCCCTAAGACTGACACCCCCGCCAGAATTACATGAAATGTGGTCTATGGGATGGGGCTATTTCCCAAAAGAAAGGATGCCGGACAAAGAAAAAAAAAAGGCTCAGATGCCCACTACTGTGAGTAAACACAGCAACAGTGAGGGTGGAGGGTGTCGGGGGCAACGGCACCAGAGAAAGCCTGAAAACAACTCACAGCTGCAAGTCATTTGTAACTGAACTTCCAAGGTAAGAAACAAACAGCCTTACCACTTTGTGTGAGCTTGCAGGACCCAAGAAGAAAGGCAATGGCTCTTTTTGCTTCTTTCCCCTGGGGAGGAAGTTTGATTGGGCGTTTGTTGAGGCTGCACAGCTAGAGGTTGCAGCAGCCTCTGGCTGGGCACAGGATCAGGGGAATGGGGAATGGCCAGCCTTCCTGGGTCACGAGCAGCTCAGAACAAACGCTGGCCTCCTGGGCATAGCCCTGCTTCAACCAGCCTCTGACTGGAGCCAAGGGAGGCAGTGGGGTGGAGGTTGCCCAGAAGTCCCTTTGACATTAACCTTGACGCTTAGAGGCACACTTTAAAATTGTGTTGTCCAATACAGAAGTCACAAGCCACTTGCAATGTGGCTAGTCCAAACTGAGATGTGCTGTAGGTATGAAATGCACATAGGATTTTGAAGGCTTACTGGAGAAAAATAAACACACATAACATATCTTAATAATTTTTAAAAATCAGCTGAGCGTGGTGGCTCATAGCTGTAATGTCAGCACTTTTGGAGACAGAGGCAGGAGGATCACTTGAGCCCAGAAGTTCGAGACCAGACGAGGCAACATAGCAAGACTCTGCCTCTACAAAACAAAATTTTAAATTAGCTGAGTGTGGTGGTGCAGACCTGGCATCCCAGCTACTAGGAAGTCTGAGTGGGGAGGATCACAGAGTCCAGGAGTCTGAGGCTGCTGTGAGCTATGATTGCGCTACTGCACTCCAGCCTGGACGACAGAGCGAGACTCCGTCTCTAACAAACAACTTGATTTTTTAAAAATTACTTGTGTGGTTCACATTCTACGTCTCCTGAAGAGCTGCACTCTAATACCCTAGTGTTGCTTCAGAGTGCAGGTCTGTTTTTTATCCATTTTGTCTCCCCTGAACACTTGTCAGTGCCTTGCACAGAGCAGGTGCTCAATAAATTTTTGTGGGCAAATTAATAAATGACCACATTTATTCAAAGCAACGTTTATGCTGCATGTAGCATAGGCATGCAATATACACATGCCACATGTTTATGTACGAAGAGCAAACCTGTAACCCCAGCATGTACAAGGAATAAACCCTTCTCGAAATATCAAGACCAGGACACAAATGGCAAAGCTGGCAAACTGCTGTGCCCTCCTCTTTTCTTTGGTGGCCTTTTTTTATTGTCCCCTAAACTCACTCTGCTTCAACAAGAAGGCAGTCCTTTCAAGGTTTAGCAAGCTTAGCTGAAATGTGTGTTGTGTGTCAAATTAAGTGCTTTTATGGAAACGAAGAAGTGTCTATAAACCAGATTGTTGAATTACCAGGATAGATGAGGTTGTTTTCAGAGCACTCTGAGGCCTGGGGAGATTGATTCCATGAATAGCCTGAGGCCACGCAGTTACTGGTAGGGCTGGAACTAGACTCCCTGAATCTTTAAACTTCAACTTCACGCAGAGTAGAGGCTGTCAGGTATCAACTCCCTCAGCTTTCCTCCATGGGACATCCATGATATGTGTCTTTGTTCTTTCTTCCTGCTATCTCAGAGGAAGAAGGGGTGTCCTTACCCCTTTCCAGAGCTAATCTTGCCACCTGTGCCGGTCGCCCAGCCCCTCTGGGGCCACCCATCTGGGGCCTTGCTCCAGGAGTTCCCTCCTGTCCCTGATGTTTCCCTCTGTCTATCCATGGCTTGTCCATGGCCCTATCGGATGCTCAAGACCTCCTTGCCCTCAAAACTGCTGCCCTTGTCCTGGTCCTGTAACCCCTCCTGCTTGCTCCCTCTCCTCTGCATGTTCTCTCTCCGTCCTCTCCCAGGCTGACTCTTCAGTTGCTAGCTTCAGCTCCCTTCTCTCCTGACACTGATTTCACACTTCCTAAGAATAAGCTACAGATGGATCACTTGCATCTGCCACAGGGACCCAGCGTGTGTCACACACAGCTCATAGCTCCCATCTGTGCCCTGTCATCTACTCAGGATCACACCCTTTCACCCCTCTCTGACTCTCAGGCTTTCTCTCTCCTCCTTCCTCTGCTTTTCTGCTGGCTGCTGTTAGGTCCTTTCATCTCTTCTGGACCCCTGTGTTCACCAGTGCACTGAGTGCTGTGTGTTGTGCTGGGCTCAAAGCGCGTCGCAATGACCTAGGCAGGGGCCAGCACAGGGGCATCCAGCCTTCTCTGGGGAGGTTGGCGACGGCAAGATGAAGACAGTCAGCTGAGACCTGAAGGAATGACCTAGGTGAAATGGGGATCAGAGAAACTAAGGACATTGCCTCGTTGTGTGAAGGACTAAAGGCAATCAAGACAGCAGGAAACATTGGGTGAGCTAAAGGCACTTGTGAGGACCAGAGTTTGGAGCTGCAGGTGGGGAGCAGGCATGAGTTGGCCAGACCACAAATGACCTTACCTGTCAGTTTAAAGCATCTGGGGCCTCTTATCCCAGCACTTTGGTAGGTCAAGGCAGAAGGATCACTTGAGTCCAGGAGTTTGAGACCAGCCTGAGCAACACAGGGAAGCCCTCTCTCTACAAATAATTTTAAAATTAGTTGGGTGTGGTGGTGGCACACACCTGTAGTTTCCCCTACTCAGGAGGCTCAGGCAAGAGGATGGCTTGAACCCAGGAGGTTGAGGCTGCAGTGAGCTGTGATCGTACCACTGGACTCCAGCTTGGGTGACAGAGCAAGACCCTGTCTCAAAATAAATAGATAAATAAATAAATAAAATAATAAAAACAAAAAATTTGTGGTGGCGCATGCCTGCAGTCCCAGCTAGTTGGGAGGCTTGAGCCTGGGAGGTTGAGGCTGCGGTAAGTCACGATCACACCACTGCACTCTAGCCTAAACAACAGAGTGAGACCCTGTCTCAAGAAATAAAATAAAATAAAGAATATAAAGAATAAATAAAGAGTTTGGAAGTCATTTGGAAGTCACAATGGTGAGCATTTGAAGGGTTTGGGGCAGGGAGAGACGTGAAAGGATTTGCGCATTAGAAAGGTGGCTCTGGTCTCTCCCCAGTGTGGCAAACAGCAGGGAGGGAGGTAAGAGTCCAGGTGGGCTCCCAGTTATTAGTTAGCGCCTTGAGCTAGGTGACAGACTGTGGCGTCTGGAGATGGGGAAGCAGCACGCACTCATTCATTTCCAATCTTGGTCAATTTTCTTGAGCACGGCCATAGCCCTGGAGGGAGCTGAGATGACGAGCTCTACTTCTGCACTGAGGAAGGCAGATTATTATTTGTTAAGTAAATAAAGGATGACACTGCAGTGTGACAGGTGCTAGAAGACAGGTGAGAACAAATGGCCATGGGGGTCAGAGCTACCAGGACTCTTCCAGGAGGAGGTTTCCCACTGAGAGCCACAGCTCTCATCTCCTCATCTCCTTTCCTTCCATGGGATGCCAGCTTTGTCCCCCAAGCCTGGGACAGGGCATCCTTGCCTCTTTTGGATCTAGTGAGCAAAAGTAAAATGTGGCTAAAAGTAGATAGGGCTTTGTAGGACCTAGGTGTCCAGCTTGCCACTTGCTGAGAAGGCCATACCTGAGACTTTGCAAGTACCTGCTCCACAGAGACTGTGCCATGAAGCCAGCCTGAGTCCAGAACTTCCCTACCCAGGCATAAATTTGTTCCAAAGAGTTTTAGTCCCAAAGACTTTGTTAATACTTGTTTCACTGGGATCACTTCCTCTCCTCTGCCTCCCTGGCTCCTGTGCATTATTCAAAACCATGTTCAGATTCTCTCCACCGGTGCTCCCTTTTTGGCAGTGAAGTACGCCCAAGTCTTTACCAACCCCAGACAACTCCTTCCATGAGCATGCACTACCCACCACCTGCGATCTGCTCTTCAGGCACCCAGAACACATAGCAGATACAGTGTGAGCACAGGAGCCTGTGAATCCATCATGCCCTTTCCCCAGGTCATTCCCGTCCTCAAAGTCTCTGCCTCTGTGATTTCTCACAGCTCTATATCCTTTCACATTGGCGCTAATCACAGCTCTGACTTTTCCAGTGTGCTCCCACCCACCTTCAGACAGGGTCTGGCTCAGCGCAGTCACTCCCCGGTTTGATGGTGAATCTTCCATGCAGCCACCACGGAGCTCTTTCAAAAATGCAAATCTAGGCCGGACACGGTGGCTCACGCCTGTATCCCAGCATTTTGAGAGGCCAAGTCAGGCGGATCACCTCAAGTCAGGAGTTTGAGACCAGCCTGGCCAATGCGATGAAATACAATGTGATGTTGTATTTTTCAGTCTCTACTAAAAAAATACAAAAATTAGCCAGGCGTGGTGGCAGGCACCTGTAATCCCAGCTACTCGGGAGGCTGAGGCAAGAGAATCACCTGGGAGGCAGAGGTTGCGGTGAGCTGGGATTGCACCACTGCACTCCAGCCTTGGAGACAAGAGCAAGACTCCCTTTCAAAAAAAAAAAAAATATATATATATATACATATAGCAAATCTAGGCTGGGCGCAGTGGCTCATATCTGTAATCTCAGCATTTTGGGAGGCTGAGACAGGAGGATTGCTTGTGCCCAGGAGTTCAAGACCAGCCTGGGCAACATAGTCATCTGGGTTCTTCACTTAGGATTCTTTACTGCTCATGGAAAGGCCATTTTAAAAGGGCATAGGCAAAATGACATACTCAGTACAGGTGAATGAATGTCCAGTGGTTAAAGTTTAGGCATCAGCGGAGGGAGACAAAAGCCTAGCTCCTCCAATCACACTTCAAAGGCGACAAGAAACACTTAGAAGTAAATCTTGCCCTGCATGGCTGGTTTGTGTGGGAGACAATTCATGGATCCTTTTCACACTGAACAGAAAGTACTGGGAACATTAACATTGAGAGCAAGGGATGTCCCTGCAGGTCACCCAGAAGCAGAGAACAAACGAATAGCACTTGAATATCTTCACCCATAAATTTTTCTCAAATTGCAAGTAAATGTTTATTGGGAGCCAATTATGTGACTGCTACCATAATAACATACATGGTGGGGGGGCGGTGAAACATACAAATCTTGGACAACCAAGGCATTTGCAATAGCGTGCACACACACACACACACACACACACACACACACGAAATGGTAGAACGGGAACTGCAGGGAAGTGTCAAGCCAGAGTTAAGATGAAAGTCTGATGGCTGTGAAGCTTTGTAGGGGAAATTCTGTAATGCTAGAGAAAAGTGCTGCAAATCATGGGATTTTCGAACTGACATTTCATCCATTAGAGTGTAATTTAGGTTTTCCATCTCTACTATCTGTGATAAGACTAGGAAACTGTGGGAAAATGAACTGGTTTAGTGATAGCAGCAAAGAGGATAATTAAATGAGCTACTTTATCTGGGAAATTCTGCGATTCATGAGATATCAAGGAGGCGGGTCTCCCAGTAATGTTAGGAGACTAGGAGTGTTGATTTGTAGTTTTCTTGACCAGCTCTGTGCTCAACATGAAAAGTCACCTGAAACCCTTCATCCTATCTGAGTCCCTTCATTTCCTGCGTGCGCCCTGGCCGCAGAGCCTCTCCTTCAAGCCTCAGCTGCTTCCTCAGAGTTCAGCCTTCACCCACCCATGCACCAAGAGCAGTCCTTCTCCTTCTGGATCGAGGCTGTTTCCACAGGGACTAAGAGGAAGGAAACTACAGATGCTCACCCATCATGTAACATGGGCGTCTTGCAGCTCTGTGTTTTACCCTGTGGCTCCGTACGTGTGCCTCTGTCAGCAATACGCTGTTTCATCCACATGGGATGGTAGCTCCACAAAACCTGGAGCAATCTTTTTTCCTACCCTGGACCCACATAATATCAATTGGATTATTAATGAAATTTATGGCCCATTTTGCGAAGTGGTGACCACAGTTGCCTACCATGCAGTTTTAGATCATTAGGGGGAGAAAGTCACATAAAAGTAAAGCATTAACTTACAAAACACTTCCCTTTACAAAAAAAACTGTAAATACTTTCCCTTCTGTGGTTTTCTGTGTCACATGAATCCACTTCAATCCAAGGTACGCAGACCCATAAATACCAGGTATCCATAAAGTTCTAGGCAACTACAGCAACTGAACCTGACATTGTAACTTTGATTTTAAATAAAAATACCATCTTTTTTTTTCCTGATTAGAGTAACTAGTATTGAATTTGACCAAAGTCAATAAAGTCTTTCTTAGAAAATAAACACGGTTTCTTTGGGTGCCAGGGCCTGTTTTCAGTGTTGCTTTATGCACTGTACAAATGGTATACTTTATATTTTCTCTTTATTGTGTTTTTTTCAATGTGATTTTAGGTTATATTTTTACATTGCACATACTGTGTTATTTAGTAACTGTCGGCCGGGCGCGGTGGCTCACGCCTGTAATCCCAGCACTTTGGGAGGCTGAGGCAGGTGGATCACTAGGTCGGGAGATCGAGACCATCCTGGCTAACACGGTCAAACCCTGTCTTTACTAAAAATACAAAAAAAGTAGCCAGGTGTGGTGGCAGGTGCCTATAGTCCCAGCTGCTGGGGAGGCTGAAGCAGGAGAATGGTGTGAACCTGGGAGGCGGAGCTTGCAGTGAGCCGTGATCACACCACTGCACTCCAGCCTGGGCAACAGAGCGAGAGTCCCTCTCAGAGAAAAAAAAGTAACTGTCAGTTATTGAAAACAAATTGTGTGGCATACATGTCCGATATATTGGCTCACTGATGCTTCTCAATAACCACGGGAGGTAGACGTTTCTGGGTCGTATGTTTGTGTCCCATATGAATTCTTATCAAAAGACCTCCACTTCATAAAAGGTGAGTGGGTGAGATGACCTGCCCTGCGGATGTCAGGGGCCTCCTTCTCCAACACCCCAGGCCTTGTGCAAAAGGTCATAGTGGCAGGAATAGAGATCTTGTGCTTTGTCAACAACACAAACCTTCTCTTATCAAAGTGGACCTGACGACCGCCACTGTTGTGAGCCTAATTCACAGCATGCGGGCTCTCAGTCTCTGTTATGGTTCTAGTCATTGAGGAGACTAGCCAGCTACCTGGTGGCAGGTTTATTACATTACACCTTAGATTAAACATTAGACCCCTCCCACCAGGAAAGGGATGCCTCTGTGTCTTCACTGGAATAGACACTTAACCTGGATTTGTGTTTGCTTTCTTTGATTCTGCTACACATGAAATGTGAAATTAATGAATGCCTTGGGCTGGGCGCAGTGGCTCATGTAATCCCAGCACTTTGGGAGGTCAAGGCAGGTGGATCACTTGAGGTCAGGAATTCCAGACCAGTCTGGTCAACATGGCGAAACACCGTCTCTACTAAAAACACACCTGTGGCTGCGTGTGGTGGCTCACGCCTGTAATCCCAGCATTTTGGGAGGCCAAGGCGGGTGGATCACCTGAGGTCAGGAGTTTGAGACCAGTCTGGCCAACATGGTGAAACTTCAACTCTACTAAAAATACAAAAAATTAGCCAGGCATGGTGGCGGGTGCCTGTAATCCCAGCTATTTGGGAGGCTGAGACAGGAGAATCGCTTGGACCCAGGAGGCAGAGGTTGCAGTGAGCCGAGATTGTGCCACTACACTCCAGCCTGGGCTCCAGAGTGAGACTCTGTCTCAAAAAACAAAAACAAAAACAACAAAACAACAACAAAAAAAACCCACACCTGTGCTGGGCATGTTGGCCCACACCTGTATTCCCAGCACTTTGGGAGGCCGAGGTGGGTGGATCACCCGAGGTCAGGAGTTTGAGACCATCCTGGCCAACATGGTGAAACCCCGTCTCTACTAAAAATAAAAAAATTAGCCAGGCATGGTGGTGGGCACCTGTAATCCCAGCTACTCAGGAGGGTGAGGCAGGAGAATTGCTTGAACCTGGGAGGCGGATGTTGCAGTGAGTTGAGATCCGCGCCACTGCACTCCAGCCTGGGTGAAACTCTGTCTCAAAAACAAACAAACAAAACTGCACCTGTAATCCCACCACTATGGGAAGCCAAGGCAGGAGGATTGCTTCAGGCCAGGAATTCAAGACCAGCCTGGACAACATAGTGAGATCCTGTCTTTATTAAAAATTTGAAAATTAGGGGCTGGGCGTGGTGGCTCACGCCTGTAATCCCAGCACTTTGGGAGGCCGAAGCGGGGGGATCACGAGGTCAGGAGATCAAGACCATCCTGGCTAACATGGTGAAACCCCATCTCTACTAAAAAAAAATACAAAAAAAAAAAAAAAAGAAAATTAGCCAGGCACTGTGGTGTGTGCTTGTAGTTCCAGCTACTCAAGAGGCTGAGGTGGAAGGATCACCTGAGTTCAGGAGTTGGAGGCTGCATTGAGCCGTGATTGTGCCACCGCACTCTACTCTGGGTGACAGAGCAGACCCCGTCCCCCCCCACCAAAAAAAAAAGAGTGCCTTAAAGATCACCAAGGTGTCTTACAAACATTATTTTACAGTGAAAAAAGCAGGCAATGGCCGGGCGCAGTGGCTCACACCTGTAATCCTAGCACTTTGGGAGGCCAAGGCGGGCAGGTCACCTGAGGTCAGGAGTTCAAGACCAGCTTGGCCAACATGGCAAAACCCTGTCTCTACTAAAAATACAAAAATTAGCTGGGCGTGGTGGCACGTGCCTGTAGTCTCAGCTACTCAGAAGGCTGAGGCAGGAGAATGGCGTGAACCCCGGGAGCTGGAGGTTGCAATGAGTTGAGATCGCACCACTGCACTCCAGTCTGGGCAACAGAGCCTTCGAGACTCTGTATCAAAAAAAAAAAAAAAAAGAAAAAAAAGAAAAGAAGAAGCAGGCAATGGACTTACTGTCATGGGTTTCAATCATCTCGTCACATACCCCATTATCCAGAAGTCATAGAACAGTGACATGGCATGAGTTTCCAAAGACACAATGATAACACTTTCAGAGATTGGCGTGCTAGGTGGCAGGATGTAGTGTATGCTCTGAATCAGTAAAGAACACAAGGTTTGGCCCCTCCCATAGCCAGAATACACAGAGCTAAGAAGCGGGAGGTGGAAGTGGATAAAGTTATACTGAATGATCCATTCGAGTTTTTTGCTTCCTGTCTTCACGAATCTGTTCTCAGCTGGTTTTGAGGCTTCAGTACCGAAGCGGGAAGTGCTTGCGCAAGGAGTCATGGTGAAGGGAAGTGAATAGAGACACCTGGTATGTTGTCTCCTTGTGCCATCAGGCAAACAGAAAGAGGAGAGCTGAAGTGTTGGCTCGGGTGATTAACTGATCCCAATTACCAAAAGTTCTGACAGGCAATATGGACAGGGAGGTGCATGGCTTCTGGGAGCTCCTCCTGGAAGAGGGTTGCACGTGGGTACTGGGAATGAAAAAGTGGGCTAGAGTGGACTTGGGCCATTGCTTTGGTTGCCCTCTCCCCAACCCCTCATCCTATTTGTGAGTCTTCCTCAGTGAGGACGCCCGGGTGTGGGGAAGGGCTGCATCTTCACGAAAGGCTGAACGCATTCCCTCTTCCCCCAGGTAGTATGGGCATGGACAAATAGCCCAGTTTACCCATTGGAAACTCCTCCCAAGCCTTCAGTTCTGGAGGGAGACCCACAAAGGTAAAGATGGTTAAAGCTGATGCACAGAAACACAGGCAAGGGTCCCTAGAGGCAGTACCCATAGGGGCTTATCAGCCAGGCTGTTCCTGACACTGGTCCTGGCTGGTGTCCTGTGTGCCTGGACAGCCTTGGTGTTTAGCCTGTTGTCCAAGCCTGGTTCTGTCCAAGCCTGGTTCTCCAGGCTTCCTGGAAATTACCTTTTTGTCAATTCCTTCTCTGCTCGAGTTACCCACAGTTGATGGTATTGCTTTCAGCCAACATCTCTGACTGGCACCATGGGGAAGGATGCACAAATGCCAATTCTCCTTCTGGTGTTACGATTCAGACCACACATGACTTTCCCTCCTTTCTGAAGCACTACATGTTTTGATTGCTTAGGAGCTAGAATACATGCTGTAAAAATAACAGTGAGGGTAGAGAAGAAGCAAAACTTTTAAGACATGAAAAGAAAATCTTTTTAGTAATAAGCAACCCAAACTTAGCCAACATGTGTCTACATTGCACCTTGCACTTAAACTCATCAATGTCTAAAACACCTCAAAACAGCAGGCAAGACAGAAAGAAAGCAAGAATGTGTAGGTTAAGAACTGAATTGAACCCAGATGTTAGCTTTCACCTTAATGGAAAATGAAACCAAGTTTCTTAAAAAAAAAATTCCATTGAAGAAGATTTTTTTTTTTTTTTGAAACGGAGTTTCCCTTTTGTCCCCTAGGCTGGAGTGCAGTGGCATGATCTCAGCTCACTGCAACCTCTGCCTCCCAGGTTCAAGTGAGTCTCCTGCCTCAACCTCCCGAGTAAGTGGAATTACAGGTGCCCACCACCATGCCCAGCTAATTTTTTGTATTTTTTAGTAGAGACAGGGTTTCATCATGTTGGCCAGGCTGGTCTCGAACTCCTGACCTCAGGTGATCCACCCGCCTCGGCCTCCCAAAGTGCTAGGATTACAGGCGTGAGCCACTGCACCCGGACAAAGAAGAGTTTTCTTTTTTTCTTTCTTCCATTTCCTGGGTCCTTCTCCATGCCACTGCACTCCAGCCTGGGAGACAGAGCGAGACTGTCTCAAAAAAAAAAAAAAAAAAGGAAGTGGGGGTTTTTGTTTGTTTGTTTGTTTTGATACAGGGTCTCACTCTGTCACCCAGGGTGGAGTACAATTATGGCTCACTGCAGCCTCAACCTCCCAGGCTCAAGCTATCCTCCCACCTCGGCCTCCCTGGTAGCTGGGATCACAGACAAACGCCACCATGACCAGCTGATTTTTGTATTTTTAGTAGAGACAAGGTTTCACCATGTTGCCAGGGCTGGTCTCAAACTCCTGGCCTCAATTGGTCCTCCCACTTCAGCTTCCAAAAGTGCTAGGATTACAGATGTGACAGATGTGAGCCACCGTGCCCGGCCAGAAGTGGCCTGATGGTATGAGAGGAGGAGTGGGGGGGTTGGCAATCTGCTCTTTTCCAAACAATGCTGATTCTTTTTGCAACCATGAGGACAAGGACTGCTGGAGAAATCCATCCCCATCTTTCCTTTAAAATGAGACTGTACTGCCTTGGATTGCTACTTTCATGTGCTCAGAAACGAATCATGGAATGTAAAGTGAGTGTTAGAAACAGGAATACTACAAATACTACGCTTGTGGGAAGGTTCCCAGAGCTGATGTCCTCAGGGAGGATGATGGAGAGAAAGGGAAGGTTCCCAGAGCTGATGTCCTCAGGGAGGATGATGGAGAGAACAAGGGACAGGGAAGGCAAAGGGAGAGGCCTGGAGTTGCAGGAAGGAAAAAAGGAGAAAAAGAAGGGTTCTCAAAGAGAAGTGTCAGTAGAAAAAGAAGCTGTTTGGGAAAACTGGCTTCTGATGGAGTGATGATTTAACTGACGGCCTAGGGAAGCCATAAAGGAGGTCAGTTAGGAAAAATGCTACAGCGTAAGCAGCCTCCATTCCGGAAAATTTCCTCAGGACCAGTGCAAAGAGCAAGGGAAGGGAAAGGAGCTAAAGAAAGCAGAGTAAGCCAGGCGCAGTGGGTCACGTCTGTAATCCCAGCACTTTAGGAGGCTGAGGCAGGCGGATCACCTGAGGTTGCAAGTTCGAGACCAGCGTGACCAACATGGAGAAACTCCTGTCTCTACTAAAAATACAAAATTAGCCGGGCGTGGTGGCGCGTGCCTGTAATCCCAGCTACTCAGGAGGCTGAGGCAGAAGAATTGCTTGAACCCAGGAGGTGGAGGTTGCAGTGAGCCAAGATCGTGCCATTGCACTCCAGCCTGGGCAACGAGAGCAAAACTCCATCTCAAAAAAAAAAAAAAGAAAGAAAGAAAGCAGAGTAAGACTGGGCTTGGTGGCTGAAGCCTGCAATCCCACCCCTTTGGAAGGCCGAGGCGGGCGGGTCACCTGAGGTCACGGGTTTGAGAACAACCTGGCCAACAAGGTGAAACCCATTTCCATTAAAAATACAGAAATCAGCCGGGTGTGGTGGCACATGCCTATAATCCCAGCTACTCAGGATCTCCTGCCTCCTACTGAGGCAGAAGAATTGTTTGAACCCAGAAGGTGGAAGCTACAGTGAGCCAAGATTGCGCCACTGCACTCCAGCCTTGGTGACAGAGCGAGACTCTGTCTCAAAAAAACAAAAAAGGGCCGGGCCGGGTGCAGTGGCTCACGCCTGTAATCCCAGCACTTTGGGAAGCCAAGCAGGCCGATCATGAGGTTAGGAGTTCCAGACCTGCCTGGCCAACATAGTGAAACCTTGTCTCTACTAAAAATTAAAAAAAAAAAAATCAGCCTGGCATGGTGGTGGGCACCTGTACTTCCAGCTACTTGGGAGGCTGAGGCAGGAGAATCACTTGAACCCAAGAGGCAGAGATTGCAGTGAGCTGAGATCACGCCATTGCACTCCAGCCTGGGCGACAGAGTGAGACTCCGTCTCAAGAAAAAAAAAAAAAGAGTGCATTGTGGTTTTTAAATTAATATTTTCCCAAAGGATATGTATATATACATATATATATAAAATCACCATGTTGGCCAGGCTGGTCTCGAACTCCTGGCCTCAGGTGATCCACCTGCTTCAGCCTCCCAAATTGCTGGGATTACAGGCGTAAGCCACCGCGCCCAGCCCACAGTGCACTCTTGTTTTGAATAATTAAAACAAATAAAAATACATTTGGGGTTTCTCTGAAAAGCATTCTCTAAACAGTGCCTTCTTTCTTCCAGTCCCTCCCCTCCCCTGATGGTGCTCGGCCTGGGAATGGGATATAACACAAACATCCTGAAAGCAAAGCAAATACTTTCTTTCTCCCTAAGCCCCCTATATATATTAGACACAGGGTCTCTCTCTGTTGCCTAGGCCGGAAGGCAGTGGTGATCATGGCTTACTGCAGTCTCAACCTCCCAGGCTCAGGTGATCCTCACACTTCAGCCTCCTGAGTAGCTGGGACAATGGGCTTGCTCCACCACACTAGCCTTTTCTTTTTTCTTTGTAGAGGCAAGTTCTCACTCTATTGTCCAGAGTGGTCTTGAACTCCTAGGCTCAAGCAATCCTCCTTCCTTGGCCTCCCAAAGTGCTGGGATGACAGGCATGAGTACCTGGCCACAAAAGGTATTTTAAATCCAGTTCAATATTAACGGTCAAGATCAGGCAAGGTGGCTCATGCCTATCATCCCAGCATTTTGGGAGGCTGAGGCGGGTGGATCACCAGAGGTCAGGAGTTTGAGACCAGCCCCGCCAACATGGTGAAAGCCGGTCTCTACTAAAACTACAAAAATTAGCTGAGCGGCCGGGCGCGGTGGCTCATGCCTGTAATCCCAACACTTTGGGAGGCCAAAGCGGGCAGATCACCTGAGGTCGGGAGTTTGAGATAAGCCTGGCCAATATGGTGAAATCCTGTCTCTACTAAAAATACAAAAATTAACTGGGCGTGGTGGCATGTGCCTGTAGTCCCAGCTACTGGGGAGGCGGAGGCAGGAGAATTGCTTGAATCAGGAAGCAGAGGTTGCAGTGAGCCGAGATTGAGCCACTGCACTCCAGCCTGGTGACACAGAGAGATTCTGTCTCAAAAAAAAAAAAAAGAAAAAGAAAAAATTAGCCAAGCGTGATGGTGCATACCTGTAATCCCAGCTACTCTGGAGGCTAAGGCAGGAGAATCGCTTGAACCCAGGAGGTGGAGGTTGCAGTGAGCCAAGATCATGGCACTGCACTCCAGGCTGGGCAACGGAGTGAGACTCTGTCTCAAAAAAAAAAAAAAAAAATTAATGGTCAAATCTTTAAAAATTATCAGAAGGTTTTGACTATCGGTTTCTTTTCTTTTCTTTTCTTTTTTTTCTTTGAGACAGAGTCTCACTCTGTCCCAGACTGGAGTGCAGTGGCACCATCTCGGCTCACTTCAACCTCCACCTCCTAGGTTCAAGCTATTCTCCTGCCTCAGCCTCCTGAGTAGTGGGAATTACAGGTGCATGCCACCATGCCTGCCTAATTTTTGTATTTTTAGTAGACATGAGGTTTCACCATGTTGGCCAGGCTGGTCTCAA